>NC_000002.12:15531607-15838363 GCF_000001405.40 Homo sapiens | reverse complement strand
CCTCCTGGGTTCAAGCAATTCTCCTGCCTCAGCCTCCCAAGCAGCTGGGATTACAGGCATGTGCCACTATGCCTGGCTAATTTTTTTGTATTGTTAGTAGAGATGGGGTTTCACCATGTTGGCCAGGCTGGTCTCGAACTCCTGACCTCAAGTGATCCACCTGCCTGAGCCTCCCAAAGTGCTAGGATTACAGGTGTGAGCCACCGTGCCTGGCTGCCAGTCTGTCTTTATGGCAGGACTTTGAACCAGTCTTGGCAGCAGAGGCCTCTGGAAGTAAAGGGAGGTGCACGGCGAGCCTCATACACCTATTTCAGGGCAATGAGACCAGGTGGTAGTGAGGACAGGGTGGAGGGCCATCAGCGCTATCACGTGGGATTCCTAAGTGCTTCGATTCTTTATGTCCATTTCTGTTGGGGGAGGGGTCTCTGTGTAATGCAATGCGGCTGGTACCCCTGTGTTCAACTGCAGGTGGAGACAGGCACTTTCTGGTTAATGTGCTGATCTCAATCCAGCACTCAAAGTCCTTCAGTCTACCTCTCGGCCTCATCCCCCATTGTGCTGCCCTGTGGCTCCAGCCACATGGACTATGCCCAGCCCTGCACACACACTGCACCCCCGCAGATCTTGCACACCCATCTTCAGGCCTGCACTCTCCTGACTCTGAGACTCGGCTCAGACTGCCTCTTCTGTAGGGCCCTGGGATGCCCTTCTTTCTCCAAAACTGCCAATGAAATCCACACCTCCTTCAAGACCAGCTAATTTTCACTCCTTCCAAGAAGCTTCAGGCCCAGATACGGGCTTCTGAATTCACCTGTCCTTAGCCCAATCTCCCACAAGGCTCTGCAAGGAATCTGGCCTGCCCAGGGTTTAACTTTAAAGGAAACTGCCCGCTGTTTTCCGAAGTGGCTGCACCATTTTGCTTTGCCCCAACAATGAAACATGAGAGTTGCAGTTGCTCCACATTCTTTCAAAAACATTGTGGTAAAATGTACATAACATAAAAATTCACCATTTTAACATGTCTGCCTGTTTGTTTGTTTTGCAGAGACGAGGGTCTCACTTTGTTGCCTATGCTGGTCTCGAACTCCTGGGCTCAAGCGATCCTCCTGCCTCAGCCCCCCCAAGTGCTGGGATTACAGGTGTGAGCCACCATGCTAGCCCATTTTAGCCATTTTTAAGTGAAAAATTCAGTGGCAGTGAGTACATTCTGTGTACAAATATCTCCACTATTTATTTCTAGCAGGTTTTTATCTCAAAGTGAAACTCTGTACCCATTAAACATTCACTCCCCATTCCCTCCCTCCCTCCAGCCCCTGGCAACCAACATTCTACTTTCTGTCTAAGAATCTGACAGAAAGTACTCACAGAAGTGGAATCACAATATTTGTTCTTTTGTGTCTGGCTTCTTTCACTTAGCGTAATGTCTTCAAGGTTTACCACGCAGATGTTGCAGCGTGTATCAGCACCTCATTGTTCTACCCCATTATACGTATATGTATACCACACCTTGCCCATCCCCTCATCTGCCAATGGGCGCTTGGCTCGCTTCCACCTTTTGGCTCTTGTGAATGATGTCGCTATGGATGTTGCTATACCAGTATCTGTTTGAGTCCCTGCTTTCACTTCTTCTGGGTGTAGATCTAGGAGTAAAATTGCTGGGTCAGATGGAAATTTTATCTTTAACTTTGTGAGGAACTATGTCAGGGCTTTTTAGGACCTTGTGAGCACCAGTCCAGGGGCACAAGCGGGGCAGGGCCCAGGGTGCATTCACCTCCCTGTGGCAAACCCTGAAGGGGTCTTTGGGGGCCGATGGTCCTGGGTTCAAATCCCAGCTCCACTTCTCAACAGCGGAGCCTCCATTTTCTTGCTTTTGAAATTTAGATCATAACACCTACCTCACAGGGTGGCTGTAAATATTCAGCCACTAATATTGTAGGATGCTTGGCACACTGCAGGTGTTCAATAAATAATCATCCTGCCTCCCCTGACCCACTTCTGTTTCCTCATCTGTAAAAAAGCATCCTATTTACTAAATGCCTTGCAAATCCCAAATGCTTTCAGGACAACTGGGTGGAAATGTTCCGTGGCAACTTTCTTTAGAAAACATGCCCCCCCTTTTAAAGAAGCCCATAATTCCTCCACATGCTTTTCCATCTGTTCCTCCAAATGTGATAATTAGGAAATGATGCTGTCACTTTCGAAAGTGAGAAACCTGCCCCTCCCTTCCATCTCTGAGCGACATGGCAGAAGGATGAGCAGATCCTCGTGCCACAGTCAGCCCCATCCCCAGGCCCAAGAGCACGTGCGGCCCAGATTTTGATGAGGTTCACAAACCAGGTCTAGCAGGCAACCCAAGATGTGAGGGTGAAATGCTGAGTCCCAGGTTAGCTGAATGGGAGGTGGCTTGGAGATCACCTTGGCCATTTCCTCACCTCGTATGGTCCTTCTCCATCGCATCCTCACCACGTGTAGAACAGGGAGTCCAACTCATCCCATTCAGATTGGAGAACTGAAGCCAGGGAGGCAGAGTGAGCTTCTGAATACAGCAAGTTGGTCAGAGAGCTAGGGCACACCTTTCCATCTCTCCCGACACCGTCCACCCCACGCTGGAGATGTGGGCCACGTGGCATCCAGCCCCTTCAAGTAAGCTGAGGATTTGTTTAGTTTTAAGTAGGTATATACTAGGTTGATGAGTGTCCACCCAAAATTCCTGTCAACCTCAGAATGTGACCCTACTTGGAATCAGTCTTACACATGAAATCAAGTTAAGATGAGGTCATGTTCAATTAGCATGGGCCCTAACCTAATATGGTGACTGGTGTCTATATAAGAAGGGAAAACAGAGATGCAGATAGATACACCAAGTGAGAACGTCAGGTGAGGGCAGAGGCAGCGACCACGGTGGTGCAGCTGCAAGCCAAGGGATGCCAGGCTGCTGGCACCTCCAGAAGCTGGGGAGAGGCAAGGAAGATTCTTCCCAGAGCCTCAGAGCTGACATGGCTTTGCTGACACCTCGACTGCAAACTCCCAGCATGCAGAACTCTGGGAGGACAAACCTCCGTGTTCTAAGGCACCCAGTTCATGGTACGCCATTGAGCAGCCCTAGGAAATGGATACAAGGGGAGAGCAGGAATCTGGAGCTTCGGGGCTACCTGTCCTTCAAGCTTTCATGCCAGCCAGTTCTGTCTCCTCTTCCCCTCATGCAGTTTTTCAGTTCTGGCTTATAAGCCTTTATTTATGCAGTGCCCTGTCTAAGTTTGGACTCCTCTCAAAGCAGAGCCTGAGACAAGGATTTGAGTGCATGTTGTTTCTTTTTTTATGTTATTTATTTTGAGAAACAAGTATTTGTGTTTATTAACCAAGGGGAGGAAAGCCAGAGCAGTGCAGACTCCTAACCAGTCCCTTCTGTAGTCTACCCACCTAGGCCAGCTGCCAAGGACTGGGAAGAGCAGTAGATGGGCCCCCTCCTCCCTGCCCTGACCCCAGGGTGAGTTCCTGGGGAGCCAGGGCTCACTGGGTAAGGAAGAGGAAGTCAGTGAAGGACAGAGGCTGATATGGTTTGGCTCTGTGTCCCCACCCAAATCTCATCTCATAGCTCCCATAATTCCCACATGTTGTGGGAGAGACCTGGAGGGAGATGATTGAATCATAGGGGTGAGTCTTTCCTGTGCTGTTCTTATAATAGTGAATGGGTCTCACGAGATCTGATGGTTTTATAAACGGGAGTTGCCTTTCACACGCTCCCTCTTTGCCTGCTGCCATCCACGTAAGATGTGACTTGCTCCTCCTCACCTTCCACCATGATTGTGAGGCTTCCCCAGGCACTTGAAACTGTGAGTTCTCCATTAAACTCTTTCGTTTGTAAATTGCCCAGTTTTGGATATGTCTTTATCAGCAGCGTGGAAATGGGCAAATACAGAGGCCAAGCAAGGAAATAGGAAACAGGGCCACTGGGGAGAGAGGATTGGGAAGATCCCGGGGCCCCTCACTCTCAGTAGGGAGGGCAAAGCACCCCAAATGCGGCCCCACAAAAGGAACTAAGCAGGAGTACACTCGTGTCAAAAACCTTGAATGTGGGCAGCAGGTGGGAGGGGTGGGAATGAGGGTGTACAATGTCAAGAGCAAAACCTTCCAGGCTCAGTCCTTGCCCACAGATGCTGGTCCAGGCTCTAAGCCTTTGCCTCCATAGCAAGTCCACACCAGGGTGCAGCCTCTGACATGCCCAGGCTAGGGAGTGGATGCAAGAGAGGTCAAGGGGCCACTAGCCTCTCTAAGTTCTGTCCTGTGGTGAATTCTGGGGCCAGTGGCAGCCTAGCCTTCAGCTGCTGAGAAATGATCAGCCTAGCCTTCGGCTGCTGAGAAATAATCTCGTCACTTCTGATGAGATTATTCTGAGAAATGGTCCTGGAAATCTGAAAAAAAGAAAGGGTCAGAGGGAAAGTCCAAAATGGGTGTGTCATCGCACTGGTTTTCACTATGGCACCCAGGGCTCAGTTGCACTGGGAACTCTCTGAATAACTGGCAGAAGTGTCCTTCCAAAGCATGGAAGGCCAGGGCATTTATTCCTGACCACTATTGGTTAAGAATTGTATTGATTATCTATTGCTAAGTGACAATTTTGTGGCCCTGAATTTAACAGCTTAAAACACAAACCTCAGAGTGTCAATCAACTTTAGCTAGTCCCCTCTGTGCTCTAGAGATGGCAGCTGCACTTCCAACCAGCACGTCCAGACACAGCAATGCCCCCGGACAGATGATAAGTGTGTATTCCTTGTGGCTCCTTTGATGGTGAAGGACAACTTTCTCAGAAGCCCCCAGCTGACTTCTCTTCACAATCGATGGAGATGATCTTGGTCCCCTGTCAGACTCTAACCCACTCCCTGGCCAGGGGAGCAGGATGATGACCACCAACCCAGATGGGTCAGTAGCTTCGCCTCCGGAAAAGAGGATGGGGTCACATTCCAGGAGCATGTGGCCTCAGAAAGGAGTGGGTGCTTCCAGCCTCGGAATCTAGCAGAGGGAGTTCAAATCCCTACTCCACCATTTGCTGTCTCTGAGCCTCAGTTTCCTCCTTTCAAAAATGAGGGCAGTGAGACCTATTTTGTGTGGTTAGAGTTAGGCTCTCTGGTGCCCAAACATCTCTCCAATTAGTTCAGTTAGTTGATGGCTCACAATTCCATCGCCACCAATCTAATCCACCACCCTCCTCCAACTTTCTCTCTCTCCCTCCTCTCCTTCCCTCCCACATACATAAACACACACATCTTCTAGGTTTTTAAATTGACACATATCCTACATACAGAAGGTATACAAATCTTAGATGTACAGCTCGGAGAGTTTTTGCATATGTAGATGCCCATGTAACCACACCCAAATCGAGACTCAACATGTCCAGTACTCCCAGAAGGTTCCCTTGTGCTTGTTCCCAACCCATACCTCACCAAAGGTAACCTGCATCTGACCTTCACCAGGATATATTAGTTTGGCCTGTTTGGGGCCCTCATGCAAATGATACAGTACGGTGTGTACTTTTTTGTGCCAGCTTCTTTGCTCAGCATAGAATCTGAGAAATTAATCCATGTTGTTACATGTAGCATTTTTCACTGTTATCTTGTATACCGTTGTATTAATATGCCATAATTGATTTACCCAATCTACTGTTGATGGACACTTGAGTAGCTTCCCAGTTTTTGACTACTATGTATTATGAGGCTATGAACATTTTTGTATACCTCCTTTGGCAAGCATAAGCACTGATTTTTACTAACTATATGACCAGGGGAGGAACTGCTGGGCATAGGGCATATGTATATTTAGCTTCGAGGATTACTACCAAATGCTTTCCAAAGGATGCCTCCTGATTTACGTTTCCACCAAAAGATGCGAGCTCTGTAACCTCTTGCCTGGACTACTGCGACACCCTGACCTCCTTGTACTTAGGAATGCTGCTCTAAATGGTCTACTATACAGTCGATCTTTATTATTTTCAGATTCTAGATTCGCAAATTCACCTACTTCCTAAGATTTATGTGTGACCCCAAAATCAATACTTACAGTGCTTTTGCAGTCATTTGAAGATATGCAGAGAGTGGTGAAAATTTTGAGTCAGCCAACCTGCAAGTTGCAGCTGAGGTCAGGGAGGTGAGGACATGCTCTGCCTGTTGTTTCAGCTCTCAGACTGCAAACAAGTATCCTCTCTGTGGTCTGA
Source organism: Homo sapiens (assembly GCF_000001405.40). Lineage (NCBI taxonomy): Eukaryota > Metazoa > Chordata > Mammalia > Primates > Hominidae > Homo > Homo sapiens. Next base: position 15,832,155 of record NC_000002.12, on the reverse strand, counting down.
CTATTACCACATTCTGTGCACTTTTGTGATTTGGCTGTTTAAAATGCCCCCCAAGCATAGCGCTGAAGTGCTGTCTACTGTTCCTAAGTTCAAGGAGGCTGTGATGCGCCTTACAGAGGAAATACATGTGCTACAGAAGCTTTGCTCAGGCATGAGTTATAGTACTGTTGGCCATGAGTTCAATGGTAAGGGGTCAGCAATATATATTAAATAAGGTGTCTTTAAACAGAAACACACCTCAAACAAGGTTGTGTGTTGACCAGTTGATGAAAATGTGACCAGAGGGCCAGGCACAGTGGCGCACGCCTGTAATCCCAGCACTTTGGGAGGCCGAGGTGGGGGGTGGATCACTTGAGGTCAGGAGTTTGAGACCAGCCTGGCCAACATGGTGAAACCTTGTCTCTACTAAAAATACAAAAATTAGCCAGGAGTGGTGGCACATGCCTGTAATCCGGCTACTTGGGAGGCTGAGACAGGAGAATTGCCTGAACCTAGGAGGCGGACGTTGCAGTGAGCCGAGATTGTGCCATTGCACTCCAGCCTGGGTGACAGAGCAAGACTCTTGTCTCAAAAAAAAAAAAAAAAAAATTGTGACCACAGGTTCACAGAAACCCAACCCAGAACTTTGCCAAGGAGCAATGGTTTTCAATGTTTGTGGTGACTTGCTAGAACAGAACTACTGCAAATGATAGCAGTCAGCTGTAACTCACATGGGCCCATGAATTTTATCAATTATTTCTCACTCAAATTGTTTAGATAGACAGGGCCTTGGCAAAACAATATTTGCCCAGGGCCCTTCATACCCTAAGGGCAGCACTGTTTCTGCTATGGCTTTGCTCTCAGGCAGGCACTAATGTGCTCTAAGGAGGGAAAGCCTTTGGTGTTTTGAGCCATGTAATTGTCAGGGGAGAGGGATGCAGAGGTGACCATACCCGGGCCCTCTGTTAGTCTGCTAGGGCCACTGTAACAAATACCACACACAGGTAGCTTAAACACAGAAGTTTATTTCTCACAGTTCTGGAGCTCAAAGTCCAAGATCCAAGGTGCTCACAGGGATGGTTTCTCCTGAGGCCTTTCTCCTTGGCTTACAGATGGCCACCTTCTGTCTGTCTCTTCATGTGGCCTTTTGTCTGTGCAGGTACATCCCTGGTATCTCTTCCTCCATTTATAAGGGCACCAGTCATATAAGATTAAGGCCCCACCCTTATAATCTTTCCTTATCATCTTTTTTAATCTTAATTACCTCTTTAAAGGTCTTATCTCCAAATACAATCGCATCAGGTGCTAGGGCTTACTTAGTCAGGGTCCTTTAGAGAGACACAACCGACAGGAGATATATAGATATATATATATAGGCTTTATTGGTTCTGAGGTTTTTGGAATTGTACTGAGTCATACTACCAGCATCCCAGGGTCTCCAGCTTGCAGACAGCCTCTTGTGGGATTCTCAGCCTCCACAATTGCATAAGCTTCTAATATATACTAGAGGGGATTTATTAGGGGGATTGGCTCATTCAATTATGGAGGCTGAGATTCCCACAAGCAGCTGTCTGCAAGCTGGAGACCCTGGTATGCTGGTAGCATGGCTCAGTCCAATTCCAAAAACCTCAGAACCAAGAAAACCAACAGTGTCATTCTCAGTGTGAGTCCGAAGGCCTGAGAACCCACGGGACTGCTGGTGGAAGTCCTGGAGTCCAAGGCCAGAGAGCCTGGAGTTCTGATGTCCAAAGGGGCAGGAGGAGAATGTCCCAGCTCCAGGAAAGAGAGGAAATCCTCTTCTCTTCTTTTTGTTCCATCAAGGCCAACAGCTGATTGGACGGTGCCCATCCCTATTGAGGGCCAATCTTCCCCACTCAGTCCACTGACTCATGTGCCAGCCTCCTCTGGAAGCCCTCACAGGCACACACAGATGTACTACTCTACCAGTTCCCTAGTACTCCCTAATCCAGTCAAGCTGACACCTAAAATTAACCATCACGGGTCTTCAACATGTGAATTTTGTGGGGAGGGGGCACAACTCAGTTCATAACAGACCTCATCTGGAATAACTCATAATCCTGTTATCCATTTTTCAGAGAATGACTCTCATGGTTAATTTTAGGCATCAACTTGACTGGGTTAAGGGCTGCCCAGATAGATGGTAGAACATTACTCTGGGTGTGCCTGTGAAGATGTTTCTGGAAGAGATTAGCATTTTTATTATTTATTATTATTATTATTTTGAGACAGTCTGGGCCTATTGCCCAGGCTAGAGTGCAGTGGCATGATCTCGGCTCACTGCAACCTCCACCTTCTGTGTTCAAGCGATTCTCCTGCCTTAGCCTCCCAAGTAGCTGGGACTACAGATGTGCGCCACCAAGCTCAGTTAATTTTTTTATTTTTAGTAGAGATGGGGGTTTGCCATGTTGGCCAGGCTGGTCTCGAACTCCTGGCCTCAGGTGATCTACACGCTTCAGCCTCCCAAAGTACTGAGTGCTGGGATTATAGGCATGAGCCACCACCAGGCCGAGATTAGCATTTGAATCAGTAGACTGAGTAAAGAAAATCTGCCCCATCACTACGGGCAGTGGACATCATCCAATCCATGGAGGGCCCAGACAGGATAAAAGGCAGAGGAAGGTCACATTCTCTCTCTCTCTTTCTCTTTCTCTTTCTCTCTCTCTCTGCTTGAGCTGGGACATCCATCTTGTCCTGCTCTCAGACCTTGGATTTCCTTGTTTGGGGCCTTTGGACTCTGGGATTTACACCAGTGCTCCTCCTGCCCCCTGATCTCAGGTGTTTGAACTCAGATCGAATGACACCACCAGCATTCTTCCCCAACTTGCAGATGGCAAAATCGTAGGACTTCTTGGCCTCCATCACCATGTCAGCCAGTTCCCATAATAAACCTCCTCTGGTATATCTGTATATATCCTGTTGGCTCTGTTTCTCCAGAGAACCCTGACTAACAGAGTGGCCAAAGAGGCTGAGGGAGTGAGGCAGGGGCCTAAGAGAGCTGATGTAGGCCCGGGACCTACTTCTACCACTGCTTCCCTTCCTGGGTGGACTTTTCTCACCTGACACCTGTCAGGGTTGGCAGAGCAGTGGATGCTCACTGGATTCTGGGACCCAGAAGAGCTGCATTGAAGTCTAGGAGAAACCTTGAGGAAGTCAATATGAGTCTCACTTTCTCCGTCTGTAAAGTGGGATCTGAACCATTTTCTTGCTTCAAACTCACAAAGTGGTTGTGAGGATTAAATGGAAAAATGGACAGGAATGCGTTTATCTCCTAAAAAATGGGAAAGAAAAGGCAAAGACAGGTTGCAAATTTACCCATCAGGGTCAAACTTACCTGGTCAAGAGCATATATAAAAATGTCCTTCCGTATTGACTTGCTTGATTCTTGAGTCCTGCTGGGTGTGGGTCCCATGAGCAGGAGACAAGAGGGGACACCATCTCGGTCCTGCCAAGATACCTACACAATTAGCATGGCTAGGATCATCACAGTATTTTCAATTAAAATTCCCAAACACCAGAGCCCAGTAAACTAGCCTTTGGATCTTGAAGAAAATACACGTATGTATGCGTTTGTTATTTAGGCCCTACCACAGGCCTCAAAGCCATTTATCAAAGTTTTGTTTTGTTTTGTTTTGTTTTGTTTTTAGATTGAGTCTCACTCTGTCAGCCAGGCTGGAGTGCAGTGGCACGATCTCAGCTCATTACAACCTCCATCTCCCAGGTTCAAGTGATTCTCCTACCTCAGCCTCCCAAGTAGCTGGGATTACAGGAGTGCACCACCACACCCAGGTAATTTTTGTATTTTTAGTAGAGACGGGGTTTCACCATGTTGGCCAGGCTGGTCTCGAACTCCTGACCTCAAGTGAACAAACCACCTTGGCCTCCCAAAGTCCTGGGATTACAGGCATGAGCCACAGCACCCGGCCTATTGAAGTTTTTTTAAAGGAAGACATTTTAAAAAGAAAAGTTGAGTGTTATGATCAGATAATATTGTCAAGAAATTCAAAACAAAATTGTAGTTTAAAAAAATAAAAATATTTCAATATAGAATCAATCAATAAATAAATCAATAAATAAAACATGGTAAGATGATGAATAGAAGGTAAAACCAACTCCGAATCTTTTAATAAATGTTATAAAAGGGCCAAGTTGATGGAGTCTAAACTTAAAATACTTTATGAAAACAAAAAAAGAAATGAATACTGGGCCAGGCATGGTGGCTCATGCCTGTAATCCCAGCACTTTGGGAGGCCTAGGTGGGCAGATCAGTTGAGGCCAGGAGTTTGAGTTCAGCCTGGGCAACATGGGGAAACCCCATCTCTACAAAAAATAAAAAATTAGTAGGGCATGGTGGTGTGCACCCGTAGTCCCAGCTACTCTGGAGGCGGAGGTTGGAGGATCACTTGATCCTGTGAGTTTGAGGCTGTGGTGAGCCATGATCATGCAACTGCACTCCAGCCTGGGCACAGTAAGATCCTGTCTCAAAAAAAAAGGATACTTAGGAAAATCTGTGAACATGGCAATACAAAAATTAAATGGAGTAATTAAGGGGTCAGAGGGACTCATTCTCTAGTACTTCTTTTTCACTAGTTTTGCTCTGATCTGTGTGGCTTTTCTTTCTCTTTAATCCTGTCTCTTATTTGTCCCCAAAAGCCTATTCTAGGAGGAGTCAAATCCACCATTAGTAACCCACAATTGACCAATTAGGTTCAGCTGCAAAGCTGGAATTAGTTGAAATTTTAAATGTTCCAGCTCCGCTCAGGAAACAAATTAGACCAGAAAGCCCCGTTTTACGTAATGAGGCAAATTTACCATCATTAGTGGCAATTAAGATAAAGTATTAATGACTCTGTTTACCTTGGTGGGAAAACAGGCAGGGTGCATGTGCTGGAGGCAAGGAGAGGAGCTGGACCCAGGGCTGTGCCTGGGCTAGAACATGCCTAGGGCTTGGAGGATGTTTCTTTTTCTCCCCTCACAGAATGTTGGAGGATGGAAGGGTCCTTAGGAGCAACATTTTACAAATGGGGAAACTGAGGCTCAAAGCATGGATGGGGCTTAACCGCCCATGGTCCCAAAGCAAGCTGGTAACCCCTGCTCTGAGCCTCTTCCCACTTTAATTAGCTGCCTCGCTGGCATGCAGAGTTATTGCTGATGAAAGGACTCAGGAAGCAGGAGGAAAAGTGGGCTATTATAGAGCACACCTAGGTGCCAGGCACGATTACTATGTATGTGCTTTCTAGAATTAGCTAGCTTAACCCTAACAGCCACTTTTCTGGAGAGGCCTTATTGCCTCGTTTTACAGATGAGAACATTGAGGCTGGGAGAAGTAAAATCATTTGCACAAGGTAATGCAGCCCTGAAGTCCTACTCCAGATCCCTGGTTTGGTTGGTTTCACTCTCAAAGCCTGAAAAGTCATGGACGCACTCCCTCCTCCCTTACACAGTCACAACCAAGCTCCTCCTCAGCCTCCTGGAGGAACTCTAGGAGACAGGGATCAAAGGTGCGCTGGGCCTGACGGAGCCTGTCCACCTCTCCCTGGGCTGCCTGCAGCTGTGGGACAAATCCCACTGAAGCTCCTCCCATGGCTTCCGGGCTGGGAAAAGGGGAGGGGTGTGGTATTCCTGAGCTCAGGAATGGAAGCAGCAGGGAGATAATTAAGGGGTAGTAAGCAGTTGGGAATTGAACCAATTACACAGCTAATTGAAGCCCACTGGCCCACTGGCCCTGAACATCTGGGTGCCAGGCCCAGAGGGCTGACAGCCCAAACCATCCAAATAATGGCAGCTAAACAGTCCCCGGAAGCGGGGACGCTGAGAACCTGAAAATCCTGCTTCAGGGCGGGTCTCCCGCCTCATCTTTCTAGGTGAAAGTGGGCTGTGTGTGAGGTAGCTACCCACCGGGAGGGCCATAGGTTCTCATTTACTGGAACAGAGATTGCTTTCCATCTGAAGACATTGGACTAATTCTTCCTCTACGTTTGTCATCTCCTCGAATTACCACAGTGACCCCTTTTCACACATGGAGAAATTGAGCCCTAGACAGGAAGAGTGATTTGCTCAAAGTCACATACCCAGCCCTGAATTGACTGGTATGGCCCCAGTCTTTGGATTTCTGGTCCAACCGTTTCCCCCGCCTGCCCCACACAGTTCCTCCTACACTCCCCACTGCACCTCGCAGCTCCTGCCTGTAACAAGAGTTTGGACACGTGTCTTCCATCCCTGGCCTTCCCACCTCCTGCCCCCTCCCATGGAGACAAACCTATTTGCCATCCCCGAAACGAATGTTGAGGTCACCATTTCAGAAGCCGGAATTCTCCTCGCAGCAGCCGAAAGCCCAGCTCTTGAGTTTGTTGTGTACACAAAGGCAACCTAAGTTAGCACATATGTTTGAGCCACTTCCAGCCCCCAGCCCCTCTCCAGGGACCCACAGGGAATTCTGCTAAGATAATTATCTCCAACTGGGGTTTTGTTCAGTCCTCTGGTAAGACAAGCTCCCCGTTTAGAATAATAAGGCTATGCTATTGAAGGCTAGCTGGGAAATATTTTTCAAACAAGCAATTCGTGTATGTGTTTCACATATGCCGCTCATTAAGGTTTATAAGACCTTTTGGTCTTCACAATAAAGCTTGTTTTTTTAAAGGTTAAAATCAGCACACCCTTGGTTACTGCCGGCACCGTTCCCCTCTTCAGATGGACCAGGGATCCTGGGAAGTGTTGACAGGGAATCAAAGACACTGATGCCTTCTGACCCAGCAGAGGAAGGAAGGGTGACCCCCGAGAAATCTCCTTCCCACCAGGAGCTAGAGGGGAGCCCTCCTGCCTGACCCCTTCATGTACGCAGGGCTCTGATTTAGAAAACAAACTGCATCTTTAACTCAGTGATTGGCAAGCTGGCAACATCATACACTCACCTGGGAGTTTTTAATACACCCCCGCTCGAGTCCCAGCTTGGCAAATCCAGATTAAGTTAATTGGAGATTGTTCCCTGGCATGAGGTCATTTTTAAAGCTCCTTGAGTAACTGTACGGTGTGGCCAAGGTGAAGACCATCAATTATCTTGTGGGCTTCTGAAGGTACACTGCAGGCAGGCAGGCAAGGAGTCATTCTCCCCATTATTGAGATGGGAACAAAGCTCAAGCAGCAGACTTAGACGCCTGTGAGTGGCAGAGTTGGGGCTTAAACATGTGTCTTCTGACGCATGCTTCTAAGCTCTCTTTCCTCCAGCTCATGGAATAGTAATAGCTATTAGCATGCTCTGAACTCCAGGGCTTTCCATAGGATCTCGTTCAATCCCAACAAATCACACACATCAGTATTGTGATCTTCGTTTTGCAGATGAGAAAACTGAGGCTCAGAGAGACTGGATGACATGCCTGATGCCACACCAAATACAGAGGATCCGATTTCAAAAGTCCTGCATGAGGCAAGTAACTTGGGTCGTAGCAATCTGGCTATAAAAGGCCAGGCACGGTGGTTCACGCTGGTAATCCCAACACTTTGGGAGGCGGAGGCAGGCGGATCACCTGAGGTCAGGAGTTCAAGACCAGCCTGGCCAACATGGTGAAACCCTTGTCTCTGATAAAAACACAAAAAAATAGCCAGGCATGATGGCAGGCACTTCTAATCCCAGCTACTTGGGAGGCTGAGGCAGGACAATTGCTTGAACCTGGGAGGCAAAGGTTGCAGTGAGCCGAGATTGTACCATTGCACTCCTGCCTGGCAACAGAGCGAGACTCTGTCTCAAAAAACAAAAAAGAAATAAAAAAAAGAAATCTCGTGATCAGGCTCCTACCTCCGGGCAGTGTGACCTCTCATTCTGTGTTTAAAGAGTCTTTAAGGTCCTTTAAGCATCTTACGCAGAAAGAAGAAGCAAATGTCCATTTATTGAACATCTGCTATGTGCCAGACACTATGGCAGCTGTTTTATCTACATGCAAGCCCATTTTAAAGGCAAGGAAGCTGAGGCCTAGAGCTATTGAGTGCTTATTTTGAAGTCAGTAAGCTTCAAACAAGCTAGTAAGGGGCAGATTAAACTCTCTGGCCTTTCCCCACCCCACACCGCTTTCCCACTCATGTCAAAATGGCAGGTGTGACCTGCTCAGCCAGACAGAAGAGTCACAGGCAAATTTGAGACAAAACAAAGATAATTAAAAACTGGGAAAACACTTTTATTATGGTCTTGTCTGGATTTCGTTGTTTTTGAAGTCACTGTTAACTTGGTACCAGGGTATTTTAATCAATTAGGTTTAAGCTTGCTGTTTATGAACCCACTAAAAGGGTGCTTTTGCTTTCGTTATTAATTAAGAACATTATTCTTTTTAAACATTCTTCAATCAAACCATTCTTTGCTTCTAGTTTTTGTTTGTTTGTTTGTTTGTTTGTTTGTTTCCAGCATGGCCACGGGGGTAGGTAAAAGCAGAAAATCATAGCTTTGCAAGAGCCCAGGGCCAGGAATCAGGAAAGCTGGGCTGATCCTAGCACTGCCCTGGGCCTCAGCATGATCTTGGACAAGTCACTTGACTTCTATAAGCGTCGGTTTCTCCCCTAACTGGAAGATTATGGTCTCTATCCCCTCTCTCTACCAGGGATGCTATGAGAATGAAAGTGAGACAATCAGGATAAAACATTAAAATCCACAAAGGATTATACAAATAGAAGCATTCGTTGCTAAGGAAAGTATTGCTATTAAAAACTGAAAACTGTTTACTAACAGTAGGATGAAATATGTTATTCCTATTTAGAAGAAAAATTATCGACAACTGAAGGCAACATGTCTTTACTCAATGTGCTTTGAGTTCCAGGAAGCCAGATCCACTAGCTGTAGACGGCGGAGTCCATGTCACTCACGCATTCATTTCATGACTGAAGCCTCCTGCACGCCAGGCCCTGGGCTAGGCAAGGTGCGGAGATCATCAGACCCAGCACCTGCTCAGGTCAGTGAGGGAGGCCAACATTCACACAGGTGTACAATGAAGCAGAGCAAGGTGAGGACGAGGGCAGAGGGAAGGAAGAATTTCCACGGGACCCCAGAGAAGTAAGAGGTGGAGCCGGCAGGTGAGCACCCTTCCTGGGATAGCTGTGGGACAGAACTTGTCAAGTCTGTGTTTCCTCCTGTGCACAGTTGCCCTCAACCTTCACCTTCCACTCAGGGTCTCTCATAACCTCTCCCTGGGGCATTCTCAGGGAGGATTGTGGGCAAGAGTTGCAGAGGCCTCTGGTCTGGAGGGCGTGAGCATGGTGGGGGCCCTGGCATGGCCGTGGGACTTGGCATGCTAGCCTACCTTGGGCTGCTCTGAGCATGGACCCCAGGAACTCCTCAGAAGGAAAGTTCCCAAGGGAGTCACTCAGGTCAGGGTGTCAGGAGTGTGCCCTCCCCATTCATTGATTCATCCACCCATGTGACCATTCATTTCCTCACTCACGGGCGGCCACTGATCCACATTCGCTGGATCAGCTAACATCCATCTGACTTTTCAACATATGGGCCTCAGCAGAACCTAAGCCTGCAGTTCACTTCATTCATTCAACAAACATTTACTGAAAGCCTGGTATTGACCAGGCCCATTCTATGGCAGAAGGCATTTTAAAAGCCTGCCTTGGCCAGATATGGGGTCTTGTGCCTATAATCCCAGGGCCTTTTTGGGAAGCTGAGATGGGAGGATCACTTGAGGCCAGGAGTTCGAGATCAGTCTGGACAACAAAACAAGACCCCCATGTCTACAAAAAATAAATTAGCTGGGCCTGGTGGTGCGTGCTTGTAATCCCAGCTACTTGGGAGGCTGAGTTGAGAAGACCTCTTGAGACCAGGAGTTCAAGTTTACAGTGAGCTACGATCACAGTACTGCACTCCAGTGTGGGCAACAGAGCAAGACCCTGTCTCCAAAAAATTAAAAAGAAAAACAATAAGCCTACCTAAGTTCAATTCACCATTACAAAGGGATCCTTTTCTTAGGACACCTCATCGGAGAACATGTAGTTTATACTTCTGGTAAATACCATGACTCCATCAATAGACACATACTATTCCATATTGTCTAGTCTTTGCACACATAATATAAATCCAGATTCATTTAACTTTTAGGGCTAGAGGGATTATGGAGACGACCTCTCATTGTACCTAATGAAACTAAGGCCGGCCAGGTGTGGTGGCTCACACCTGTAATCCCAGCACTTTGGGAGGCCGAGGCAGGTGGATTATTTGAGGTCAGGAGTTTGAGACCAGCCTGGGCAACATGGCAAAATCCCATCTCTACTAAAAATACAAAAATTAACCAGGCATGGTGGTGCATGCCTGTAATCCTAGCTACTTGGGAGGCTGAGGTGGGAGGATCTGTTGAACCCAGGAGGTGGAGGTTGCAGTGAGCCAAGACCACGCCACTGTACTCCAGCCTGGGTGACAGAGAGAGACTTCACAAAGAAAAGGAAAAAAAAAAAAAGGAAAACTAAGACCTCCAGTGTGGAGAGAGAACTGCTCAAGGCCATACAGTAAGTTAATGGCAGAGTTAAGACTCTATCTCCCTATCCAGCTCAACTCTTCAACCCATATTATATGTTCTAATATTTTGTTCTATAGCAGGCCAAGTGAGCTTGGACAAACTCTCTTTTGACCTCAGTTTTCTTACCTATAAAAAGGAAAGTTCGCTACGGATTTCCTGATCAACCTTCCAGCCCTACTTTCTAGTTCTCTACACAAAACATCAACTGGTATGCAATCGTTACCCTTTCAGAGAACCTGGCCTGCTTTTCACCAAGAATAGAATAAATCTGTCAGTGGATTCTGCTTAACCGCAGGACAATTGTTCACTACCATTCTTACAGCCACGGGTGGGCGGGCCTGGGGTCCCTGGGTCAGGCAGAAGTAGAGGTCTTCTCCAGTCTGCAGATTTGGCCCAGGACCTCTTTAGAATCTCAGCATGGCTGAGTGTGAGCCCTAGGCATCAGAGAAGTGGATACAATTTGTCCTGCTGTGATCTTAGCTCCTAAAATCATGAGTGCTGTGCTCTCAGTATGCAGGTAGAATGTGGGTAGAGGTCAAAGCTGCCCAACACTTACTGATTCATGGAGCCAAGCAGCCCTTCGTACAACCTGCAGATATCAGCAACTGGACCCTGTGCCAGAGACCCGCAGAAATGCAGTTAAATAAACCACCAGCAAAAGCACATTAAGGGCAAGGACTGTGTCATTCTTTTTTTTTTTTTTTTTTTGAGACAGAGTATCACTCTGTCACCCAGGCCAGAGTGCAGTGGTGCAATCTTGGCTCACTGCAACCTCTACCTCCCAGGTTCAAGTGATTCTCCCGCCTCAGCCTCCAGTGTAGCTGACATTATAGGCATGTACTACCATGCCTGGCTAATTTTTGTATTTTTAGTAAAGATGGAGTTTTGCCATGTTGGCCAGGCTGGTCTCGAACTCCTGACCTCAAGTGATCCACCGCCTTGGCCTCCCAAAGTGCTGGGATTACAGACGTGAGCCACCACGGCCGGCCTCATTTTGTATCTCAAGTGTCCCTATGTTGTAGGTGCTCAATAAATGATTGCTAATTGAATGGATTATCTGTCAAAGAGCTCCTTACTGGCTTGGACACAGGGGGCAAAATCACCTCCTTTCTCTGAATCTCACTTCTCTCATGTCTAAAATGAGAAAGCTACTAACGCTGACCTGAAATGACTCTTGGGAAAATTGAACAAGAAAACGATGCGGAAGAAGTGCTTCTCAGGCAAAGCCCTGAGAAAAACGTTAGCTCTTGTTACTACCACGTGGTAGAATAGAAATACAAAGGGCTATGGGAGAACCCGGAGCTGGAGCTGGGCTGAACCTTGGCAGGAATGCTAGAAGAAATATGGTATTTAGAACCTGAAACCTTTTGCAGTCACGCTACAAAAGATCTGCTCATTCATTTGCTTGTATCCTTTTCAATAGGAAAAATAGTGGCCAAATGAAAGATATTATGGCCTTTCACACTCTGAACAAGGGTTTTGGTGAAAAGTGAGCTTTTCTTCTGCAACTTTGGTGTAGATGCCGGGACAGGTCACCTCTTGAGTCCTTGCCATGTGCCGAGTGCGCTACATACCTTATCCCATTTAATTAGTCATTTGAGGGAGATTCAAAACTGCCGGCCCATAGTTATTTAGGCTCTAGAATCCAGGGATCTGGGAGGGCTCAGGTCAAAGGTCTTCCCATTATTAAAGTGTCCAGAATGACAGAAAGATCCAACGCCCGCCGCCTGACCTCCACCTCCACCTCCGCCTTGCCCCTCCCACAGCCCCAGCCACAGTCTTATTCAAATAAACAGTCTCAAGTCCCAAATGGAGTTCCTTCGAAGCCAGAGCAGAAATTCTAATTGTGGTTTAATGAGGCCCTGGTTTGCCCTCAACTGAGCTGTTTACTGAAGCAATTTCAGCTTGCTCCTTCTGGCCAGAGATTGCAGCCACTGGCTAACCTGTTTAAGATAAATGTCAGTATAGGCACTGGGGGAGGTTCAACCAGCTTTTCTCCTTCCTGTGTCAGCCCTGAGAGCAGCCCGGCAACCACCATGCTCAGACTCTGAGAAAGCAGCCAAGGGTATAAAGAGGAGGAAGGTACAAACATTGTCTTTAAGGACCCTACCGTCCAGTGGGGAAACAGCTAAACAGCTCTGATTAAAGCTTAATCAGAGTGTTTCTATGGACAACACTCTGATTAAGGGACCCTGTTCTGGAACCAGGAGTGCTGTGCCCTTCCCCATGGCATGTGGTCTCCTGACAGGCTGCAACCTCCCTGGGCCATGGGACACTGCAAAGGGCCCCTCTGGACTCCCCTGTATTGCCTCTGTGCAATCCACACATTTTAAGTGACTTCTAGGTGATGGCTCCCTCTGAAAATGGGAAGTGCCCCAAACCCTGGAGGCCCTGTGCCTGCTGCTTCAGGGCCACAGCACACAGGCCTTTCATCTTTACTCTCAGGTCTCAGAGTGGACCAGCAAAGAGGAAAGAGAAGAGAAATGACATTTACTGCACAGGTACAGCAGAGTGTCTCCTTTAATGTTTTGATTGAACAACGATTATTCCCCACATCCAGAGGAGGAAACTGAGGCTTGGAGAGGCAATGACTTGCCCAAGGTCAAGTGATGGAGCCAGAATACATCCACAGTTGTTTATTCACTCACCCGTTACCTATTGAGTGCTAGCTATGTAGCCAGGCATGGTTCTAGGTTCTGGGGATAGATCCAAGAGTAATCTAAGACCTGGTCTCATGGAGATGAGATTCCAGGCAGGGAAACAGACCTTGAACATATTGATATAAATATAATATAAAATCTGCAAGACCTGTCTGACTCAAAAGTGATGATCTGTCTTCCACCACGCATGAATTCAACTTCACCGTGAGCATCTGGCCTCGGACGATCCTCTCCATCCTGCTTATTTCCAGGGGCCCGATATCAGGCTTAATAGCGTGCTGCCTATCCACACGCCCTCCATAAACACTAAATGCTCCTTTGGGAGTTTGCGCCATCCCCACAAAGGCAGCCACAGCATCAAAGAAGGACTCTGTTCTCTGCCCGATGCCTGCCGAGCAGCTGTCCCCAGCAGGCCTGGAATCCTCCCCAAAACAAGGCAGCCCCTGGGGTTCTCCCGTCCTTCCTGGAGGTACCCTCTGAAGTTCCTGGCGAGGAAGTTCTGGTTCAGATAAAGGTTACCCAAATAGCTCCAGCCGCCCTAAATGTGGTGGGAGATTTACAGGAAGCAGGGAGGGCTGGCACTTCCAGGAGCCGTAAATCTCTCCTGCCTGGGCTGGAGAAGAGAATGCGCGGCAAACACTAAATCAATTTCATTGGCGTGCTGCGGGGTTTCTGCACTTGGAGGTTGGGCCCAGGATTGAAAGGAAGTAGTTGTCAAACATCAGAAATGATGAGGACAGACGCCGGAATCAGAGCTTTTGATTTCCTGTGGACCAGAGTTTGCTTGGTCTTGGCCTGTTCTTTGGGGATCTCATCATAAATGTCCCACGACTCAATGACCCTGGGTGCCAGGCAGCACTGGGCCTCTCTGGAGTCTTGGGGGTCTTCTCGTAAAGCCCCCTCCTCCTGGGGCTCCCGTCTCCCAGCTCTTTGTATGGCTGGCTCCATCTCATCAGTCATATCTTCGCTCAAATATCCCTTTCCAGAGAGGGCTTTCCTGGACGTCTGTCTGTCTAAAGGAAGCCCTTAAATCTCACTACTCACTCAGTTTCTCTCTGGTTTAGCTCCTTCATCATGTCTGAGAGAATCTCGTTTATTTAATCACTTGCTGACTGCCTGTATACCCCCACTGTATCATCAGCTCCATGAAGGCTGACTTGTCCACACTGTATGCCTGGTATCTAGCACAGGACTCAGCTGTATGTAGTAGGTGCCCAATACGTCTTTATTGAATGAACAAATCAATGAATAACTAAATTCCCAAAAAGCATCCACTCTAACCTCCATCTTCCATCAAGAGTAGCAACGATGAAGGGTGGGGTGGGGTGAAGAGGGGAATACATTTATATTTATCCCAAATACCGAGAATGTGGAGGAAGAACCTTTTCAGTAAAACCATTCATGATGTGTGCTTGGTTCTATGAGGAGAGATGTTCATGTATTTATCTTATTCTACAAAAAGATCTCCTGGAAGTAGAGTTACTCAACTTTTCAATGAGGCACCTGAAGCTCTGAGGCTGGGTGCTTGGGCAGGCACAGCAGGTGGGGCTGGCCTCAAGCTTTCGCCACTTTCCTTGTGTCTTGCTGTCTCCTCTAAAGGGGTTTCTAGCTCCCAGGGTGAAAGGTGGCTGCGGGTGGCGCCGTCTCCCCACTCCGCTTCTCTGACTGCACCCACAACACGTTTTGCCTGGCCCACCCCTCCCTGGCAGAGAATGTGCAAAGGTGTCTTCCCTTCACCTAGAAGAGGGTGGCTCTCCCTGGAGATAGGAATCCTGTACCAGTATTGTCAGAAGCCTGTAAAGATGACCTGACCCAAATTTGTCATTTTTTCGAGGGGCGAGTTGAGTCTCAGAGAAGAGAAGGGACCATTTCGAAGACATGGCCAATCAGAGGCAGCCATACAGCTAGGCCCAAGTGTCCTGACTCCATGGCTAGTGGTCCTGTGACCACATCAATCTTCCTGCCTCCTAGAAACACATGGCTGCCAGGAAGGGATGGTTGGGGTGACTCCCCTCTCCCTGTTGTAGGGCAGCCCAGTCACTGTTGCTGTGATGGAGAAAAGGGCATGGGGTTTGGAACAAACCTGGCCTCCCTGCTGCATGGCCTTGGGCAAGTACTTCAGTCTCTAAGGCTCACTTATCAAATAGCCTTGAGCTGAATCTGTGGAGGAGAAAGAATGAAAAATGAATGTGCAAGCCTCTGGTGCACAGAGAGTGCTCAGTGAAGGTCAAAGCTCTTCAAAAGTGCTTCCTTTTCCTTTCATATAACATTTTTAGTGCCTCTTGTTTCACTCCCAAAGATCCTATCCCACTTCCCACACACGCACACCAATACGCCCATGCCATCAGTTTCAACTCCCCCCGTGTCCATGATGCCATGATGGTTCCTGTTTTGGGGAGTTCACCCTTGCTACTTAACTCAATTTTAAAAATTGTTTTTATTTCCAGTTACCTCTTCTGGGAAGCCTTCTGGGATTTCCAGCTCCCTTGAAATTATCTTCAAGGGGGAAAATGTCAACCAACAGGTTCAGCTTCTCTTTCTGGTTACAATTTTAAATAGCCAGCATCTTTCAACATTTGGTCACTCTGCCAACACAGAGCCCTAGTTATGTGGCAGGCATGATCATAGGTTACAGAGACAAATCAGGCATAGTCCTCCTCTCCAAGAGCTCCCGGTCTAGTGAGACAGAAAGGCATATAAGCAGTGATATGACGGAGTGGTAAGAGGTTGAAAGAGCAAATCAGCTAGGCTAGTACTAGCGGCTGTAACAAGTAATCCCCAATATGTCAGAGGTTTCCCACAGTAGAAGTTAATTTCTCACTCATGTCAGAGGCCAGTGCACATGTATCAGTTGGCAGGGGGCAGACTGTGGGGGTAGTCACTGCTGGAGAGTCAGGGAAAGTGTCCCCAGCAGGGGACAGAATGGCCAGCATTTAAGAGCGGACTGGTTAAGTCAGCTCAGGAGCTGGTTGAAATTAGAGCTAATGTGCTCAGTATGTCCCATCCAGAAAAAGCTAGTGATAGTCTTCGTTAGGGTGGAAATACACAATATTCATAGAAGACAATAAGGGGCACCTGTTGGGAAAATCTCTGCTTGGCTGTCTTGCCCCCTTTGCAGTTAGGTAATTTAGCATGATGAAGATAGTCATGTCTAGGAAACAACGCTATCTCTACTTTCAATCTTTCCAATGCATTCAGATGGAGTCTGAAAGACAATGCGCTAAGAAAGATGTGTCCAGTTCAGACCTGTAACATTTGCACAGGGGGGCTTGGGTAGAAGAACTGAGAGGTACATTTCCCCATAGGTGGCGAGCCTCCCACTGTGTGAGCAGGTGCTTAAAAGGTCAAAGAGCAACGAACAGAGTGTCCTGCTGGCCTTTAAAGATGGAAGAAACCGCTGACCATGTCGAGCCCAGGAACCAGAGATTCTGAGGCTAAATGAGACTTGAAGGTCACCTGGCCCAATCTCACCCATATCTGAATCCCTGAGTACAGCATTTTTCAGGATGGCTGCCCACTCTCAGATCAGGTCATCTCACAGCGACTGGACAGGCTGGTAAGCTCTCAGAGAAAGATTTCCTCCCAGTCAAGTAGAATCTGGCTCCTGGACCTTCCAACCACAGGCCCTCGTCCTACCTAGTAGACCCTCAGTTTGTCTTTGTCATTGTAGAGCTGAGGAAACAGAAGGAAGGAGGGACGTGCCCAAGTCACTCAGCAAACTCACGGCAGTGCTGGGAACGGGAACCAGCTCTCCTTCTACTCAGGATTGGCCTCTTCCCACTTCATTGTGTCAAATCTATTTACAAAAGAGAAAAACCAAAGGGTTTGTGTTTCTTCCAACTTGGTTTTGAATCTCGGAGGTTTTCCTGGTGAGACAGAAGGCACGTGGGAGGCTGGAGGAGGGGCTCTGCTTCTCCAGGGGACTGGAGGTGTCAGGGAAATGTGACATGAGGAAACACATTTGCACAGAAGGAAAATGGGGGAAAGGGAGCAATTTTCAAACCTTCAAGCAATTAGGAAAAAAGGCATCTCCGGAAATAAAAAATGACCCTTTCAGGAATGTTCTTTCAGAGAGTGAACAAGAAGCCCACACATCTATTACATAAACTAAATAGTCATTTTACCTGATTTTCTGCATAATTGATGGGGATATCAACATAATCACTCTGGATTCATTAACAGGTCTTGAAAACTAGTTTTAACACTTGCAACACACTAAAAAAATAAAATATAATATAATAAAGCAGGAAAGATAATCCTCCTGGAAGGAATTCATTTCAATGCCCCACAAACGGGCCTGCACAGATAACAGTTCCCTTGGAAAACTGCATGTCTCACTCAGCAATGTTTACGTCTGCCCCACGCCACCGCACAGGATGAATCCACACCCCCCCCCCCACCCGGTTTGATGTTGAGCTGCCAAGGCTTTCTGTCTGGGGTGCTCAGAGAGCTGCTCCTCCAAGACAGTCCGACTATACCCAGGACTGGGGCAGGGAATGAAAGGCCGGCTGCAGAGGAGATGGCTCACTTCAGGAGAAGCAGCGGGCAGATCTCCAGGTTCTGGAGATGGGGAGCTGAACTCTGAGCTGCCATGCACTTGCTGAGTGATCTCTGGCCTCAGTTTCCTCCTCTATGAAATGAGTCAAGTTCAATACCCACTTCTTGAAATTATACATGTGAAATGCTTAGCACATGGTCAGTGCTTACAGAAATGGCCTATTATTATTCTGTGCAGATACCTTCCCTTCCCAGGAAGAGCTCCCAGGCATTGGAAAAGCAGAGCATTAAGTGCTCTGTAGGAGAACCTGGAAATAGAAGCGGCACCACACAAAGGAGAGGTGACTGCTTCTCTCTGGAAGGGAGGGAGTTCGCTGAGATGGCTCCACTCAGATGGGACTTTGAGGATAGACTAGAGGAAGTGGGAGGACATTCCAGGCAGAAGGACTGGTTTGTACAAAGGCTCAGAGGGAGGAAACCGCAGGGCCAGTATGGAGACCTGCTGTGAGGTCAGCAGAGCTGGTGCATGAGGAGCAAAGGGTGGGGTGAGGCTCATTCCTTGAGACAAGAGAGGAAGGCTGGGTCTTGCCCTGCATGGTACCCAAAGGTGATGTCCACAGGAGTGCTTCACCTGCTCTGCAGAGCAGGGCCTGGCCTCTGCAAGGGAGTCCTCCTGGGAGCCCCAGAGCCTGGGAGCTGGCAAGAGCACTGAGCTGTGGCGAAAGCCCACCCCCATCCCCACCCCCACTGCCCCTCATGGTCTGAGGAGTCGGCCTGGCTTTACAGTTGCCCAAGAAACAAGTCTAGTTGCCCAGGTTAGAGGTCTGGCTCTATGGCAAAGCAAACAGAAGTTGCAAAACACCCAAGTGCTTGGAATGCTGGTTGCAGGGCCCCGGGGGAGCACTTGGGAACCAGTGGTTGCAAATGTAGATGGGGATGCTGGAGACAAAGATGGGGAAGGCCTTGAGTGTGGCCCCAAAGGGAATTGGCGACAAATTCAGACAGAAAACTATGAACCAGGTCTCCTAGGTTCTGGGACAGTGCTTTTTCAGTTGCAGTTTGCTACCTCTCAGCCAGCGCCATTGTGCTGCCCAGCTCCAGGGCGCCATGCTTCCAATAGACCATGTGAAGAGCAGACCTGGAGTTGTGCAGGGCACAGCTTGCATGGCCATACACAGCAGCCCCACACCCGGCATCCAGCTGTCCAGATGGTTAGAGCTTGACCCTTCTCCAGGGAGTGATTCTGACATTGTGTGGACACAGAACCTGATGCCAACAGCCATCCACAGGAGCTCAGAACTCATTTAGTCCAGGGTCAGTAACTATGGTGCATATATGAAGCCTTTGCTCCACCCTAACCAGTCCATGGCTGGGTAATCAATGCAAATGTTCCTGCTGATCCAGGAACCCACCAATTCTTCTCAAAACAGTGTCCAGCATGGCCATTGCTAATTCCTCATTTGAAATGTATTCATATTTATTCAGTGCCAGGCTCTACTCTCAGTGCCACTTGGAGTTGTCCTCAACGCAGTACGTAAGTTCTGATCTGTCAGCTCAGTGTCCACATGAGAAGTCTGCTGGTTAGTGGATCCCCATCTGCAGACTCCAATTCTCTTTTCCATCCAACATGATGCCTTTCAACCTCCCTATTCTTTCAACACTGCAGCTAAACTGTAGGCAGCAGAGAAATCTCAACCCTAAGAGAGACTTTGCTTTTCTCAAGTTTCTTGTCATTTGCACCTCAAAGGCCACAAAAACTAGCCAAATCCTCCCTGCCAGTCCAGATTCCCTTATCATTTACAAACAAATTTGCATGTGGTGGCTCAGCCAGCAGTCGCAGAGCCTAAATCTGAGCCAGGTCCTTGTCCACAGCCTGTTGTCTCTGGCCACGCCCTACTGCCTTTCCAGGCTGACTGAGAAACTGCAGCCCTGTGCTCATCACGCTGCCATTCATCTCGGATTTGTCAACGTGGATTTCAATTTTAAGCTTTTTCCTTCAAAATATCCTGCTTGCATTTGGCATTGGCTTCTGCAACTGTGCAGTTTGAGAACAATATGAAAATCAGCATTTCATCAAGCTGTAACGCTTGTTAAATGAGATCTTGAAGTCCCTAGAATTATTCTTCCAGAATCGAGTGGAACAAAAGATGCCTGAATTTTAAACATTCAGTTTGAAAAAAAAAAAAAAGAACTGAAATGTGTACACGTCCTTGAATTTCTAAAAACTAAGCCCAAGCAGGGACAGTTGGGGGATTTTCCATCCTGTGAGATTTTCGTAGTGGAATTAACCTCATTACAAGAGCGCAGTGAGTGTGGGGCGGGGAGGAAAGGGGGGTGAAGGTGGGGCTCCTGGTGTGTGGCTCTGGACAGACATCTCTCCTTCTCTGGGTCCACATTTTCCATCAGTCCTATGAGGGATGGACCAGGTGCCCTCTCTGTTTCCTCCCACCTGTGACTGTCGGTGCATGTGGCCTCCAATTCATCACAATTTGCACTTGAGACAAAGTGATCTGTCTATCCCGAGTGCACCCTCTCTGCATTCATCACAGCTTCTCCTCCTTCCAGAAATTCAGTCTCATGTTCATCTGCAGGGATACCCCAGGAGTAGCTTGATAATCATCAAGAGCATTCAGCCCAAACCACAACTACCCATCCCAGGCCTATGGAGGGAGACCTCCATGCCCCAAGGGAGGCTGGAAGCCTTAAAACCTCTCTAGGCTGGGTGTGGTGGCTTACAACTATAATCCCAGATACTCAGGAGGCTGAGGAGGGAGGATCACTTGAGCCCGGGAGGTTGATGCTGCAGTGAGCTATGATGGCGCCACTGCACTCCAGCCTGGACAACAGCAAGACCGTGCCTCTAAGAAAAAAAAAAAGAAACAACTACCTCTCCAGCCCACTGCCCCACAGGAATGCGAGGCATCTCCTGGCCTGCCTCCTTCCAGCGGAGGAGGGCCTGCAGGAGGCACAGGCAGCCCATCCAGCCCCTCCAGAGAATCCACGCCTGAGATCAGGGACCTGCTTCCTGGGTGGATCTCAGCCAACTAAGTCAAGGGCGGCTGGACAGTCCATGACTCTACCATATAGACCTAAAAGAAATGTGACTCCGGAGAAGTCATTTCCCAGGAAAATGCATTGAAACTTCCCCTTCCCCCCCACCAGGCTCCTCCTCCGAGGGCATATGGGAGAAAGGAGTGAGGAAAGAAGGGAAGGCCACAGACCTGTCCAGTACCCTAGTGGGAGGTGTCCTGAGACCTTGAATAACCTCCTGTCTTCCCAGGTACCCTCCACCATTATTTGGCAGAATCTGATGATGTGTTCATACCCTAAGCCTTCTCCAGCTCTTTGGAAAACAATTCACGGTTTGATCTCTTCTGCAGACATTTTTTCCCTGGCCTCCTGCTCTGTTCCAGATGTAGGGCCCTGAACTGAAGGCAAAGGCCTTGAGAACAGTGGCCCATGCCCCGGGGAGCTCTCTGTTCCCCCCTCACACCCTCCATCAAGGGCAGAGTCCCAGCCAAGCTTCGGGGCCAGTACATTCTTATCTTGGAAACTTGTAATGTGCTCTCAGGCTCAAAGACTAGCTGGGGTGGGTGGTGGGGGTGCTGGACCCACAGCAGCTATAGACTGACAGGGAAACAATGCCCGACACCGGGCCCTTCCCACATGCCCTGCTGAGGACCGACCTGAGTTTCTGAGGCGCCTCTGCCGGGCCCTGTGTGGAGGGAGGAGGCAGAGAATGGGTGACGGGACCCTGGACAAGCCAAAGCGGTGAGTGGGGCTCACACTGGAACAGGCAGAATTGGTCACTGGGGGGAGTGAGGGGATGGGGAGAGACTGGAATCATATTATTAAAAAGGGATTTCCAGAAGCTTTGCCAAGCATGAAGAATGCAGACTCCCTTCAGACACGGAAGGCAAGATTCTATTGCTTGTAAATTATTGTGGATGCTGGACTGGTGTTTGTGGAGCAGAGACCGGGTCTCAAGGCAGCTTAGCCTTGGTTATATTCAGTCCTAGGCTCTAGGTATAACTAGACGCATCTTATTCTCCCCAACCCGTCACCTGCCACGATGAGCCTCTTAGGGGCAGACTTCGCGTCTTGCTCTGTCTCTGATGCGTCCTCGCCACCGAGGCCCCACGCATGTGTTTTGAGGGAGCATAGGCTGAGAGAAGAGGCCAAGGGAGGGGCTGCAGCCAGGCAGGCTCTGCGAGCTCTTCTCCCGATCATTTCCGTCTTCTCACTGGCCCATAGGTGTCTAACCCCCTAGCACATGCTAGAGCTCTGTCTTAAGAGATGACTTGGAAAGACAGATGGGGAGGGAGGAGATGGGGAACCCAGTAGGCACTGATATGACTGTCCCAAACTCCTCAACACTGGCCCTCGGTGGGGCTGAGCCACGAGGAGCAAGAGGGCAAGAGGGCAAGAGGAAAGAGGAGGGCAGGAGGCAGGAGGTGAAGGAGAGAGGAAGACCGGGGAAGAGGAGAGGGAATGTCACACGCAGAGAGGAGGAAGAGGAGAGGCGGAGGGATGAGGAAGGCCCAGGAGAGGCAGAATGAGGCAGAAGGCACGGCCCAGGGCCCCGCTCCTTATTTCATTGGCCAAATACGCAAGAGCTTTCAACACGGCTGCTACTTGAGGCAGCATTTCCTCCAACTCTCTTTCTTGTTTTGAGGCAGAGACCAGGCTGTCTCCCCACCCACCTCATCAGCATTCCAGGTGATCTGTAAGAGGAGGCCGCTGGGAGGACCCTGGGTGGGACAGGACTCCCAGGTGACTCCCACCGCCTCCTGCGGGGTACCCACTAGCTTCCCTCTCTCTGGTTAGGAGACAGCTGGAGCCGCGTTCTGAGGAGGGCTGGAGGCCCACTTCTCCAACAAAGCAGCGATTTCCCCTAGCACCATCTAGCCTCCTCCCCAAAGTCCTCGGGGAAGGGCAATTTGTGGAAACGGAGCTGCTGGGTAATAGATTTCTCTGTCAACATGATGACTGAAAGAAAGGGCGAAGTAATTAGCAGTAATGCACTTCAATTACGGCTCCGCCTCCCATCCCCCACCCAACCCCAGCTCCCTTCCCCATTTAATTTTCATCTAAAACAAAACAGTTGCCACAGACCCAAAGCTAAAAACAGAAATCCCTTTCAGCTCCCGGCAAATTAGCAGGAATGTCTTATTATGGAAGCGGTGGGCGAACTTATTCCAGAGCAATACAGGAAGCAGGACTCCCGGCCGGTATCCCTTGCCTTGCAACCCCACTCTCAATGCTCCCAGCAATTAACCTTGTCCCTCCAGGCCCCAGATCACCCTCCCCTCACAGGCCTGGCTCAGCCTCTTTCAAAGCCCTTGCCTGAGGAATTCTGTCAAAAATCAGTAGCACCTTAGAGGAGGCCCGAGGTCAGGGGACTTCCTTGCTACACAGGAAGGCGTGTTCTATCAGAAAAGGGAAATGTTCTCAGACCCTCAGATCTTGGGCGACTAAAAATAAACTAATAGGCCTTAAATTAACTTTTTCTTTCTTTTCCCCGACCTCCTAGCCCCTACTTTCCACCAAGACTTTTCAACTTGAAGGAAAAGCATTTATTATCTGAGAGTGACACACAGGAAATTAGACTTATAAATTGTGCTTAAAATGTTATAGTTTCCAACTTTCTTTAATGCTAATCTTAATGCTAATAGGTTGTGAGATATGTGTTTTGACTTGAGAGATTCTTTTTTTCTTTTCTAATTAATTCTCGGCTACACCACATGAAACATTTGTGGTGGAGGAGTTCCAGGAGTTTGCACGCAGTTGGAGAGAGGGACTCCTGTCGGAGCTCAAAACGGCCATTTTCCTATAGAAGCTTCCAGAAAAATCCTTCTTGGCTAGTGTAAATTTAGTCCATCCGGAAAGCCAAAGCACTCGCTCGCCATTGGAAAATGCAAAATAAAGGATTTGTGTTATCCTGGCGTTCCGATCCCCAGGTTACCTCTACAGCCTGATATTCCACAGTTCTCTAAGGGTCCTTTCTGTTCAGTTAGAAAACCGCCTGCCCGATGTTTCCCAAGCGCACCAGGCTCGCCCACCACATCAGCGCCGCTCCCCCTGCTGGAATCCCATCGCGGCTTCTTGGCTTCCACGTGGGTTCTTACAACCGCGGTCGTGCTGAGCTTGTGCTGCACTGGCTCCCCGCTGTGCTTCAGCATAGCTGTTAGTGAGGAGGGTTCATACTTGCGGTCGGAAACACTCTCCCAAGGGCAGGACTGATACGTCTGGTCCGACAGCCACCCCTAGTCCTGCCATGGGAAGGCGGCCTCGTGGCTGGAGGGAGTGGAAAGGCTTCTAGGCCTCATTAGGTTCGCACTGTTCACCATGGCTGGAGAGGACGGTGACGTGTGGGAGGAGTGTGTTCCCATGGTTTTCCAGGTGAGCTCAAAGACCTTCTGTGAGGTTGGGTTTATGGACTGGGGAGCCAGACTGAGCCCTCACAGCTGACACGGAAAAAAAAAATGGGGGGGGGGCGGGTAGCATTCTCTTATCTTCAGAAATGAAAAGAAAATACATGAACTCTACCCGTGGGAGAGGTTGGCAAATTCTTCCCTAAGCCACTTCCCTCTCCTGCCAGGCACACGGTTACACTCTCTTTCCCAGCCTCCCTTACAGGACGTAAGTTCTCTCCCAGCTATAGTCATGGGACTGAGCCTGTCCCGTAGAACATGAGGAAACAGGATGTATGTCACCAGCAGCCCCGGCCCATGAAGCCTCCTGTGTGGCCCAATGCTCTTTCTCTTCCCTCAGCTCCCCTGCCTCGCCTGGTGGAGGTGGAGGACCCCGTGGAGCACTCCAAGGCCCTAGAGGAGGGCAGAGCCTCTAGACCAGTGGCCTCCGACTGGGGACCATCTTGCCACCCAGGGAACGTTGGCGATGTCTGGAGACGTTTTTCGGTGTCACAACTAAGGGGTGTGTGTGTTACTGGCATCTAGTGTGTAGAGGCCAGGATGCTCTAGATCAGCAGTCCCAACCTTTTCAGCACCAGGGACCAGTTTTGTGGAAGGCAATTTTTCCACCGACTAGGGGTGGGTGGGGGTGGGGATGGTGGTAGGGGGATGGTTTCTGGATGAAACTGTTCCACCTCAGATCATCGGACATTCATTAGATTCTCATAATTATCACACAGTCTACATCCCTCACATGCACAGTTCACAATAGGGTTATCGGTCCTAGGAGAATCTAATGCCGCCACTGATCTGAGAGGAGGCAGAGCTCAGGCGGTAATGCTCACCCACCACTCACCTGCTGCTGTGTGGCCTGGTTCCTAACAGGCCCCAAATCGGTACCAGCCTGCGGCCTGGGGGTTGAGAACCCCTGCTCTAGACAACCTAGAGCACAGGACAGCCCCCACAACAAAGAATTACCTGGTTCCCAAGTGTCACCATGCCATGGCTGAGAGCCTCTACTCTAAATAGAAGGACCGTGGGTCTCTGAATAACTGTGTGGTTCTCTGCCAAGCTGCACTGCACTGTGATAGAAGCAAGAAATAGATCTTATCAGTGAAGCCCCTGAGACCCAGGGGTAGTTTGTTAGAGGAGTCAGTGTGCTGTGAGTACCCTGCTCCCTGACAGTAAATGTACAACGCTGAAACAGAGGCATGTTTGTGCAATACCGGGGGAGCTCTCTACAGGCCACCAAATCAGAACCAATGACCCCTCCTCTGTGCTCAAGAGCACAGTCCAAACCCTTTTAATTCTTACTGTGGCCCAGTGATGGTGTCATCTGTCATTATCAAGCCCACCTTGAAAAAGTCTTGTGTGTCCATAGGTGCCACCTGAAATGAACTGTGAGGTCTTCGATGGCAGGGACTGAGTCTCTTCCAAGTTCAGGTGCATTTAATGAGCTCTTTCAGGACCCTACTCTGTACCACCCTGCTCATAAGCTTCAGTCCTTGCCCTCAAGTTTCCAGCCCAGTGGGAAAGACAGAAGCTTGAAGAGATGTTGGAATCCTAAATGACAAATGCTGTCGTGAAGACGTGAATAAGGCACGATGATCTTACAGTCTGTCGCATGACATTATGGTTTTCTGCCCCCAGGTCTCATCCCTAGAGGCTGGGGTCCTTAGCAACAGCCAATGGAAGTAGTGGAGAGAGCCAAGGAGTTGCTAGACCCACGGACAACACTGTTGAGTTCCATCAACACAAATGACCACCGCGCTCCTCTCCGCTCCATCCCACTGGCCTGCCCTCATCGCAGCTCTCTGCTTCTCATATCTGGATGGCTGTGGTGGGTCTCCTGTCTCCATTCGTGCAGTCAACAAATACTTGTGCAAATATGCCAGATACCGTACCAGGCCCTGGGGATGGAGCATCAACACGAGAGTCCTGTTTTTCTAGTTGCATCTTCACGTGGTTGTGGTCTGGTGGGGTATGGACTAGTAAATAGGCAACGACCATATAGCCAGGTGCAGGCTGCAGTGAGAACATAGATAAGAAACACCTCTTCTAGCTTTGGGGGCCAGAGGACTTCCCAGATGGAAGTGACATCTAAGCTAAGATTTGAAGGAGTGGAATTGGGGAGATAAGGCTGGGGATGTGGGAAGTAAGGGGGAACAGAGAAAAGCATAGGTCTGTGGGCCCCGAGACAGGAGAGAACACTATACCTTTGAGGAACATTGAGTTTGTTGACACACAGAAGACAAAGAAAGTTCAAGAACCTAATTTGAGAGGCAACCTATGCCAGATCATGCAAGGACTGTCTGAGGGCAGTGGAATGGCACTGAAGGCTTTAAACAGGGGAAGAAGACATGATCCTATTTGAGTTCTGGAAGGATCAGTCACACTGACCTCTTGAGAATGGACTGGAGGAGGCAAATCTGGACTTGGTTGTAGTCACTTAGATGGGAGACGATGGTGGCTGCACTATGGTGCTGGAAGTGTCTTCCAGAGAAATGTAGACTAGAGTCTCATCTCTATCTTCAGCCCGCCCATCATCAGCTGCTGGAGAGAGATTTCTTAAACCTGAATCTGATCACATTACTCTCCTGCTCCACAGTCTTCAGTAGCCCCCATCGCCTATGGGATCACATACAGACTCTGCAGTCAAAGTCCTTCATATGCTGATTCCTTTGTGTCTTTCTGGATTGCATCATCTCTCATTATATCAAACTCAAATCTTGCTCCAGCATACCTAGAACTGCTCACCAACTCCAAGTCTCAGCTCAGATGTCACCTTTTCTAGAAAATAAATCCTTTTAGTTCCCACTCAGGCTGGGTTAGTGCCTTGTGTCCCAATTGGCTGTCTCCCAAACTAGACTGGGAGCTTCCTAAGGACAGGAGCTGAATCTCTCATCATGGCATGCCCAGAATGCCTGCCGCAGGGTGCCTGAGAACACACACCTGCTCAGTAAATACATTTTGGAAGAAGGACCAAATGGATGGACAGCTACACTGCCAAGCATCCAGTTGCTTCCAACTAGAATGACTTGTTTTCATCTCTCCTCTGGAAGGCTTAACATTGCCAGTCACATGGAAGAGAGGATCTTAATGGAGAGCTGACAGTCTGGATCACATGTAAATAATATGAAGCCTTCCTATCTCCCCTGAGCCTACAGGGATTCTCCACTCTTTAGTATTCCAAGGGTCCTTGGGCTTCCCATGAACATGGCAGAGATCATATGCCCTCTTGTTCCCCTGTGCCTATATTGGCTTCTCTCTTTTTCACAATAACCAAGGAAGCAGTCTATTCTTCATTTTCTCCCCTTTGATTTTGTAATAGAGCAGCAGAAAGAACACTGTAATAGGAATCAGGAAAGCCAGTGGTCTCAGGTACTAGTTCGCTGTGCGACCTTAGGCAAGTCTTCGTGGGCCCCAGTCTCCCTGAGTATAATAAGAAAGAGGTGAGGGAAGGGGCCTCTTCATACTCCCTTCATTTCTATTATTTGATCCTAGATTAACAGCCTTTACCCCTCAGCTCTGGCCTCACCACTGATTCTTGGTCCTGCACTCAGGAAATCCATCTGTGGGCTCACTAATGAGGATGTCCATAGCATTGTCATATGCATTTGTAGGACTGTGAGAGGCAGAAAGGGAATGAGAACTGGATGGCAAAGTGGAAGGACTGAGTTCAAGTCCTGGCTCCATCTCTTGCAGCCTTGTGAAATGGGTGTGTGTCTCTCTGAACCTCAGTTTTCCCTTGTAAATGGAAATTCCAGTGTTGCCTCATGGTGCTGTTGGGAAGATCAAGTGAGATCCTGAACGCAAAAGCCCTTTGGAAACAGTAAAGGGCTATATTTCATTTTGCCTTAAAAATGTGTACATCTCAGAACTTTTGGTGTTTTGTGGTCTGACGTGTCCACAAGATGATGTTTTTCTCCTCCTACTTTGTGTGCCTCCCGAGGAATGGTGGGAGGAGCAGAGCAGGGACAAAACACTCACTGAGAACCTCATTCCACCCCGCACACCCGCATCGGGCTCACTCCCCTTGCTGGGTATGTGGGAAGATGGCAGGACTGTCGGGTGAGGCCGTGTGACCAGACTAGCTGATGAAATGGGGGGCAGAATGGCATATGTCACTGTTGAACTGATGCACTGAAGGACCATTGTGCCATGACGACCTTGGATGCCACATGTAGAGAAGATGGCCTCACAGGACAGAGGGAGTCTGGCTCTTTGAGCCTAAAGTGACTGTATAATTTGTCACTCAAAAAGGGACGCTTTTGAGAGGGACGGGGGAGGGTGCTAATGACAATGAAGCTGGGACAGCAGGTGTGGACCAGCATGGTCTCACCTGCTGAAAGGTACGGTCCTTCTACCTGAGTCATGGGATGGAGGGGAGCTCCATCAACCTGCATGGGACTTGGAGCGGGTGATTGGTGTTATGCTTTGCCACAGAACTTTGGAGACTTGTCCATTGTGGCAGTTAAGGAATACTTATCCTGATTAATATATGTTCACATCACCAAGTTCAGTTTCCACAGCTATTCTGTGAGGCAGGCATTCTTTCCCCCAGTCGACACAAAAGGAATGTAACATTTGGATAATGAACTTGCCCAAGATCACACAACTGGTTTGAAACCCAGCTTGGACTGATTCCAAAGTTCATGCTCTTTCTCCTTTATTCTGCCATCCTCCTCTCAGCCCAACTGAGACTTCCCGATCCCCAGAAGACCAATGAGAAGGGGCCATAGTTTGAAAGTGTGTGTCTACATGCTAACCCCTAAGAAGTCAGCCCTCTTGGCTTCTCCCTCTACCTGCGGAGTTCTGAAGGGAAATGCCCATATTTCACTTAAAAAAAAAGATCAAAAGCCTTCCATCAGTCACTTTAACTTATTTATGAGTTTGATTTTTTTCTTGGATCATTTCCTTTCATTCCTGCCAGAAGCCCTTGCCTGCAATCCTCCCAAGTTATTAATGAAAGAAGTCAAACGGTAGCGAGTGCAGGAACATTCCTGGCTCCTGCTGACTTGTGTCGTGTGTGCTGGAAGCAGATGTTTTCACCCAGATCATAGACACTTGCCAGGCCTCTCACATCTGCCCTGTTTGCAGATGAGGACAAAGGAAGTCAGAGGACAAAGTCTATTTCCAGCCCAGCTAAGAGAAAAGGAAGAGTCAGTGTTCACATGGAGCATCGTGCATTGTGCCCACTTAGTGTGGCCAGCTCTGGGCTGGTTGCTGAGGTCTCCTGGTGAACAAACCAGACATACTTTTCCCAACTTTTCCTCCTATCGTTTCACCTGCGTGAGAAGTTTCAGTAATTTATTGGGTAGGGGTTATCAATAATGGTCACAGCCTTCCTGTCCTCTTACACTGCGGGTTAAAATGGTCTCCTTATTTTATTTTTTTGGGTTTTTTTTTTTTTAGAAAGGGTCTCATGCTGTAGTCCAGGCAATGGCATGATCACAGCTCATGGTAGCCTCTACCTCCTGAGCTAAGTAATCCTCCCACCTCAGCCTCTTGAGTAGCCGGGACCACCACAGGTGTTCACTACTATTCCTGGCTAAATTTTTGATTATTTTTTTGTCGAGATGGGGTTTCAATATATTGCTTAGGTTGGGCTCAAGGGATCCTCCTACTTTGGCCCCTCAAAATTCTGGGATTACAGGCATGAGCCACAGCACCTGGTTTTTATGATTTTTATGGAGTTCTGAATTAAAAAAAAAAAACTCTACAGAAAAGTTTCATATAGATATCTAGGCCAAATATACTCCAGAGATCTATTGTAGCTAAGGTTCTGGTGCCCAGAAAGAGAAAACTAGACAAGCAACTCGCCCTAGGGCACATCGTGTTGGCCAATCCCCAGCCTCTGCCATGCCAGTTCACACAGCGGATTCATTTTTCCCTTGCTTGTCTGGGTAGACTCCTCTCCCCTCTATTATAACCAAATTGAAGCATTCTCTCTGGGTCTAAGTGATTCACCCATTTAAAAGCCTTCCATTCTCTTATCCCAGGCAGGAGAAGACCCTGCCTGAACCCAGCTATGTGGAGAGGCCCACGGGATGGAGGTTGAGGTGGAGCATGAGCTGCCCCTGAGCAGACAGAACAACACAAAGGGGCTGGGAATTGAGAGTGGCGGTGCCCACAGGGAGCCCACAGGCAGGAAGACCCAGGCTGGAGGATCAGGGCCCCCACGGAGGAAGACTTTGGACTAAAAGTCACAAGACCTTGCTTTTAGTGCCAGCTTTGTCACTAACTGGCAATTTACCGTAATGAAATCACCGATACTGGCCCAACCTTCATTTCTTCATCTGTAAAACATATTGCCAGGGACGAAGTTTGCAATTTCGTTGACTTCAAAAGGTGGCTGTGGGAATAAACTAAGATACTGGAAGAGAAATGGCTGTGCACGTGGTAGGTCTATCGAAACGCTAAGGGGACTTCATAATCATTTGCACGTTGTCATAAAGGTTTTGAGAACCGATTATGTCAGCGATACAAGCCTAGGTCTGAATCGCTTGCATTTGTGCCTATACTGTGTGCATGAGTGTGTGTGCACACAGATTTTTCTGTTCTGGAGAGAGTCTGGGCCATCAAGCGTTTGAAGGTTCAAATCCTTCATACCCCGGCAGCGTTGCTGACTGCACCTCCACTGGGGAGCAAAGGTGGGGCAGCCATCCCTAGGATCTTGGTTTCTAGCAGACCGAGGATGGAGGCTGCGTGCTCAGATTCCTGGGCCTCTCCTCCTGGGCATCTTCCTTCCTGTTCCTCCTCGTGGCTGACTCCTGGCCTGTGGCCGCCATCCCCACCAGCTGGCTCATTTGCATGTGGCCCCAGTGGGTTCCTGTGCCCACACAATGAAGTGGCTGTACCCATGCTTCTGCCCCTGGGTCCTAGCCAGGCCTGCACTCACACTGTGGGCTCCATTCATTCCAAAGGACACACAGTCCCCAGCCGCCGGGGCCCACCAAGGCTTGGAGAGACCCAGGGCCCAGTCTCACCCTGGAGGCGGCTGAAGGCCTGGGTCTTGCGTCATCAAACATTGCTCACATTCCGGGGGGAGGAGAGGAGACAAGGCTTCCTCAACACTGGTCCGCTCCAGGCCCAGCCTAGCTTCTGAACTCTTGTATTTTGCTTGTACCACCCTGCACTGGCCAACTTCCTTCTGCCAGGTTTTGCTCTCTTCGGAGCTGGCGTACACAGTTGTGTGACAGGGTTTGAGTCCCACATCGGCTGCTTACCCACTGTGTGACTTTAGCCAAATTGCATCAACTCCTTTCAGAACCTTCATTCCCCATTTGTAAAATGAGGGTATTAATTTCTGTCTCTCAGGATCGTTGTAAAAATGAAATGAAATGTGCAAAGCGTCACCGTCCCTTTTACTGAGTGGGTGTTGATAAAGGATTGTGTCATTGAAATAAAGGTGTGACCTCGGCAAAGCATGTTATCTCTTGGGGCCTGCTATTCACCTGGGATGGGGGTGAACCCCAGTACTCAGGGACACGGTAGGAACCGGCTGGAGGTAAAAACACTTTATACACCTGAAGTCCCATCTGGGCATGGTGTTAGATCCTCTGGAATATCAAGTCATTACCGAAATGATTGCAAAGCCCTTGGCATTCGCTATACTTGGGTGAATATTCACTATACTGGGGTGGGTGTGGGGTGTGGGGTGTGGGGACAGGGCTGTGCCTGAAGCCAGAGACCATGCCGGACATACATGGTGTAGACTTCTGGAATTCTAATAGTCCCATCTGGTGGGTCGTCCCCTCACAGTGTAACCTCCCGGGTTCATTGAACCCATGCAGTTCCTCTCGTGCATGTGCCTCTGACTCTGACTGCATGCGCTGACATCACGGGAGCAGTATGCTGACCTGGGGGAGCAGGGATTTTGGTGCCAGAAAAATTGGATAATATGCGATGGCCTGACTTCACTCTCCCCTATGTCCATCCTCTTGGGATGCTCCTGGGCTTGCCCTGTAGGCTGTGTTCCCTGTGGCTCATGTACAAGAAGGATCAGGCCAGGGTCCCAGGGTCCCCAGGCACCTGCCCTCTCCCCTGCGCTGCCTTCCTGTCCAGGAAGCAGCCGGGACTTCCTGGTGTGAGGCCTGAGGACCTATTGGCCTGCAGAGCCCTTCAAAGATCTCTCAGCACTGCCTCACTCGCCTCATTCCCAGCTAGTCCCAGGACAACCCCGGGAGCAGGGAGGGCACTTGGGGTGTTGGGGAATATGCTGAGTTGGAACTCAAAACACCCTGGGTTTGAGGTCTGGCTTTGCCACTTGTGGGATCTGTGACTCTGGCCTTCGATTTCTCCCCTGTCACAGTGACCCAATTGGGAACCAGGTTGCTGCAAGGACAAATGCCAAGCACTTAGCACTGGCTGAGTGTTCCCTAGATAGAAAAGGGTACGTGAATCTACTGGTTGTATTTGTCTCTGCACATCTGGTGCCTGGCACAGCACCCGATAGTCATAGCTACAGTTGTGTTTAGATTTGCATCAGCTGAGCACCTGTTTCAGGCTCTGCTAGAGACTACCTCAAGGATGAGTCACCTGTTTCTAGGGTGCTTCCAGACCAGTAGGAGCAAGAGGGTGACTTGTGCTTGTACCTCTGACCATGAAGCAAAACAGACCCAGACCCAGAGCCCTGCACTGAGAGAGGGTGGCACCAGGTGCTCTGTGGGAGGGGGCTGGAGGGACCACAGGGTCAGAGAGGGAGGAACGCACGGAAGAAGAAAGTTTGGGACCTCTAGGATGCAAAGGAATTGTCCAGGCTGAGCCAGAGGAAGGGCAGTGGATCCATTACAGCACCTGCTCTCTGTGCCTGGGCATAGGCCCCTCCTCTGTCTAGAATGTCTGTCTTCTCCCTTAATCACCAGCAATCATAGCTCATCCTCCAAGCCTTAGTTCAGGCACTTTTCTCCCTCTGAGCCTTCAGCTAGCCTTGGAGGCTCCATCTTATCCTGGAAGTCCTTCTGCTGTCACACTCATGATCCTGCATTGTATCCGTTTTCTTTCTCCTCTTTCTTTTCAGAGATGAGTATCCTTAGGACTGGATGCCTGGAAAGGACCCTTAAAACCTCTCAAGGGGTTCCATCCAAGTAGGATATGGGGACTGAGTGACTCAGAGATAAGAAAGCCAGGTGGCGATTTCAGTGCTAGGGCCAGGCTGTGGCCAACTGCATGCAGGCTGGTTGAGTTCATTCACTGATAGTGGGAGATGAGGCCAGAAGGAAATATTAGGGCCAGATGGTGAGGAGCTTAAAGTTCAAGCCTGGAAGTTGGGATTTTTTCCCAGAAGCATCGGAATCAGCTTAGTTTCTTTTACAAATATTCATCTACCATGACTAGCTGAGGCCAGTGGCACTTGGCTGAGATGTCTCAGGGATTCCTCTGGCATTTCCTTCCTCCCTCCTTCCCTTCCTCCTTTCTTCTCTTTTTCCCTTCTGTCCTTCCTTTCAACCTTCCTCCATATCTTACTTTCTTCCACCAATATTTATTGAATGACTAAGTAAGTGCCATCCATTCACAGGTTAACCAGATAAAAACTTTGTCCTCAAAAGCTCACAATGTTATGGAGAAAATGGACACAGAAACAAGGAAGGCAGTGTGCTAAATCCCACCCACCTCTTTGATGGAAACGGTCCACTCCTAGTCCAGCTCCGCTTCACAGTTAGTGTCTTCCGGAGCCAAAATCAGCTATTTTTCTGGCATGACCACATCTCTGAGCCTGGCCCATCTTTGGAGACCAGATTACTGGACAATTTGTTTATATTTACTTGGGACCCCTTGGCCCTCAGGGGCAACTCTGAGGACCCCCACATTCCCTAGATGGCTGCATTCCCGTGGGCAGGTGGTGACGGCGTACACATGTCCTGTGCTGCTGCCCTGCATCCCCAGCCAGACTGTAATATTGCCCAGGGATTTGGGAATCAGATATGTTGGGACCTCAGATTCCCTCCTGCACTCACCCTCTGCCTGGCCTGGAGCAATCAAGGAAGGCTTCCTGAAGGAGGTGCTGTTGAAGCTGATACCTGGGCAATGGTTGATGCTTTGCTCTGGTGGTTGAGGGAAAAAGAAATGAGGTGAAGGAAATCACATTAATCATGTGGAAACTGGGTATTATCATTGCTGCGGCCTCCACGGATGCATATTTGGTGAGGGAATGTGAGAGAGCTGGGAGGTAAGAGGTGGTTACAAAGCGATTCTTTTCCTAAGGCAGTCACCCACAGAATTGTGACTCTAGGAGAGCAAAGGCAGGAGAGACCCCTGGTGGCTGGGGCAGTCAAGGAAGGCTTCCTGGGGGAGAAAGCCCAGGCAGGGGAGGAGAACGCTGGCCAGGCATTGGTGAGCAGTGAGGAGCATGGCACAGGGTCTGCGCTCACCCAGGGATGAAGTTCAGCCTCTCCTCGTCGCTCGCTTTGTAGTCCCGGGTCTGTGGTTTCCTAATTTATTTGGCTTGAAATTTGTGTCAAACTTTTTTTCCAGGTGTAATTGAAACCAAACCTCTAAATGCTTGTTCATTCCTGAGGGAAATTAAAGGTGATTTCAAGCAGGAAGATCACAGATTTTAGAAAAGGGGTCTGGCAGGCAGGGGCAGGGGTGGATTCTGGACTGGAAGGCTCAGCTGTGGGAGCCCCATCTGATTAGATTAGCTGCTGCTGATTATGCTTTCCGGAGAGGGGGTGCTGCCTGGGAGATGCCCGCCCTTGTTGGGGATGAGGAGGTTTGCCAGCTGCAGGGCCTGGTGCGGACCTGGAGGTCTGGGGAGGTCTCTTGCCCCATGGCCCCTTGCCCAGGAAAGGCCAAGGTGAGGAGAGGGCCAAGGTGGGGTCAGGGAGTGGACGAATCCCCCAGCTCAAACCCACCCTCCTCAGAAAACCTCTCTGTCCTGGAGGGTAGCTAATGGGGAGACTCGGGGGAAAGTTCCCCTGCCCCCCACACTCAGAGGCTGTGTGACCTCAGGCAAGTCACACAGCCTCCCTAAAGCTTTCTGCAACTCAGTTCCTGCATCTGTACAAACGGAACGGAAAGATGACCCTAGAGTGGCAGCCAGGATTAAATTAAATGAGATGGCGCCTGTGAAACCCTCCAAGCCTGTGTCATCATGGGCACCTACAGATATCTAAGGTGGACACTAAGGTGGCGTCCCAGCGGTCGAGGGAAACAGCCAGGGGTTAATAGCGACTTAACCAAGATACACATTTTCCTCAAGGAGTAAGGATGGGCCTCATGGGTGCCTTAGAAACAAAAGCCATTTTTATCTCACTTTCCTCCTGCCCATAAACAGATATTTGAAAAGTTTGCCATGTAAGCTTTAATTCCTGCTCACCCAGAAATATTTTAAAAGGGTGCAAACTTTTCTATGGGTTGAGCACTCTGCTAACCACATTCCATGCATTTAAGCACTGAATCCAACGAAAGATAGGAAGTAGGTATTACGCTTCCATTTTACAGGGGAGAACATTAAGATTCAGAAAAGCTGTGTAAATCTGTCCCCGGGCCTGGGGCTGGGACATGCTGAGCCTGGGTAAATCTAACTGCAAAGGGCCCATTCTCCGACTCTCTTTTTACACCCAGCTCAAAGCCTCTTCTCTGAAAACCTGCTTGGTGTGAGACAGGCTCCGGACCCTGAACAGCTCTGTGAGGGCAGCAGTGTAATGCACACCCTACAGAGATACTCAAGCCCAGACTCCGTATGAGAGAGGTGCTTCCGACCCACTCCTGTTGACCTGCTCCTCCCCTGTCCCCTCCTGGATCTCAGCTTTCCTGGCCACCAGCTGCCCTACTCCTCATTCCCCATCCTCTCTCCTGCCTCAGGGTTGCAATTGACTCCCACCTGCCCAACGGCCTCCACTCATGTGCCCACCCAGCAAGGCTGTCTCAGGTGGTCTTGGGTGGCACCTATTTCCACCCAACCCCCAACACCCTCCTTCACAAGCACCACCCAGAGGACAGGTGGTTCCACACTCTGATCATCCCCCAGCCCTCCAGTCTGGACCAGATGCTGATTTCTCATATCTGAAGTACCATCATATGGTTTAGGGATTTGTTCTGTGTCTCTAAGGCAGAGTCTGGAAGCTTTGGGGAGGATTCCAGCTTATCACCAAGAAGGCGTTTCAGGAGTCTGGGGGCTTGGACAAGAGATTGACTTCCTCAGGAAGAAGTGAGCCTCCTGCTCCTGGAAGAGTGGGAGCAGAAACTGGACAGTCCCTCGGCAAAACAGCCAAGAGGATCTGGGATTGAGCTATGGGATCACACTGGCTGCCCCCTGAGGAAACTTTACGTCTTTAAGAAAACTCTGTCCCACCTAGGACACCACCAAAACGTAGTCTTGCACTTGCTCCTGGCCTGAAGCCCACGTCGGAATGCGCTTCAGAGGCTTTTCCTAGCAGCCACTACTTACGCCTGCTGGAACTCCCTCTTGAACCCAAGCTCTTCTCTCTTCCTGGCTGTGGCCAGGCCAGGTGGACATATTCTGTAACCAAACACTCAGGCTGCTAATGTCATCCAGATGTTCCCCGCTGGCTGCAGCCAGGGCCTGGCTCCCGGTCAACAGGATGTGCCGCCGCTCAATGTCAGGGTTTCTCCTCTAAGGAAAAGCTTCATCTGTCAAGCAAATGAATATGAACTTACTCT
Source organism: Homo sapiens (assembly GCF_000001405.40). Classification (NCBI taxonomy): domain Eukaryota; kingdom Metazoa; phylum Chordata; class Mammalia; order Primates; family Hominidae; genus Homo; species Homo sapiens. The sequence goes on along the minus strand of NC_000002.12, from coordinate 15,795,465 downwards.
GAAACTAAACTGAAGCTTCCCACTTTTCCCCCACAGCCATGAGTGCCCAGGAGGGCACCTCCAGCGTGGCATCACGACCTGAGTCAAGTGCCTCATCTCTGCGTTTTCTTCCTGTGTGGCCTTGGCCAGGCTGCTTAATCCCACTGAGCTCTACTTCCTCTTCATCCAAAGGAAGGTTAAATGGTCTAACATAGGGCTGCTCACACTGTAGGTGTGTTTGAGTCTCCTGGGGGTGGGGGTGGGGGGCTTTGTTAACATGCAGAGCCAGATTTAGCAGGTCTAGGGTGTGGCCTTTCTAACAAGCTCCCAGGTGATACTCCTGCTGCTGGTCAGTGAGCAGTGAGGCTTGGACAGACAAGAAAGGCAGGAGAGGGGAGTGCAGGGGCTCAGGACTCAGGCTCCGGCAGAGAGCACCTAGATTGGAATCCCACTGTGCCTACTTACTGGCTGTGTGACCTTGGAGAAACTCATTCGACTTACCATGCCTCAGTTTCCCCATATGTGAAATGCAGATAATTAAAGTAACTACCTCATAAGGTCATTGTCAAGATTAAATGAATTAACACAGATAAAGAGCTTGCAACAGTACCTGACATATAGCTTTTGTTTGTTTGTTTTTAACATAAAAAGATATGTAAAAGCTTTAGCCCTTTCTTATGGTGCATAATCACTGTCCAATAAATGTTTGTGACATCCAAAAACAGGGTATGGGTGGAGCCATGAAGAGTTGCATACATTTTGACCTGACTTAACAAATGATATGATTCCAGGAACGCAAAGATTTTCATCTTTTTTTCTGAATCTCAACGAGTCACGGCCAGTTGGAGTTTGAAAGTCTTAGAGATTGTCTGGTCCAGTCTCTCTAGTTTATGGCCAAGGGCACAGAAGACAAGAGGAAGAGACTCACTCAAGGGTATATCAAGCTTTCAACAAAGAACTGGCTGCTTCTTTTTAGTGTTCAGGTCTTCCCATGGCCAGAATTTGCCCCAGTCTACCAAGTCCAGCTCAATTATTTTATTTGTGGAGCGGTGGAGGGGAAAGCTTGGTAACAGCCATGGGAAGCATTGGAACAATTGATCCAGAAGATTGCTTGCAGCCATGTCTCCTACCCCCACCCAGCTGGGAGCTTCTTAAGGCCTCCCATTCTGCTGGTACTGCAGGTAACAGTCAATTCTCATTATTCATGGGAGTTATGTTCTATCAAGCTGCCTGAATGCCAAATTAGCGGACACGGAACCACAGCTCCTAGGAGAAATACAGGGCCGGGTTCCTGTGAGCTTCTCATCACAACACTGTTGTCAACCAATCAATACATCACCTTATTTTATGCACGTTTCTGTTTAAAGACACCTTATCAAATATATATTGTTGTTTCACTAACATTCAGTTCACGACCAACAGCACAACTCGCAGCTGAACAAAGCTTAGCTAACTCATGGATGCTCTGTGTCAGGCACATCACAGCCTCCTCGTGCTCAGAAGCGCTCGACAGCACTTCAGCACTGTGCTTAGGGACCATTTAAACAACAACAAGCACGAAGATGCGAAAAACATGGCACTAAATATACCTCAGAAAGGACATTCGGACACAGTCTGAGAGCCGAGACAAGAAGGCAGAGCATTGCACCATTCAGCCTAGGCTGGGAGCATGTGCGTCAGGTGATTCAAATTTCTCACCACTTTGTGCAGGTTCTTGGATAACTGCAAAGGCACCACAAGTATTGATTTGGGGATTATGAATACATTTTAGCCAGCAGGTGAATTTGCAAATAGAGAATCTGTGGATAATGAGGACTGACTGTATTTGTGCACATGTTTCATGCCTACCTCTGGGCCAGGAGCTCTGGGAGAGTAGGGTCCCTGCCTATTGTCGTTTTCTCTCCACATCCCTGGGGTCTGGGACATGGGAGGAGGGAAAGAAGAAGGGGAGATGGAGCAGGCTTTAAGCCTTCTGGCAGATCAGAAACTCACAGCCTGCTGGCACTGCTAGAGGAAACATTCTCTTTAATGAGCTTTAGGAGATCCTGGAGGGGGAAAATAATCAATGGCAACTTTCTCTCCAACTTCAGGAACCACTTACCTTCCGGGCAAAGCTTCTCTGCTGGTCTTTTCTCTTCCCTTTCCCAGCCATTCCCACCTGGCATCTCAGGATTCCCAGGCCGCCCTCCTGGCACCAGCATGGTGGTGTGTAGGCAGGTGGTATGGCCAGGGGCAGGAGGAACCCCCAGGATGCTGAGGGTCAGTGGCCAAGGATGACATTCTGGGAGAACTCTCGGACAGCAGGAAAGGAACGAATATTTCCTGAGCACCTGACATCACATGTCAGGGCCTTCCTGGGTGTGCTGTTTTCTTTCAGACAATCTTGAGAGATAGGTATTGTTATGTATTGTTATTATTATCAGTATTGTCCACCTTTCTTTCTTTCTTTCTTTCTTTCTTTCTTTCTTTCTTTCTTTTTTTTGATGGAATCTCACTCTGTCACCCAGGCTTGAGTGCAATGGCGTGATCTTGGCTCACTGTAATCTCTGCCTTCTGGGTTCAAGCAATTCTCCTGCCTCAGCCTCTGGAGTAGCTGGGACTACAGGCACATGCCACCACACCCAGCTAATTTTTGCATTTTTAGTAGAGATGGGGTTTCACCATGTTAGCCAGGATGGTCTCGATCTCCTGACCTCATGATCCACACACCTCGGCCTCCCAAAGTGCTGGGATTACAGGCGTGAGCCACCATGCCCTGCCATCACATTTTCTAGAAAAGGACACTAGGACTAGGATAGAAACCAGGTGAAGCTGGTTGCCTGAGCTCTCACAGGTGGTAAGTGATAGAGCCACAGCCAAACCCAGGGCTTCAGATGCCAGATCCGGTTGTCAACCTTAAATAATGAGATTCGGAAAATGTGATGAAGTATAGAGTATGTTCGATCACATAGCTCGAGAAGAGGCACCTGGAACCACCCCAACTCCAAACGAACGGGGTCAGAGTTCCAAAGTGGAGAAGTTTAACTTACGTGAACATTTTAGCAGGATGACATTTTTCATACAAGACCAGTCCATACGCCACAGTGATTTGATTGGTTACAGACTGCTACATTCCAAGGAAGATTACTTTATTACACCATGAGGTAGTGATCTGAGAAGGTCTTATCTTTGGCTCTGTTTGGTCTTAATTATTTTTATTTTATTATTTTTATTTTTTAATAGCTTTTGGGGTACAAGTGGTTTTTGGTTACATGGATGAATTGTATAGAGGTGAAGTCTGAGATTTTAATGCACCCACCACCTGAGTAGTGTACATTGTACCCATAGGTAATTTCTTATCCCTACACCCCTTCTGAGTCTCCAAAGTCCATTATACTACTCTGGATGCCTTTGCACATCCATGGCTTAGCTCCCACTTATAAGTGAGAATGTGCGGTATTTGGTTTTTCATTCCTGAGTTACTTCACTTAGAATAACGTCCTCCAACTCCAACCAAGCTGCTGCGAAAGACATTATTTCATTCTTTTTTTATGGTTAAATAGTATTCCATGGTGTATATATACCACATTTTTTCTTTATCATTCATTGGTTGATGGGCACTTAGGCTGGTTCCATATCTTTGCAAGTGTGAATCCTGCTGCAATAAACACACATGTGCAGGTGTCTTTTTGGTGTATTGATTTCTTTTCCTTTAGGTAGATACCCAGTAGTGGGATCGCTGGATCAAATGGTAGGTCTACTTTTACTTGAGAAATCTCCGTATGTTTTCCATAGAGGTTGTGCTAATTTACATTCTTACCGCAGTGTGTACGTCTTCCCTTTCCCCCACATTCATGCCAACATCTATTGTTTTTGGACTTTTTAGTAATGACCATTCTTTCAGGAGTAAGGAGGTATTTCATTGTGGTTTTAATTTGCATCTCCCTGTTGATTCGTGATGTGAACATTTGTTCATGTTCATTGGCTATTTGTACACCTTCTTTTGAGAAATGTTTGTTCATGTCATTTGCCCACTTTCTCTCTTTATGAGATTGGTCTTAATTATTTACAGGAGAGAAAAGGCAGAAGTTGCAGCTGCACGCCTCCTGACTCAGGCTACATGGCCACACTCCTCTCAAGGCCTGGAATAATTTAAAGTTTCAACAGCTTTAAGTTTGAATTATTATAAGCTTGAATTCTATAATTTCACACAGTGCTCACTCCATCCCTTCACGTGCCTCTAAATTGAAAGTGACCCAGACCAAGTCCAGCCTATTGAGCTCCCTGTGCTGGTCCCTTAGCTACCAGCATGGTGGAATGAACGGCTGGTCTCAGCACCGTGGCCAGGAGGCAGTGCCTTCCTTGCCTTTCCGTGCTTGCCTCACTCCTCTTTCTGGAGAATGTGAAGGGAAGTGAATAATGCATCTACAGCTATGGGGTGGTCTTCAGCTCATAGCACAAAAGGGAAAGAAGTTAGCGTGGGTGGAAGTATGGCCCTAGAACCCTCCAACACCCTGCTTGTCCTGCTGAGGATGGTGGAATCCAGTGGGCTCCCCATAATGGCTCAGCCCTAGCATCTGAGATGTCCCCAGACCTAGGGGCTCTGGAGGGACCTGTGCAGTAGAGCAGGACCTCTGCAGCCACGCGGCCACACAGAAGGTCACGGATAGTTTGGACACCGTTCTTCCCCCTTCCCTATTCCTCTTTCCCTATTCCAGTCCCAAACCTCCCTGCACACTCCTAAGATCGCTGCATCCAGATTGGGTTCCAAAAAGATGGCCACTGAGCTCATACCAGAGCACAGGCCTTGAGCAGAAGCATTTTCAGGGTAAGAGTTGGGCCTGTGGTGGGGAGGGGGCACTGAGTCTGGGCAGAGGGCAGCTGAGTGGAGGAGGAAGCTGTGCTCCCCCGGAAGCGCCCCCTGCAGAACAGGCACGTCCGGGTGATGCTCACTGAGAGGGTGTCCGCAGCTCCGCTCTGGATGGGGAGAGCCTTGAGGGACAGCAAGAGTCCCCTCACTCATTACCTGGCACAGATCCAAGCTTCGAGCCTCCCTGCTTCACTGCAGTCCCAGGGGAGGTGGGCAGGACAGGAAATGTTAAAGATGAGAGGGGCCTCAGTGTGGGCCCGTGTCCTTCTTGCAGCCTGGGCACCAAGTACAGCATCCGGGAGCCCTCACTCTTAAGCCAGGAACTTTCCACCCAATCCTGCTGATGTGTGAGTGCCTCTTCCTCACGCAGAGGGAGCCTGACTTCCTCGGCTCCAACATGAGCCCCTCCATCAAATTCGCTATTTAGCCCTGACTTCCCAGTGGTCCCTGTTGCTCTTGTCTGGAACTATAAGCAATACCTAAGACAGAAACAAGATTCTGGTTGGCCCTGGGCCACGTGATAAGGAACTGGAACAACTGACCAGAGGGGATGGAGGTCCTTGTCAATGGTTATACAAGCCTTCATTGAATGTGCTGTCTAGGCCAGGCCCAGTACTAGGCACCAGGCAGAGAGGAAAATAGGATGTATTCCCGACCTCACATTGCTCCCAGTGTATACGTATGATGGAAACAGATTATTTGGTCGGACCAGGAGAGGGGTCAGCAATTTTTTTTTTGTAAAGGAAGACATAGTAAATGCTTTAGGCTTCGGGGCCTGTAAGGTCTCAGAAACAACTACTCAATTCTGCCTTGCAGCATGAAAACACCCATAGATAACAAGTAAACAAATGAGCATGGCTGAGTCCCAATAAAACTTTATTTACAAAAGTGGGCAGTGGGCCAGGTTTTGCTTACAGGCTGGGACCCCGATCTAGGATATAAGTTATACAATAAGTAATTTCGAAACACAAAGGAAGGGGGATTGATTACCACTGGAATGGAGATGAGGTGAAAAGTTTTGAGGGAGAAGCAAATCACCACCCTTCTCTTGGCCTCTGAAACACAAATGTTCCCACCTGGCTCACTGGCTTGAGAACGTAGGGGTTGGGAAGAGTGTGGGAGTGCCTTAGAAACACACATCAGGACTCAAACCCCTACCATTCATCCACACCGCCTATTAAACACGTTCTAATCATTTATTCAGCGCTCATCCTTTGGTTGTTGGACACGAAGCACTACACTATGCTCTTTACATAAATTATCTTATTTTACCTTAAAATAATCCATTTAGGTAGATAATTATGATCCCCATTTTACAGAGGAAGGGACTGAGAGAGGAAACATTGATTTAGTAAACACCTACTATACAATAAACTTCAACAAGCTCCACCATTCTAGGCAGGGAGGTGGTGCTGTTCTGGGTAAAGCCCCATTTTTCAGCTGTACAGACCTGCATTTTTTATCTTGGTTCCTCATTTAGTGTTCAGGTTAGAGAAGGCTTAAGCTCTCTGAGACTAAGTTTCCTCATTTGGAAAATGAGAATTCGATGCCTGTCTTGCAGAATTTCCTTGCAAAGCGGAGAATTGGTGTTGACGCGTGGAAAGGGCCTGGCCCGGTGCCTGGCATGCAGTCGGTGCTCACTGCACCCACTGCTAGTAGGTGAATACTGATAGAGAGAAGCACCGCAACCTCAGATCACGTGCTCATCTGTAGGAACAATGCAAACCTCTCGTGCTTCCTTCCTAGAAGTCTCTTTCAGGAAGAGATCTTTGGCTGACCCTGGGACCAGGGCAGAAGGCTTCTCTTCCATGTGGTTACAATTGGCCCTTTGAGGGGCCATCACCCGAGGGGACAGAGCCACTTCCCCCGTCTCCACACCAAGTGGTCCGATTAGAGCCAGCCACCAGAGTGAGGCATCCGGGGGCAGAGGCCGGGCAGTGATGGATAACCCCATCCAAGGACGCATACACAGGGCTATTTTGGGGCCTCCTGCCTGGGAGGCGGCCTCCTTGGGGCATGGGGGCCACTGACCCGGAAACAAATTAAAGGCACATCTGTTGGGAGGCCATTTCCAGCCGTGGCTCCAAGCAGCCGCCCACATTCCTGAAACAAGGGGGCTGTGTGTGTGGGGGTGAGCCAGGCTCAAACTGTCCATGCCGGGACTCCAGGGCTGCAGCCTCTAGCCAGGAAGGAGCAGCCATGGGGGATGTGGGGCCTGAAAAAAAAAGAAGGGCAATTCCTGGGCCAAGCTTGTTTCTGTCAAAGAGGGAGTTGTTTTTCAGGGTCTGGAGTGACTGGGGTTTTTGGATGCTGGGGATTTCCTTACACTCAGCAATCCAGATCAGCTGTCTCCACTTGGAAGACTCCGAGCATGAGCTCTCTCCTCCAACTCCCTATTAACAATCAAAACCCTTCTCATAGTCACAGTGGACCATCTTAGCTCACATATTAGAAGACCCAGGATTCATTTTCCTCTAAACTGGGCGATAGTCCACCTTGGCATTTAGAACTTGCTTTGGATAATAAGATAATATTTTGTCTCTGGGTCCTCCATCTATTGGCCTTAGAGTGCCTCTGAGGCACCACAGGGGAGGGAATGCATGTGCTCAGTAAGTATTCTCAGAATGGATGAATGGATGGAGTATGGATAGATGAATGGACAGATGGATGGATGCAAGATAAATGGATCAAGTATGAATGGATGGATGGACGGATGGAAGGAAGATGGAGGATTAATGGATGGACAGATGGATAGATAGAGGATGGATGGATGGATGAATGGATGATGAACAAAGAATGGAGGGAGTATGGAAGATGGATGGATGGATGGATGAATGGATGATGAACAAAGAATGGAGGGAGTATGGAAGATGGATGGATGGGTGGATGGATGGATGGATGACAGAGAATGGATGGATGGATGGAAGATGAACAGATGAATGGATGGATGGAGGATAGAGAATGGAGGGATGAATGAATGGAGGGATGAATGGATGGATGGATGGAGATTGGATTGAATGAATAGTCTGTGTGGGCACAGAGAATAAAAAGAAGATAAAAAGATGTCTAAGGCCCCTTAGAATCTTAGCATCATCTCCAGATGGAAAGAGTGCTGACATGAGTTCCTTATTGCCCCTGCTTTCTCTGTGGACTTTCCATCCCTGACCTCTCCCCTCTCCTCCCACCCAGGAGAAATGAAATGACAGAGACAGGTCAGATAAAGACAGAAAATAAATTCTGGGACCTTGCATCAGACCACTGCCTCTGGGAGAAACAGAACAGCCAGCAAGACTTTCTTCAAAAAATAATGTATTAAAAACGTTGTCTGATTTTGTTGACTGCCTGTCAAATTTGGAAACCTAGAGAGTGTGAATGTCTCCACTGACAATGTTCACTGATCCATTCATTGAACAATTACATTCTCTAAGCACTTACTCTGGGCCAGGCTTTGTGTGAGGGGCTGTGGAGAATCAAACATAAATCCTCTAGGTCCCTGCCCTCCAAGGGCTCACAATCTGGTGGAGGAGGCACATAAACCCACAGGTGGGCAGTGTGATGGTGGCAAAACCGTGAAGTAGTGAAGGGTGGAGGTTTGAAGCCAGACTGGGTTCAGATCCTGGCTCCACCACCAACTAGCTGTATGGTCTTGGGAAAGTTGCTTAACCTCTCTGTGTCCCAGTTTTAGCATCTGTAAAATGGGGATAATAGTGGATTAAAAAGAGTTATTATTGGCCGGGCACGGTGGCTCACGCCTGTAATCCCAGCACTTAGGGATGCCAAGGTGGGCAGATCACTTGAGGTCAGGAGTTCAAGACCAGCCTGGCCAACATAGTGAAACCTCGGCTCTACTAAAAATACAAACATTCGCTGGGCATGGTGGCGGGTGCCTGTCATCCCAGCTACTTGGGAGGTTGAGACACAAGAATCCCTTGAACCCGGGAGACGAAGTTTGCAGCGAGCTGAGATCACGCCACTGCACTCCAGCCTGGGCGATAGAGCAAGAATCAGTCCCAAAATTAAAAAAAAAAGTTATTATTTATTAAAGTACTTAGAACATTGTCTGACCCACAGGAAGTCCTATATGAAGATTTGTCAAATAAAATAGCCACAGTACAGTAGGGATGCAGAGGAGACATCCTGGTGCTGCCCAACCTGAACAGAGTGATCTTTAGTAGCTTCAGGGACAGACGCCTTGTGGAGGAGGTGGCATCTCAGTGGGACCTCAGCTAGTCAGCTGTTTCTTAAATTGACAGGTACTTACTGTATCCTAGGCACCGTGTTAGGCCCATGGTGTATCCGGTCTTCAATCATCCCCCCGTTGGCAGATGTAATTGCTACATGTACTTCACACAGGAGAAGAGTGACCAGCAAGGCTGAGTAACTTGTTCAAACACACACAGCTCGTCAATGGCAGAGCTGGGCTGCAAACCCGGGTGGCCTGACTATGGACAATTTTTGGCTTTGCCACTTGGCTGCATGTGATCTGAAGCAAGTTACTTAACATGTCTGGGCCTAGCTGCTCTTTGGGAACAATGATGGTGGCCACCTTCAGGTGGGACTTAAGTGAGTTAATACGTGCAATGCAATGAGAACAGCAGCAGGCACGTGGTAAGGGCCCCGTGAGAGTCAGCCCGTCCCTGAAACTCTCAAACCCGCTTCCACCCACCTTGCTCTACGGCCTCGGAGCACTGCAGTCTCCAGGCAGGTGACCCCTTCCACGGAATGGCTCCTGTTCTTGGGAACCAATGATCCTTTCTCTGAGGTACGTGTGCTTTGGGGATGGGAGTATGTACTCTGAGGGTGGCATGTGGTTTGAGTTTGCAAGTGTATTTCCTCTAAGTCTAATGAGCCTCTGAAAGTGATTAAGCAGAAGACAGAAAAGCTGAGCCAATGCCTCTTTATCGGAAGAAATGATATCAAGCCTCGCGCCCCCAAACCCATTTCCCACCAGCTCCCTCATCCTCCCCCAAATAGTGTCGTGGAAATTCCAACCCGAGTCCCTAAACAGCAGAGGAGATGGGGCCTGGCTGGCAGGCATCCCCTGTCCCCTGCACCTCTGGCGCCTTCTTTCTCATTTGAAGGGAACTGGACACAGCCCAGAGCTCCGGGTCAAGCCCTGGCACAGCCCCTGCCCCACCGGTCCCCTTGGGTGGAGTCGTCCTCAGCCTCTGCTCTGCTCACAGCTTCCCTCTGCTATGAAGGATGCCCTTCCCAGCCTCACTGCCAGAAACATCCTGCTCCTTTTCCCAAATCTCCAAGAAGTGGCCCTCACCGCAGCACCTCCTCTCACTGAGTTCACATGTCCACATGGGATTGTAAGTTTCTCCGCCTAGGGGCTTCTCCCTCACCCATTCGTGAGCTCCGGGAGGGTACGGCCCCCGCTGCCCTCGGCACACAGGGTGCTTTGGTGAATGCGCTGGATGAAATGGAAGAAACTCAGCCTCAGGTTCTCTCCAGCCCGCAGCCTTCCTCCCTGAAGCTTCCTGTAAAGACAATTGTGCAAATGGCCCTCAGGTGTCCTGAGAGCCCCAGGCCAGCCCTGCTCCTCATCCTGACCCACAGAGAAAGGCCCCAGAGCCAGCTCCCACCCTGTGCCCCTGAGCAGACACCTCCACTCTTCTCTGGCACCTCCCCGCTGGAGAGGTGGAGTCAGGTGGACGGGATTTTTAACACCTGTGCCTGCTGCAGGCTGAAGCGCCACATGGGGATGTAGAAGTGGTCAGGAAAGGCCAGGCATGGGTGGACACTGAAGCAGATGCTGAAGGAACAGCCCAGAAGGAGGGACAGGGTGCCGAAGCCTGGAAGCCCTGCTTTCAGGGTCTCGGAAGCTCCCTACTCCCCCTACCCCACCCCAGGGCAAGGAATGCTGTATCCAGGGCCCCTGACAGTTGTGTCATTGCCCTGCAGTGATGTGGCATGGACACATTGGCCTGTCTGGGTGCATTGCCCTGGCTGGGGGTGTTCAGGAAGCCGAGGCTGCCCCCATCGCACTCCGACAGCTTCCTGCAAGTCACTTCCCATTGTGCGGGGCCGTCCCACCTTCTTCTGAGAATGGAAGAGATGAGCATAGGCCTTGGAGACCCCTGCAAACGAACTTGAATCTGATAATGCCACAACTAAGCTAATCCCCATAACAGTGCAGGGTGGACATGAGGCTTAAAAAACAAGACAGTGGTCACCAGCCATCCCCTCCCAGCAGTCCCCTCCCAGCCATCCAGCACATTATGATTTCCACAGCCCTTTTACTCCTGGTGTCTCAGACCATCCAGGTCACCTGGGAGCCTGGTCGGGCAGGTCGCCTGAGGACTGATCTTGGAGGTATCTTTCAAGACCACCCATGCCATGGAGTGGAGCTGGAAACGGCTGCTCCGCCATGGGACATGTCAGTCTGTGTGACCAGCGTACAGAAGAGTGACTGCAAGTGAGGCTGGGGAGGTAAACAGAACAAATCCAATTCCTTAGCTGCCCAGCTAAAGAGACTGGCTTGCCTGCTGGTGCTAGAGGCACCAAGGAACTCTGCAGGGGAATGATGAGGGCATTCTGTGCCAGGGAAAGCCACTCTGGGAGCCACAACAGGGCTACATTGGCTGGGAACTCCCTCATGAGCTGTGGCATGTGGTGGGAGGTGATGGCTTGGACTCTACAGGGGTTCCCGCAGCCACATGGGGAGCTCTGGCAGACAGGCACCAGAAGCTCTCAGAAGACAGGTGTCAGGAAGAGCTGGGGACACCAGGAAGAGCTTCCTGCAGGAAGCATCACAGTGGCTGACTTGAAGTAGCAGTAGGTTTGGACAAGCAAAGAGAGGGCACTGTTATAATGAGGAGGTTGGGTGCCTTCAACCTAGGAAAGGAGATCTGTGTGTCCCAGGGTCATGGGTAGAGACTCTCTGACTATGGGAGGATGCGAAGCCATGGAGCGTGCTGGCGGCCGGCTGCCCAGCACAGGGAGAAAACGCCATGGCTGGCTCTGACATGTATCACTGTCCCTGCAAGACACCATCCCACGTAAGTCCCCAAATTTGTGCTAAGGACAGGGCCTGGGAAGGAAAGAAGTCTTCCTACAAAGATTGAAAAGGACTTTGATGTCATAGACTCCAGCCCCCTGCCTGGCTCTGACATACCCTCTGTCATATCTACACTGAGTCCTTCACCAGCTCATGGACACCCAACTTCAGGCACGGGGACCTCCCTTCTCAGAGCAAGCTTTGCCAGCTCTTGCATTTCAGTTCACTTCTGAATACTGAATTGTAAACAACACCTGTCCATCTTTTGGGAGGAAATAGGACCACCGTGATCTTCAGGGCAGAGGAGATTCTTTCTCGGTGTTAAATGCAAAGTTGGCCCTTACTATAGAATGACTGTCCGGGATTAGGGAGTGCCTGACAAGAGCTGAGCCCTCATGGACTGGGAGTGAGGAGACTTGGGGTCTGGTCCCAGCTGCTCTTACCGCTTGTGCCTGTCACTTCATCTCTCCAGACCTCAGTTTGCTGATCTGAAAAAAGAAAATGAGGTTAATTTATCCCCATTTCATACGGCTGTTAGGATGAACAAATACATTCTCGGGTGTGAAAGCACGAAGACACTCTAAATGCAAGTTATCATTGATGATTCTTGCTGGTAGTTGGGTAGTGGGGATGATAATAATGTCCACTAGAACGCACTCTCTAATGAGTTTCAGTAACTTAAAGCACAAAGCCAAGGTGAACATTCAACCTGCAGCCACAGGGCACAGGTCACAGCTCAGCCCTGGAGAGATTTTTTTTTTTTCCCACAAACTACCCTCCAAAGGAACAGACCATGCTTAGAGGAGTGAGCTCCCTGTCACTGATGGTATCCAAGCAGCCTCTGGGTACCCCGTTGCCTCTGATGATATAGAGGAGCTCCTGTCCCAGGGAAAGGAGTTTTGGAGTACGAACCAGCGATTTCTCAGAATGTTCTGGCGCAGAGAGGGTGACTCAAACCATTGCTCCATTGCTTTAATTCCTGCTTCCCACTTCCCCTTGGCAGCAGTGGGCGTGCCATTGTAAAATCCAATTCGTGGGTTGGATTCCCTGCCCCCACATCACACCCCGCTTCACATGCTCTGCCATGCATTCCTCTGTCAGGAGCTTGAAATAGGTCTCCAGGCCAGCTGGAGAATCAGGGTGGTCAGGGACCCCCCTCAGGGGTGGGAGAGGGAGGATGGAAGAGAAGACTCCAGCGACCTTCCTCTGCGGTTATCTCCTCCCATCTGTAAACAGCGCCTGGCCCTCCCCGGGGCAGCCGCAGCCTCACACTCCGGGTGACAGGGTGTTTGGACATTCGGAGACCCTCACCCGCCCGCCTTTGTTCTCCAGGCTTAATGAAGGGACTGCTAAAATCCCAGTTGCCAGATAAGATGACAGGGCAGTCTTTTAGGGTTATGGATGGTACACATGAGGTGACAGGATGAATTCCTGTGTGCAGAGGGATCTGAGCCCCCGCCTGTGACCAAAAGTGTACTCATCTCAACTGGTACAAGTCTGGTCCTTCAGCTTCCAAAACAAACATTGCTCACTCATGCAGAAAGATTACAGGAAGACACCAGGAGAGGGGCATTTGGGGAGCAAAGTACACTGCCTGCAAAACCAAAGCCCAGACACACCCAAGAGGGTCTGTCTCTACCCTCAGCTCACCTTCAGCCTGGGTCACTTCCTATTTCTTTCCCATTCATGATAAGAACCGCATCTCACTAGTTGCATTTTAGTTTACAAAGTGCTTTTACTTGATTTCACGGGACCGTCATACCTCCTTGAGGGTGAGGATGTGACAGAGAGACTGGATGACATCTGGTGTGTCACCTAGCTCTCTGCACTTGGGCTGACTCGCTGGGCTTTCTGAGCCTCTGTTTCCCTTGCTGGTGAGTGGAGATTCTCGCAGGGCTGTGGCAGGGCCATCGTGAGACAGCATATTGGGAAATGCCTGCAGCCTTCCTGACTTGAGCTGCCATTGTTCCATTGTCACGGGCAGCTTGGGAAGGTAGCGTCTTCTGCTTGGTTCACTGCTGTGTCCAGCACCTAGAAGCCTCATGGAATAGAACTGGTGCATGTTACATTTTTACTGGCTGAATAAATATTCATGGATGTATTTGTGGGTTTCTCGGGCTCTGCCAGAGCCGTCGTGGCTGTAGAGTAGTTACAGGCGGGAGAGGCTCTTGCTCGGACTCTAAGGGGTCTGCCCCACATGGTGCTTCCCAGGCATCTCTGGCCATGGATGAAAGGCCTGTTCAGAGCCTCCTCCCTGGCTCCTGGCCGTGGCCCTGGCCCGTCCCTGAGCCACTCGGCAACTCTGGGTCAGGGAAGTTGCCTTCTCCAGCCACTGGGGGCTGCAGCCACCCTTGGCTTCCACATCCCACCTTAGGCTGCCAGGTGGGCCCACACTTGTATCATATCAAGAAGCAGCATCTCCCTTACTCACACACTCTCACACACACACTCACTCACACACACACACACTCTCTCTCACACACATACTCTCACACACACACTCACACACACTGACACACTCTCACACACACTTACACACACATTCCCACACACTGTCTCACACAGACAACACACACACTCACAGACACTCCCACAGACACTCCCACACTCACACACACACTCACACACACACACACACACACACACTCACACACACACTCCCCCACACACACACACACACACACACTCCCGAGTGTCTTGCCAGGGCTGGTCTAGAGACCAGAGCCTGGTTCCTGGGACCTGCCCAGTCTCCGGAAGGAACTTGACCATGACTGCAGGCATCACTCCTGCTCTTCTCACTCACTTATGAGTTCTCCAGAGCTCTGGGGGGAAACTCCCCTTGCCCTACCCCTCCCTCCAGCCCTTAGAAACTGAAGGCACAGGACGGACCGTAAGGACATCAGCACTGGAGGTGACAGTCCAGTTTGGGACAGAGTGATACCATTTCTTTTTCATTTTCTTCAACCTTGAGCAGCCCCCTTCCAGCACTTTGTATGTTGCTGGAATCCTGCTCGCTTCTAGATCTTATGAACTCATTTGCCTAACCCTAGCCGGAAGCCTGTTGGTGGTTCCAAGGCAGATGAGGCACTGGGAGTTGTGCTTTCACCACGTTGCTGATGAGCCTTGATTTGCCCACAGTTGTGCTTCCTCGGCCCCACCCAGGAGCTCAGTGGGCCCAGGGGGCCTGCCCCTGCTGGGGAACTGACAGGGGCTGGTCGGAGGGCCTGCCCCTCAGCTGCCCAATCAGAGGCCCAAGGGGCAAAGCCAACAAAGGACCCCGGGGCAGAGTCTGTGGGGCGGGGGTCAGTCTGATGCATTATGTAACAGAAAATAGGCTGTGACAGAGAACAATAAACACTGGGCCTGGGAGAGAGACTGTTTTTGGCAACTGCCTGGTTGGTGGAGAGATGCTTCTTCTCCCACTTTCTTCCTCCCACTGACATAGCCACATGGGACAAAATGCCCACTTAGGGAAGCCCCTGCAGATATATTTGCCTCACAAGTTCCCTCCACCCTCACCAACTCTCACTGCAAGAGCTAGCCTTGCTTCTGCCTTCAGCTGGGCTAACCCTAAGTCCATCTGCACCCCACAACGATTGTAAGGCATGTGGAGGCTATACCACCCCTTCTCCATAGCCCTCTATGGCTCCACATTGCCCCAGGGTAAACACTGACCACTGAGACTGGGAATGCAATGCCTTCCTCAACTCCTCAACTCCCAACTCTCTCCCTTCACCTTAGGCTCTGCTTCTTGGGACAAAGTGGGCATCACCCTCTACTTTCTTGCCACCAGGCATCCTACTGCTGTTGTCTGAAATGCCTACCCCCTAGTTCTTCCTCATCTATACATCTTCATTATTATAATTTTTCAAATTCTAACTGAAAACTCACCATGGCCCTTAACCCCCTTTGTATACAGGATGAGTTCTTTCTCCAGAGCACAGTCCTTGCACCTTCATTTTGTAGCTGGCTTTTGCAGGTTTGTCTTCCTGTACTATTATGAACTGCTTGGGCAAAAGAACTGTAACCACTTCATTGTTTTGTGCCCATCCCTGCCATGGAAGAGTTCAGATCAAGAGGGTGAGGCAGACATTTAAAGAGATGCATGCGGCCGGGTGAGGTGGCTCAAGCCCAAATCCCAGCATTTTGGGAGCCCAAGGCGGGCGGATCATTTGCAGTCAGAAGTTTGAGAACAGCCTAGCCAACATGGCGAAGCCCCATCTTTACGAAAAATACAAAAATTTGCTGGGCATGGTGGCATGTACCAATAGTCCCAGCTACTTGGGAGGCTGAGGCAGGAGAATCACTTGAACCCGGTAGGTGGAGATTGCAGTGAGCCAAGACTGCACCACTGCACTCCAGCCTGGGCAACGGAGTGAGACTCTGTCTCAAAAGTAATAATAATAATAATAATAATAATAATAATAAACAGATGCATGTAGCAAAGCTTTAAAGGTGCCACAGCAGAAATACCCATGGTGCATTTGTTTTTGTTTAATTTTGTTTTGAGACGGGGTCTCTCCCTGTTGTCCAGGTTGGAGTACAGTGGTGCAATCATGGCTAAGTGCAGCTTTGAATTCCTGGGCTCAAGTGATCCTCGTACCTCACCCTCCTGAGTGGCTGGGACTACAGGCACGTGCCACCACCCCCAGCTAATTTTTTACTTATCTGTAGAGACTGGGTCTCACCATGTTGCCCAGGTTGGTCTTGAGCTCCTGGCCTCAAGCGATCCTCCCATCTCAGCTTCCCAGGCTGCTGGGACTATAGGTGTGGGCCATCATGCCCCGTCCCCATAGTGCATTTGTTTAAAACTCTAGGCCATGGGATCCATGTGGACCAAAGAGCTAAGAGGAGAAATGGCTGGCATAGACAAGGAACCACAGCAGTTAGTTGAGTACTGCTGGAATGCTCTTGCGGGAGAAGACAAGCCTTGTGTGCCATGCTCTCATTAGGTCATTGTCCCGTAAGTGAAGAAACCCTTGAAAGACTTCTTCATTATAAACCATAATTAATAAACTATCTCAGTAAGTATCACAACCCCTCACTTATCAGAGTTTAGATGTCTACTAATCTAAGATATCCAAAATAATACCAAATCCAGGTCAGGCACGGTGGCTCATGCCTAAAATAATACCAAATCCAGGTCGGGCACAGTGGCTCATGCCTATAATCCCAGCACTTTGGGAGGCCAAGGCAGGCGGATCACTTGAGGACAGGAGATCGAGACCAGCCTGGCTGACATGGCAAAACCCTGTCTCTACTGAAAATACAAAAATTACCTGGGCGTGGTGGTGCACACCTGTAATTCCAGGTACGCAGGAGGCTGAGGCAGGAGAATCGCTTTAGCCTGGGAGGTGGAGGTTGCAGTGAGCTGAGATCACGCCACTGCACTCCAGCCTGGGCAAAGGAGTGAGACTCTGTCTCAAAAATAAATAAATAAATAAATAAATAAATAAATAAATAAATAAATAAATACCAAATCCAAAGAATATGAGCAGCTAAGGAGGAAGAAAAACCTGAAGAACTCAGGACATACTCTAATTAGTCACTTTGCTGACCAGAGGACAGGGGTCACCCACAGAGGGCATGAAGCCCTAGGCTCTGGAGAAACCTAGCAGGCAGGAGAAGGGGCAGGAGAGAGATGGAGGGCGGCATCAGGGAGGAAGAGTTGGATGAGATGTATCAATAACTCCAAACAGAAGGAAAGTAAATTGACAGATTAATGACAGACAGGTATACTTTTATACGTTGCTTCATTCTAAAAGACACTTGTGGTGATGAGAAAAATAAAAAATTAGCAAATAATAATAAGAGTCCATAATGAAATTGAGGCATCAACAGCATGACACAAAGTAGGTACACAAATACAATTGCTTAGAAATAGAGAGGAAATAGACATATCACAGTTAAGGCATGTTTTCTCCACCTGCTAAGTACACAAATTTAGAAAAGAGCAATTTACAAGGGAGAATCCACAGACACACAGCAAGCTCTGTGTGTTTCAAGTCACCTCCCAAACCTCTGATCAGACCAGTCCTTGGAAATGCCTTTTTCCACTAACCCAATGACCCCCATGGTTTGGCAGCCACTGACTGACTCCCCATTTCACCTGTATCTAGGCTCGCTGCCTGTATGAAAATGCTACATCTGTCAATCCCGTCTGTTTCTTCACCCTTACGCCAAAGTGCCTAAAATAGTGCCAGACAAATAGTGGGTAGAAAAAACATGCCAGTGATAAAACAAAATTTGGTATTGCATATAATGGAGTATGATCCCACCTTTAAAAGGAGCAAAATTCTGACACATATTACAACATGGATGAACCTTAAAGACATTATGCTAAGTAAAATAAGCCAGAGACAAAAAGACAAATATTGAAGAATTCCACTTACAGGAAGTACTTAGTCAGACTTGTAGAGACAGAAAGCAGAGTGGGGCTTCCAGGGGCTGGGTAGGGAATGAGGAGTTACTATTTCACGCGTACAGAGTTTTGACTGGGGATAATGAAAGATTCTGCAAATGGATGGTGGTGATGGTTGCAGAACAATGTGAATGTACTTCATGCCACTGAATTGAACACTTAAAAATGGTTAAGATGGTGAGTTTTATTTGTGTATATTTTACCATACATGCAGAAAAGTACTGGTAGACATACAGGTTTCAGTTACGTGGATCAAGCAAACAAACAGCTTTCTTCTACCACTCTGTCCTCCCCAACAAAATATACAACAAACCTGGCTGGAGAGACGACCAAAGGGGACTGGGCTATCCTTTTCCCTGTATTGCCTACTCAGGTCAGAAAATTAAATAATTGGCCAATAGGATTGGGCAACATTATAGGCCAATGTGAGCACCATGGCCCCACCAGCTATTCAGCGGGAGAGGGCAGGGGCTCAGGAAGCCACAGGAATTAGGCGTATGATGAAATGTCTTTATCTGCAATGTCAACACACAAAAAGGGAATGTTGAAATGGATGCTCCCCTCTGAAGCTGCATGGATTTTATGTTCAAAGACTCAAGAGGAAACGGACAGGGATGAAATGTTTGCACTTGTTTCGTCTGGAGAAAAGCTCCAAGCCACCACCCTCTGCAGTCACACAGTCACACTATGGGCAGGCTCCTCACCTTTTTGAGTTCGTGTCATGTTTTAGTTACTAGAATATCTGGCTGTGTGTTTGGAGGGATTAAACTGTGCACATAGAATGCAATTCCCCTACTCTCCTATCACCCCTGGGTCCCTGCTTGAGTAGAACTGGAAGAGGACTGCACTGACCTCTTTCTCTTACATACCCATGAACCAAATATTCACACTATCTGGCAAATGTGTGGTGTTTCTCTGTCACTGCTTGTATTTTGCCATTCCTTTTTTTGTTTTAATTTTTTGCTAGTAGTAAGACATGTCCCCCTTTATTACGTCTGATGTAGGACCATTCACCTTGACAACTTGCCCTGTAGACAGCACCATAGTAGTGTATATCTTCAGTTAGAGTTCAGTGTCTTAGTCAGTTTGGGTGCTATAACAAAAATACCATAGACTTGGTGGTTTTTAACAATGAGCATTTATTTCTCACAGTTCTGGAGGCTGAGAAGTTCAAGATCTAGGCACTGGCAGGTTCAGTGTCTGTTGAGGGCTGTTGCTTGGTTCATGGATGGCCATCTTTTCTCTGTGTCCTCACATGATGGGAGGGACAAGAAAGCTCTCTGGGGCCTCTTTTATAAAGACACTAATCACATGCTGAGGACTCAGCCCTCATGCCCTAAGCCCCTCCCAATGGTCCACCTCCTGATATCATCACCTTGGAGGTGAGATTTCAGCATATGGAACAGAACAGAGCCCTCAGAAATAATACCACACATCTACAACCATCTGATCTTTGACAAACCTGACAAAAACAAGCAATGGGGAAAGGATTCCCTATTTAATAAATGGTGCTGGGAAAACTGGCTAGCCATATGTAGAAAGCTGAAACTGGATCCCTTCCTTACACCATATGCAAAAATTAATTCAAGATGGATTAAAGACTTAAATGTTAGACCTAAAACCATAAAAACCCTAGAAGAAAATCTAGGCAATATCATTCAGGACATAGGCATGGGCAAGGACTTCATGTCTAAAACACCAAAAGCAATGGCAACAAAAGCCAAAATTGACAAATGGGATCTATTTAAACTAAAGAGCTTCTGCACAGCAAAAGAAACTACCATCAGAGTGAACAGGCAACCTACAGAATGTGAGAAAATTTTTGCAATCTACTCATTGACAAATGGCCAATATCCAGAATCTACAAAGAACTCAAACAAATTGACAAGAAAAAACCAAACAATCCCATCAAAAAGTGGACGAAGGATATGAAGAGACACTTCTCAAAAGAAGACATGTATGCAGCTAACAGACACATGAAAAAATGCTCATCATCAGTGGCCATCACAGACATGCAACTCAAAACCACAATGAGATACCATCTCACACCAGTTAGAATGGTGATCATTAAAAAGTCAGGAAACAACAGGTGCTGGAGAGGATGTGGAGAAATAGGAACACTTTTACACTGTTGGTGGGACTGTAAACTAGTTCAACCATTGTGGAAGACAGTGTGGCGATTCCTCAGGGATCTAGAACTAGAAATACCATTTGACCCAGCCATCCCATTACTGGGTATATACCCAAAGGATTATAAATCATGCTGCTATAAAGACACATGCACACGTAAGTTTATTGCAGCGCTATTCACAATAGCAAAGACTTGGAACCAAGCCAAATGTCCAACAATGATAGACTGGATTAAGAAAATGTGGCACATATACACCATGGAATACTATGCAGCCATAAAAAACGATGAGTTCATGTCCTTTGTAGGGACATGGATGAAGCTGGAAATCATCATTCTCAGCAAACTATCACAAGAACAAAAAACCAGATACCTCATGTTCTCACTCAGAGGTGAGAATTGAACAATGAGAACACTTGGACACAGGAAGGGGAACATCACACACCGGGGCCTGTCGTGGGGTGGGGGGAGGGGGGAGGGATAGCATTAGGAGATATACCTAATGTTAAATGACGAGTTAATGGGTGCAGCACACCAACATGGCACATGTATACATATGTAACAAACCTGCATGTTGTGCACATGTAACCTAAAACTTAAAGTATAATAATAATAAAAAAAAAGAATTTTGGAAGGGGACACAAACATTTAGAGTATAGCACCCAGCAAAGATGGTTCACAGTACATGGGAGCTCTGGGACTCTGGGATTGAACATTTCAACTCCACAGACACAGAACTAGAAATTGGGTGCTTTCTAAGGGGTTGTATTTAACTCCTCTGATTCTGCAGCTTCTCTGTTGTGCTGTATTAAATTCAAGGCAAGAGAATTTTGTGCATCTCTTGTGCGACAAGAGCTACCTTGGTTGTTGTGGCTGGAATGTGGACCACTCCATATGTAAGCCAGTATGGATGGACCCCTGTCCAGTGGCCTGAGTACTAGTCCAGGCACCTCCACTGACCAGCTCTGGTCTCTCAGGCCACGTGCTTCCTTTATTCCAGCCCCTTGCTTCTCCTTCTGTAAAATGGAGGCAGAAATAACACTTTTTATTCAGTGCTAATTACATAGCAGATCGTTCATATGCATTATTCCGAATCCTCTCAACCAACACCCCTTCATGGTAGATTAATATCATCATTATAGATAAGAAACATGAAGTTCAGAGACTGGAGTGACTTCCAGAGCTGGGGTCTGAACCTGGTGTCAATCCATCTGGGCTATAGGCCACGTAGTGTGGCTTTCTCCCCCATGGATTTATTTGTGAGTATCCTATGAAATGGGATAGGAACTAAGTGACAGGTAAATTGTGAGGTGCTGGCAAGTTTCTATTTTAAATTTTATTGGAAAAAAATCAAAAGATTAATCATTGATGACTAAGTGATTTTTTAAAAAAAAAATCTGGCATTTTTTAATAGTTCTGTTGCATTATCATGCACCTTCCATACGTTCACGTATTTAGAATGTACGGTTCACTGGTTTTTAGTCTATTCAGAGTTGTCCATTCATTACCACAATCCATTTTAGAACATTTTCATCTCTCCTTAGCAGTCACTACCTGGCTCCCCCAGCCTAAGCAACCCCCGACCTACTTTCTGTCTTCTTGGTTTCGCCTGTTCTGGATATTTCGTGTAAATAAGATCATACACTACGTGGTCTTTCGTGACTGGCTTCTTTCACTTAGCATGATGTTTTCAAGGTCCATCCACGCTGCGGCATGCGTTAGCACTTATTGCTGAAAAATATTCCATTGTATGGATATGACATATTTGCTGTATCCATTCATCTATTGATGGATATTTGGGTTGTTTCTACTTTTTTGTTGTTATAAGTTATGCATAATTTGTGTTTACTGAGGTATAATTTCTAGACTATAAAATGTACAGAATTTCAGTGTGGAGTTTTCGTAGTTTGAAAAATGTCTCCCTGCATAACCACCACCCCCATGAAGATGAAGAACATTTCCACCACCTTAGAAAGTTCCCGCAAGCCCCTTCCAGCCACCCCCACCTCACCCAGGGGCAACCTCTGCTCTGATCGCCATTCCCCATGGGTAGGCTGTAGCTGTTCTCAAACTTCACATAACTAGAATTATACGGTGAATGCTTGCTTTTGTATCTAGCTTCTTTAACTCAGAGTAACATCTATGAGGTGCATCTAGGATGGGGTGTGTATCAGTCATTTGCTCACAACCCGGTTTTAAAGAATAAGCAGCATTTTAACAGGTGAGGCCAAGAGAGAAAGGGCTTTTTGGGAGGAAGGCAGAGGCTCGCAGTGAGCCAAGTGATTCCCAGGGTGCATCCCAGAAAGGCAGACTGACTGTGAGGGTCAGCAGAGCAGGAGGAATGTGTGGCAGAGAGAGCTGGAGGGCCCTCCACGGAGCCATCTCATCCTGGACCTCATTTGATCCTCACCGCAGGCCCTGAGATCGGCAGAGCAGGGCCATTTCCCTTCTTACTCTTGAGGACACAAAGACTGGCAAGGACTCCCCCCGACCCACCATGCAAACCCCGAGACTCCCAGCCCTGCCCTCTTTGCAGGCCTCTCCAGCACCCAGGTTCTCACACAGCCACCTCAGTTTCCCCTCTGGACTAGCCAACGCTTTCACCTTTCTAGGCCCTTACCCCAGGCGATAGGCAAAAGCAAACTGGAGAGTGCCCCCCTGCCCCAGCCCCTAAGGCTTTGTTTCGAGAAGGGCCATCTCAGTGGAAGCTCTCCCCTCCCTGCTGCCTTGCCCGCTCCTCCAGGGGCGTTTCTCTGTGCCTAGTCTGACTCATTTCCCTCCTCACAGTTGGGCAGTGTGCCCACCAGCCACTGGCTCGGTGGGCTCTGGAGGGATGTTGGAACCTGCATATGATTTATGTAATTACTGTTTGCCTCCGGACGCAGGGAGGATGCAGTCAAGATGTTGGAGGGAGGCACCCCATGGCTCATCCAGCCCCACCTCTGCTCTCAAAGTGGGACCTGAGACCCAGAGTGGGGACTGACGTCTTCCAGGTCCTACAGATCTAAGGTGGCCCCTGAGTTTTACGCAACTCGGGTAAAAAGGCCCAGGAGCTGCAAGACCCCACGACTCTCCTTCCCAACGACTGGGAACACAGCTGGAGTCCACCGGGCCTGTCAGTCATGGCTCTGTGGGATGAGGCGTGATCCACAGTTAGGAGATCCGGCTCCCAGCCCCTATTGCCCAGGGCAAGGGCCCAGAAAGGTGAAAGGGTTGGCTAGTCCTGAGGGGAAACTGAGGTGGCTGCGTGAGGACCCGGGGAGGGGTGCTGGAGAGCCTGCTCCCGAGACTGGGAGTCTCGGGGTTTGTGCGGGGGATTGGGGGAGTCCTTGCCCATCACTGTGCCCTGCTGGGTGACTCTGGGCAAAGTCACATGCTGTCCTAGACTTCAATCCTCCCGCGGCCCTGGCTGGCCCACTAGGCTGCTGTGAGGCAGGAAGGGACTAATGCACAGGGTGCTCTTTGGAAAACTGGAAGGTCCCCCTAATCAGACTTGAAGGATGGCCTCACACCCACACCTTTAGCTCAGAGATCCTCTCTCCGTGCGAGGCAGAGAAGGGAAGGAGGAAGGGGCCGGCCTTTATGGAGTAGCTACCTTGGGCCCATGGCATGGGGGTACCGGAAGGTAGTCCCCTCACTCTGCCTGCCCTTCACCTCCTCTCCCTGAGGAAGGCATGGGGCATGTCCTGGGCATTATCAGCTCCACTTTCCGAGGCTCAGAGAGGTCCCTCATTTCAACAGCAGCCCCCGTCCCCACCCTGGGTCTCCTCAGCACCCTGTCAGCTCCATGTATCCCAGACCTGGGCCCAGGGGAGCTTTCCTCAGCAGTGGAGCTAGGCCCTCTGAACACTGGAACGGGACGAAGTCCTGACTGTCTGGAGAGTGAAGCTTGTCCCTCAGTGGGAAGGTGCGCTTCCTCCCAGGTACTGCCTGCAACTCAGGGTCTTGCACCCCTCATGGGCCCTGTGCAATGTCAGGCAGCAGCTTGGAGACCACCCCAGCCCAGCAGGAAGCGCCCACCTGTCTCTGGGCCAGGGAACAAGGAGAGGGAAGCCAGGGCCCGTGTGTGGGCTTTGGGCCTTCAGAGCCAGGTGCCGGCCAGAGCTGATGGCCTCACTATTTCGGGGGCCTTCAGGCTGCTGCTGCCCCAGATGAAACACCAGTCTGCACATCATCTTCCCAGGAAGGCAGGGCCTTCTCATGACTTTGAGATGGGGGACACAGAATTGGAAGCACCCAGCGAAGATCAGAACGGCCCTCTCACCACGCCCTTCCACCTGTCGCCTTCCGGAGGTGGCTGTGCCCTCAGTGCCTTCCCTCACGCTGACCCAGGGTGACTGGTCCAAGAAGCCTGAGTCTGGCTGGGGGAGAAGCACACAGCTGGAAAATAAGCACACGTGGCCACATCCCCTCGCCTCACCCAGTCCACACCACACTAAGACCTGCGTGGTCTGGGAGAAGCCCTGTACGGGGTGCTCAGTTCCCTGAGATAAAAATGCCAAGACTCTGCCTTCAGGGACCTCGTCCAGTAAGGAAAGACCAGAAAACACAGTCACCACACCCCAGAGAAGCTCCTAACAGGGAGGAGGGAGCTGGCCATGGAGCGCTGAGGACAGGCACCTAAGCCTGCCCTGGCTTGGGTACCAAGATGCGAAGGCTTCAGCTGGCTGGGTAGCAGGACTGCTGGGGTCCAGAGGTGGGAGGGGCCTTAAGGAAGGCCTCCCAGGTAGGGGCTGGGCCCTGAGGCTGGGCAGGATTGGTCCCCAGGAGGAAGCTCCTCATAGCTCCCTGGGAGCACCTTGCTCAACTATTCCTAGAAACAACAGCACTTCCCACGCACTGGGCCCTGATTTCCCTCCATTACCTCTGAAAGAGAAATGGAAGGGGCGGCAGCAGGGGTGTTTGGGAGGACTCCAGGAGGACGTCACTAGGCATATTTGCAAAGCAAAGATTTTGCTGCTTAAGGGAGTAGCCCTGGGCCCTGTGTATCCAGGCGCCATGGAGGCCACACACCCAAGAAAGGACAGGAGGGCTTTGGGTACGTGATCAGACCTGGGCCCGCTTGGGAATCCTCCCATCTGACTCCTCATTTAGCATCCGGATTTCAAAGCCAGAGGAGAGTTGTGCTGGAGGTGGACAGAAGGCTGGGCCTGCCTCCTATGGGGACAGCCTGGCTGCAGGGGGAGCCTGGGCCACCTCGCCTCGGTGCTCCAGCGTGGCAGCTGTCCGTAAGTGAGGCTGGAGCCTCCAGCAAGGGTGGAGTGGGGGCTGGCAGAGCACTGGGCTGGGGTGGGGAGACGGAGGCCCATCCTGCCATCTCTGCCCCAGTGCGACGCCCCGGCCCAGCACATGGGCCTCATGTGCCACCTGTCACTGTTGTGATCTTATCATCATCTCCCTTCTGCTTCCTCCACCATTTCCACTCCCTAGCCTTCAGTCTTCCCGTCTCTAAAATAGGTTTGGATTCCAAGATCTCTCAAGACTTTCCAGCTCTGAAAAAGCTGTTTCCATAACTTTGGTTCTATTATTTTTTACTTCTGAAGTACAAAATTATGATGACTTCATAGCCCCTGGAGTCTGGACCCCAGCTCCAACACTTACTTCCTGTCAAGCTTTAGACTTGCTAGTTAAGCCTCTGAACCTCAGTCTCCCTGTCTGTGAGATGGGGTCATCACAGGACCCTCCCGGCAGGATTTTGTGAAGATTAGATGAGACTGAGCTCTTAAAGGGCTCAGCAATAGGAGGTCGATGATGAGAGTTCCCTGTCCTTTTTTTTTTTTCTTGACCCTGTCATTTTTCCTCAGAAGGGCAAGCTCTGTTCTGGGGCAGAACTGGGGAGCGTTTGAAAGTAATTCCTCTTCTGCTTGTCCTCCAAGAGTTTGCAAAACTGAAGAGATGAGGCCAGCCCAGAGGCCTGGAGGGCAGGCAGTGTGGTGGTGAGGGTTTAGACTGGTGGGAAGAAACTAGAATGAAATGAAGGTGTGCGGAGTGCCATAGTCAGGATTCCAGACCCTGGACAGGTACTTTTCCGGCTCCTGACAGCAGCCTGCTGAAGAAGGCATTTCTGTCCCTTATTACAGATGCAGAGAGTGGGCGGCAAAGCGGTCAGCCGAACGTTTCTTGCTGCCTGGGGCCTTTCGAATGCCAAGGAGCAAACTGCGGGGGGAGACTGTTTCCGGACAATAGCCTATTAACACTCATTACCCATAAACCGGGTAGGTTTCAAGTAGCCAGATAATTGAGGCCATTGGGTGGAAGGGGGCTGGAATTACCTGATTAATTGCCTCACTTCTGGGCCTCGCTTGTTTAGACACAGCCTAAGAGAGGCTGTTGGTGCTTTGAAGTCTTGCTACACTTTCTCCGTCTCTCTTGTTCCAGTCTAAGTTTCTAACCCTGCTTCCTGCTTTGCACACCTCATCAGTCAACACAGAACAGCCATAAACTTTTATTTTTAATCCTCATTTTAAAAAGCAATACATTTGGTCTTTTCTCTGCTTTTATCTAAGTCCAAAAACCATAGACTCATTCATTTATTCATTCACTCGAAAAAAACAGATCTGGGCCTCCTACCTGCCAAGTTCTATTCCAGGCTCCAGGGGAGATAGCCGAAGAAGAAACAAAAGTAAAAACAAAAACAAAACCAGAAATGGGATGGGGCCACACAGCTCAGACCCTGGTTCCATCACTGTGAGAGTGTGGGCGAGTGTTTGAGCCCCCCAGCAAGCCTCAGTTTCTGTAAAGTGAGGTTGGCGACAGTGCCTACCTTTTGGGGTTATTTGGAGGCTTCGAGGTGACATTATCTCAAATGAAAACAAACCAAATTCCCTGCTGATGTGGAGATTACATTCTAGAGGAGAGAGACAGTCAAACAAACAACTACAAATGCAACCTACCAGATGCCCATAAGAGCTTTGGAGAAAAAGGAAGGCGAATAAGAGGCGCGCTGCTTCGCATACGGTATCAGCAAGGTCTGAGCAGAGACGAGGAAGTGGCTGTGTGGATGCTGGAGGAAGGGCCTTTCCTTCTCAGACAAACACAGGTTTGCCCAGGACTATCCCGATGTCAACCCTAGAAATCCCACATCTTGGACATGCCTCAGTCCTGGGGGTGCTACTGTTCCTTGGTCACCCTAGGAAGAGCAAGCACAGCACCCTGAGTGGGACGTGGGTGTGGCTTTCAAGGAGCAGCAGGGAGCGGGGTGTGGAAGGAGCAGAACATGCAAGGTTGAGTGGGGGTCCGAGGGTCAGGCCTGGGCAGGGTGGCGTGGGCCATGTGGGCTTGTCCACACTTAGACTTTACCTTTCAATGAATCCCTGGATCCAACCCTGAAATATACCCATGTTAGGGGAAGGAGGGTGGGTTTTCTTTTCTTTCTTTCTTTTTTTTTTTTTTTTGAGATGGAGTTTCACTCTTGTTGCCCAGGCTGGAATGCAATGGCGTGATCTCAGCTCACTGCAATCTCCGCCTCCCGGGTTCAAGTGATTATCCTGCCTCAGCCTCCTGCATAGCTGGGATTACAGGCGCCCGCCACCATGCCCGGCTAATTTTTTAAAATATTTTTTGCAGAGATGGGGTTTCACCATGTTGGCCAGGATGATTTCTAACTCCTGATCTCAAGTGATCCTCAAGTGATCCGCCTGCCTCAGCCTCGCAAAGGGCTAGGATTACAGGTGTTAGCCACTGCGCCCGGCCAGAGGGTGTGTTTGCAATGAGACGAGGGTAGGGAGAAATATTTTTTAGTGAACACCTGGTGCATATGCCTGGTGTCTTAGATAGTGTGTCCTTTAATCCTCCCTTTAATTCCAAAGGGCAGGTACTGTCACCATCGCTGGCTTACAAAAAGGAAACTGAGCCTTGACTGGTGCAATCACTTGCACACTCCCCCTGCGATGGAGCCAGGGTGGGAACCCGGCCCTATGAGGACACTGGGCCACTCCACATGCACTGTCACTCTCACCACATGCCAGAGAACGGGCAGGACAGGGGCAACTCCCATTTACACTTGGGGAAACTGAGACTCGGGGCGCTGTGAGCCTGCGACCATACAGCAGTGGTTTGTTCAGGATCCAGCCTGGTGAGGCCCCGTCCTGGCTTGCTCTGCACCACCATGAGGTAGAATAACTAGAAATGCCCACCGAGAGAAGAGACTTCCACTCCCCAAATCCCAGATGGGCAGCCTTCTCTCAGGGGCCAGGTTCCAGGAAGAGACCTCGAGGTCCCCAAATGCCTCCCCTCCTCTGCAGTTGAGGAAGAATTCACCAGGACCTTGCAGGACAGGACCCACTGTCCTGCCCCGGCCTGGCACAGTCCTCTTCCCAAGGTTGCCCATCTCCACCTCCATCCAGGTGGGCAGCCACTCAGCGGCATCAGGAGAAACCACGAAGGTAACCTGGACAGCGTTCCCCTCACCCTCCACCTCCACCCACACCGCAGCGGCTTCTTTCCCAAGGGGGGAGAGAATTATTTGTTTTTCCTGTTGCTCTGATTTATGGGCCACTTTGTTCTTTATCTATTTGCACAAACTTGGTAAAGTGACCTGCTCCTTCCCAGAGGTCAGAGATTCTGTCAACACCTCAGGGTCACAGGTCAGCCGACCTGCCCAGGGCGGAAGGGGTTACAGGAGGTCACCTGGAAACAGACCAGCAGATACCAGTTTTGCTGGGGCTAAGCATCTCTTTGTGGGGACTCATGGCTCAGACCCAGAGTGGGAGAAATGATCACACACATGTGCCGGGTTCTGAGCAGGTCCTTCCCCACATCCAACAGTAGGCCTGCAAGGGAGGTGTTAGAGCCTCCGTTTTGCAGAGGTGGAGACTGAGGTTTGGAGGGATGGGGTGACGAAGCCAGTACGGCACAGGCAGAAGAGACAAAGCGGGGCTCACCCCAGGTCCTGCTGTCTGTCTTTCCCAAGGTATGCACACCAGGAGCGCTCCACTACCAGGGCTGATGGAGGGGACGCTTCTTCTGGCTGGGTCAGAGAGGCCAACCTAGCTCACTAGCTCCCTTTCATCCTCACCTCTGTTGAGGGGGGACCACAGGCCTCTCCTCCTCCCACTGCTCTCTGTGGACCACAGGGCTGCTCTGTTACTGGGTCTCTGGGCTGTGTCAAGTCAAAGGGGGACAAAAGCGAGCCACTGCACAGGGAGCTTCCCATCATGCATTTGCAGGCAGGTTGGACCCCTGCCCAGCCCGTGGCACCCAGCCCCAGGGCTGCTCTGCAGAGCTGGCCGAGGTCGTGAGGCAGTGTGAGAGGCCCCATCTGGAGCCCCGCAAATGGTCGGAGCCCCCTTGGCCATGGAACCTTAGAAAGCCTCATGTGCAGAGCTTTGGTCTCTTCTGGCAGTAGGATGGCACCCACTTCCCAGGGATGGGGAGAGGGTCCAGGGGAGCCATGCACGGGAGTGCCCTGTGAACTGTAAGGAATTTCAGTCCCTTCATTCACAGAGGCATATCACACGGGCCCAGAGGAAGAAAGGGGCCTCAGACACTGGTGCAAAGTGGTATGAAACCACATTGCCTGAGATGTAGCCCAGGAGACAGCCTGGGAACCCACAGCACCGGTCCCTCCCTCTCTAACCAGCGAGGGAAGGTTTAGAAGCCCTGTATATTGCTTTTGGGAAAACGCTTACTTCAGTGAGGCTACTTCTGGAGATGCTAAGTGAAGATCTGAGGCGACTATTCGGATAATGAATGTCAGAAGCACTCTCACAGGTTGTTCTTCTCCACTATTGGCATATTTCAGGTGTAAAGTGGTGGGTTTTCACCTAAATGACTTGGTTAATTGTCTTGCAGGTGTAGACACATTCTCAGAGGGAGGAGATTGCCAAAACTGTGTGCCCAGACCCCAGCCCCAGGCACCTTGGCACAGAGAGGTCTTTGTGAGGGAACCGTCTAGTAGAAATAACAGTTATTATTATTTGAGAACATGAAATGTTGGAAAATTGGCATGGGCACAAGTGCAGAAAATGTGTCCCCTCCCCGGAACTGCCTGTAAGGGCAGAGAGTGCTAATGAGCTCCCTAGTCATTATTTCAAAACGGACTGAGTAGGAAATGTGGCCCCTGGAAACACTGCCAGGAGTTTTGGAATGAATGCATTTAAAGAAGGTTTAAACATCAGAGATGGAGATGCTCTTAAAAATCATCTAAGCAAACACTCTCATTTTATAGACGGGAGTGCCAAGGCCAGAGAAGGGCAGCTACTTGCCCAGGCTCATGTCACGGGTCAGAAGCAGATGGGCTATAGGCCAGGCAGGCCGCCATTCCAAGTCTTACTTTCCTCCTCCTGGCCCAGGGGAATGAGAGCCTGCCACCCTGTCCTCCTCTCTGCCCTCCCAGGGACTCTGCCCAGCAAGTCTCCACTGACGACAGCCCCCAGCAGGGGAGAAGTGGGTTCTGATCCTGTCCGATTAGTCCACAATTAGGGCTTCCATCCCCACATTTCTTACCAGGCATTTAATCTTCACAGAGGGTTACACAATCCTCTCGATATGGGAAACTGAGGCCCAGAAAGCTGGGCGGCTTCAACAAAGCCACCCAGCTAGGAATTGAAACCCAAGTCTGATCAGTTTGAAATGACATGAAATGATGGCAATGACGATTCCATGCCTCTCTTTTTATCTCTGGCCTCCACTGTGTGTTTGAAAGCTGGAGTGGCTGCAGAGAGATTAAGAAGTGACTCAGGGCAGGGGATGGGACTCAATGAAGTGTCCCTAGCTCTGTCAGCCACCATGTGACCTTGGGGAAGTCCCTTCCCATCTCCAACTCTTCCTTTCTCCACCTTTACAGTGATGACATTGGACCAGATACTTAAGGGCCCTCAGAACACGAAACATAATGCCTCTGATTCCATCCACCCAGCCGCTCCTTGCCAAAGGTACACACTCCTTCCTAGGACGCTGGGGCAGTTTATGTTGATCCATTCCACTATTCACTCATTCCACATATACTTATTGAGGATCGATGATGTACCATGCACTGCGGCACTTTCACGTCTGCAAGCTCTGTTATTTCTCACAATATTATTACCCCAGTTGAGGGGAGAGAAAATTGAGGCTTAGATTTGTTAAGTGACTTGCCTGAGGCTACATATCTGTGCTCCAGTAGATCTGGGACTGTGCCTGTGTCTGGTGACTCCAGGTTCAATGCGCTTCCCCTAAGACCAGAACGCTTCTCCAGGCTCACGGCCCAAAGTATCACGGGAGTTTCTTTATGGTTCAGGCAGGTGAGCAGACAAGGCAAGCTGCAGGAGGCTCACCAGGACATGGGTCAGCCACCCTTTGACCAGGACGCTTTCTTCCCAGCGCTCGGAACCCTCCCACTGTATTTGGACAACCTTGGTAAACCGACCACCACCCAGGCTACCAATGAGGCCAGCCTGTGGCCCCGCCCCTATGCTTTCGGGCAGAGGCTTTGTGGTTTGAACCAAGAGTCAGCAGAGGCCCCGAAATGCCGAAGATGCTGCCGGCCATGGCCTCTGAGAGCTGCACTCCAAACTCTCCACAGAGACCAACGACGCACAAGCCACGATCAGCTGGCCTCCCTGCTGAAAGAATGGGCATTCTTGAATTCTGCCACCAGCCCACTGCCCTCCCACACATCCCCTCCTGGGAGAAGCACAGACAAGAGGGGATTCAGTGCAGGCACAGTCATCGCACAGAACGTTCACCAGCCCTTCCCCTGGGATGCAGTGCTCATTCCTGCCCCCTCCTCCCCAGCCCAGATCGAGTGTCAAACAGGCAGAGCTGGTTCTGAGAAAAGCCTATTTCCCTCAGTGCCCTGGTCTCCATGCAGCAGAGAAAGATTTGAGTTAGAATCCAGATTCCCCTGGGTGCAAGACCAGTTTGCACTCATGACCTCCATGACCATGGGCAAGGCACTTCCATTCGCTGGACCTCTGTTTCTTCGTCTGTAACACAAGCCTGATAAGTCCTGTCCAGGCCCCCCGATGGGGTGTTTGAGGATCAAATGAGGGAAAGCCGGGTTTGGAACCTACATGCTGGCCTCTGAAATTAGCCCTTACTCCATGATGGAAAGGCCATCCCCTTCTTCCTTGGGACCCCAATAGTCAAGCCTCACACAAAGCGTGTACCCAGTAACGATGTTGAGTGGGTATTTGTCATTCTCATTGATAAGAAAAGAAACCTGAACTTCTTCTCTGTGTATGGGATATTGGCCACCCTTGAGTCTTGGTGGGAGGCAGTGTCTGCCTGTCTCCTACAATACAAGCTGAAAATGACCAGTCATGATATTGCCACCTGCCTCCAGACAGAGCAGGAGCTCGTATCCTGGGCTCTACCCGTCAGCTTCAACTGCCTAAATTTGATCCAGGGCTGGTGATCTGGAGCGGGAGGACATTCTCTCATGCTAGGCAGGGGGTGAGGAGAAGCAGTAGCTTCAGCAGTTTGAGCTCCTGGGCCAGGAGTGGCCACTTAACAGGTGACAATGGCCAAGTCCAGAGTCCAGTATCCAAGGCTGGGCACACCAGTGGAGCCAGTAAAAGCATCTAGTGTTCAATGGCAGAGGCATTCATATTCTCCCTGTCCAGTCTTGCCATTTGATATTTGTCCCAGGCCTAGTTCTTAGCCCTCCTGGACTCCTTGAGCTACCCTTTTAATTCACCTCCTGTATTAGTCTGCTCTCACACTGCTAATAAAGACATACTTGAGAATGGGTAATTTATAAAGGAAAGAGGTTTAATTGACTGACAATTCAGCATGGTTGGGGAAGCCTCAGGAAAGTTACAATCATGGAGTAAGGCAAAGGAGGTGCAAAGGCATGTCTTACATGGTGGCAGGCAAGAAAGCGTGTGCAGGGAAACTGCCCTTTATAAAACCATCAGATCTCATGAGACTTATTTACTATCATGAAAATGAGACGGGGGAAGATACCTGCCCCCATGATTCAATTACCTCCCACCAGGTCCCTCACACAACACATGGGGATTATGGGAACTATGATTCAAGATGAGATTTGATGGGGACACAGCCAAACCATATCACCCCTTTCTATTCATATTGGCAGCATTGCTTTAGTTGCTAGGAGTCAAAAACTCTGATTGCTAAAGATGCCAACGGACTGGCCATTTCCCAAGTTGTCTAAGGGCTTGAGTTCTGCTCTTCACCTTGTTTCTATCTCTGTGACCTTGGGCTGATCTTTAACTCATTAAGTTTCTGTTTTCTGTAAAATGCAAATGGTTGTAACTACATATTATATTACTTGAAAGAGTAGGTGAGATAATGCATCAGCTCAGTGACAACTTCTGGCACTGAGGATGTCACAGGAACGTGAAAAAGAATTCTTTTTTCCTCCTCTCTCTGCTTCCTTGGACAAATTCAGAAAGAAACAGCACAAGACAATCCATTTTGAGGATTTAAAGTGTGGACCGTGGCTGTGCCGGTTGCAGAGTCCTATACCAACACCCTGCCTCTTACCTTTGCTCAAGCAGTTCCTCCTGCTTGGACCACCCCCACCCACCGCCCACTCCACTTCATCACCCAAACCAGTCCACTCAGCACACCTTCCAACCTCATCTCCTGCTTCTCGCCTCCTCTCTAGCCCAACCTCTGCTCAGCAGACCATGCATCCTCTTTCCCCAAAACCTTCACTCACAGCAGTCCGTCCACCTGCCATGCCCTCTTTATTTACCAAGACCCCACCAAACTTTGCCCCTCCCCAAATCTTCCTTCCTCCTGCAGTGAAGGCTTTTTCTTCTCAATTCTCCCAGAATAGCCCAGCAAGAAGAAGGAGGGGATACTCCTGGGGTTCAGGGGCTCCCTCCCATTTATCTCCAAATCTCCAAGCTCTGACTGAGCTGAAACGGTGTGCCCTGTGCGTTTGGAACAGTGCTTCTCAGTGCATTCTGTAAGTTAGGATAAGCAGGAACCATAATCTCCGTTTGAAAGATGATAAAATTCAGAATGGGGAGAGACCGGCCCAAAGCCAGCATTTGTTCCCAGGTCTGACCCCAGCATCAAGCTCTTTCCGGCATACCTGACTGGCCCTGCTCTTGTAAGCTCTACCCATGCGGGCCAGGGGATTTCAGGGGGAGTGCGTTGGGGAATTGTTTTTCTTATATTCCAGAGATTACAACCATGTTACTTACTTAGAAAAGTGCACATTTTCTCCACTCCATACAAATTTCTGTTTAAAAAAGAAAGAAAGGCGTTTTCCTGGGGAGGAAACAATTGCTGCCTATAGATAATTAGGGCTCTATTTTGGTGCCAAAGCAGTGAACAGACTGAGGAAGCTGACAAAGGCAAGTCCATAAACAAGGAAGAGATTGGTCTAACTTTCTCTTGAATCACAAACAATTTGCATTTTTATTTCTTCCTTTCCAGAAATGAACTCTACCAGCCTAGACTGAACTAACATCAGGCCTCGAAAAAGGCCAAGTCACGGGGCATAAAAGGGTCCTTGGATACTGTCCAGGCTAAGCCCTTATTGTAAAGGAAAGGAAACCGAGGGCCCCACGGGCAAGGGCTTGTCTGAGGCTGCCCAGCAAGGCAGGGGTGGATCTAATGTTAGAACCTTGTGTCCAGGGTTTCAAAGCTGTAAGAACCCCCTGCATCGCCAGCCCACCACCAGATCATGGTTCTCCACTTGTGCCTGCCCTGAAAACTGCCCATGGCCCTGGGTGAGGCAGCATTTGGGCAGGGAACATCCATGTGAGGTGTCGGGGTCTGAGCCTGAAGCTTCAGGGGGTTGCAGGGTCTGGTTTGCATTTGAAAAGCACTCTTCTTGCTTGGTGGCCTAACTCGTGTATTTGACACCTGGAATTTATTATTTTTTAACACCCCCTCCTCTGCACAACAAAATTATTTTCAGCATAAGCAATGTTTTCTTTTTTTTTTTAATTTTTAAAAAATTTTGCGGGTACATAGTAGGTGTATATATTTATAGGTT
The DNA here is from genome assembly GCF_000001405.40 of Homo sapiens. Classification (NCBI taxonomy): domain Eukaryota; kingdom Metazoa; phylum Chordata; class Mammalia; order Primates; family Hominidae; genus Homo; species Homo sapiens. Next base: position 15,760,183 of record NC_000002.12, on the reverse strand, counting down.
ACATAAGATATGTCGATACCTGCATGCAATAGATGACAATCACATCAAGGTAAATAGGGTATCCAAGCAATGTTTTCTTAATCAGTACTTTAGTCTTAAGGTAGGCAATTAACAATAAAAAAATGGGCCAGCACAGTGGCCCACGCCTGCAATCCCAGCACTTTGGGAGGCCAAGGTGGATCGCTCAGTCTCCTTGAGCTCAGGAGTTTGAGACCAGCCTGGGCAACATGGCAAAACCCCATCTTTACAAAAAAGTCTAGCTGGGCATGGTGGCATGCACCTGTACTCCCAGCTACTCTAGAGACTAGGGCCTGGGAGGCAGAGGTTGTAGTGAGCCGAGATTGCACCACTGCATTCCAGCCTGGGCAACAGAGTGAGACCCTGTCTCAAAAAATAAAAAAAAAATTGCAGTTACCATACAAAAACAGTATACCTCTCAGCTCACACAGTTTCACTGTTTTAAATTTTAAACACAAATGAAAACTCTGTTCACATGAGGGGTAGAATGAAGAACCCAAATTATGTTTCTTTGTGTTTACAATCCGTGTGCTGTTGTTTATTTTAAATGCAGTGTTTAAATTCAGTAGTATGTAGTTCCACAGGGTTGGAGACATGATCTGCACCAAGCAAGCTCAAAAGACTTTGAATCATCCTAAACTTATTTTCAAAAGCAGCACAGTCAGTTTAGCCCACATGTGTTGAGGGGCCAATTATACATGAGAAGTCTCCAAATTAACTTCTGCAAGGAATACAGTGTTTACTAAAAGATAATTAATTTAAAAGTTATTTATATATATATACACACACAGATATTTATATCTCAACAAAAAGAAGTGTTCCCTGTTGTTTGTATTTTATTTATTATTTATTTATTTATTTATTTATTTTACCATGAATGGTACTTCATGTAAAGTGTTAGGACAAAATAAGCACTCAAAAAAGATTGAGCTATCGTGTTATTAAAAGTCATACCGAGAATCAATAGACATTCTTGCTGAATTTCTGCAGAAGGAGCAGAATGTTGCTACTGATAATAGCTAAAATGTATTGGGCACTTATCTCCTGCCAGCCAGAGAGTCTCTCACTTAATTCTTAAAATAACTGCCGCACAGATGAGGACGCTGCACACAGGGAGACTGAGTCATCTGTGTGAGGCGATGCCATGGGCTGGTGCGGCCCCACCGTGCCTGTGCTGTGCTGGGCACCTGACCTCCATGGCCACACTTGACCTTGGTCACCACTTGGCCACACTGAGCTCCCATCTGGTTGTCAGATGGGGACTGTCAAGATCTGGGGTGTTGAGAAATGGACCCAAATCCCACAGCCAGCAAGAGCAGAGCTGGGGGCTCATCCCACACGGGGTGGTGATGAAGTCTTTGAAGGTTAAATGAGTGGAGGCCTTGAGACCCTGCTATCCAACCCTGTGTCCTCATCAGCTCAGGTTGCCACTACAACATACCGCAGACTGGGTGGCTTAAGGAGCAGAAATTAATTTTTGCCAGTCTGGAGGCTGGAAGTGCAAGGTCAAGGTGTCAGTGGGGGCGATTTCTCCTGAAGCCTCTCTCCTGTGCTTATGGGTGGCCACCTTCCCGCTGTGTCCTCACATGCTCTTTCCTCTCTGCGTTCTCATCCCTGCTGTCTCTGGTGTCCACATTTCCTTTTCTTATAAGAATACCAGTCCGATTGCCTTAGGGCCACCCTAATAACCTTATTTTCACTTAATCACCTCCTTAAATGCTCTATCTCCAAATATAGTCCTGCTCTGAGGTACTGGGGTTAGGGCTTCAATGTATGAATTTGGAGGTGTGCACAATTCAGCGCAATACACGCGTATCTTCACCATGAAGGTGAGTGGGGCCCTGAAGCTAAGAAAAGCTGGGGTGGGAATCCAGGCTTCCAAGGCATCCTTCAGTGCTCCTTCCATCCTGGGAATCTTCTCCAAAAAGCCACCAAGCTCCAGCCTCCCACATCATCACTCCTTCCCAGGCTGACTTAGGTGCCAGCCACATTCCTGGGTGTTTGGCATGAACTACCTCACTTCATCCTCATGACACCACAACAGGCTGCCTCCTCTGAACAGCTTCAGAAAAAGACTGTCCCAAAGCACATATCTTGTTCCTCACTTAGAACAAAACAGGGCACTTACCTGAATGAGAGGTTCAGCCCCGGGTCAGCAGAATAATATAATTTTTCAATTCAACACATATTTATGAATGTCTCCCAAGTACGGGAACTGTTCTACGGGCTGAGGATACAGCAGTGAGCAAGGCAGACCACATTCTTACTCTGTAACACATTTTAGGGAGAGAAAGAGGCACTACACATAGGTATACACTATGATAGGTATTAAGAAGACAAGGCAGGGAAAGGCTAGAAAATGACAGGGGAGATGCTATTTCACATAAGGTGTTCAGAGAAAGCTTCCCAGACAAAGGGTACGTTTGAGCAGAGACCTACATGAAACGAGGGAGCAGGCTCAGGAGCTAGATGGGAAAATGGTGTTTCAGGCAGAACGGGCAACCAGTGCAAATGCCCTGGGGCTGGAATGCACTTGTATCCTGGGACAGGAAGCAGGCAGGTGGCTGGAGTGCGGCGGCTGAGAGGGAAGGGCGGTAGAACGTGAGCTCAGAGGGGTGTGGGGGCCTGACAAGGAAGGGCTTTACAGGCCATCGTGAGGTTTGGCTTATGTTCTAAGTCAATGGGACATGAGCCCCGTTTTGACCAAATGTTATGATCATCTGATTTACATTTACAGCCATTAGTATCCTCCTTCTTTTCTCTGCATACCATCTCAATACTTTTTGCCCATTTTTAAAAATTGGAGTGAAATTCACATAGGATAAAATGAACCACTATAAAGTAAACAGTCCGTGGCACCTTATTCATTCTCAGTGGTGTGCAATCACCTCTATCTTCCAGAACATTTTCATCACCCCAAAATAAAACCCCATACTATACACTAATATGCTAAGCAGCCATTCCCCATTCTCCCACACCTCCACCAGTCCCTGGCAACCACCAACCTGCTTTTGTGGATTTACCTATTCTGCATATTTCATATCAATGGAATCATACAATCTGTGACCTTTGTATCTGGCTCCTATCCTTTAGACATGTGTGCCTCATTCACCTACATGGTGGCATGTGTCAGCACTTCATTCCTTCATTCCTTTTCATGGCTGAATCATATTTCATTGCACATTCATTGTGTGTTTGTGTAAATTTACCACAGTTTGTTTATCCATTTATCCATTGATGGACATTTAGCTTGTTTCCACCTCTTGGCTGTTGTGAATAGAGCCGCTCTGAACATTCATGTAAAATACTTGTTCTCCTGTTTTCAATTTTTTCTGGATATATGCCTAGTAGTGGGATTGCTGGGTCATGAGGCAGTTCTATGTGTAAATTTTGAGGAACTAACAAACTATTTTTCACAGCAGCTTCACCATTTTATGTTCCCACCAGCAGTGTACTAGGATTCCAGTTGCTTCATATCCTCAACAACACTTGTTATTTTTCATTTTTCGTCTTTTAGACAATTATTATTATCATTATAGCCATCTTAGTGGGTGTGAAGTGGCAGCTTATTATTGTTTTTGGTTTGCATTTTCCTGATGACTAATGATGTTGAACGTATTTTCATGTGCTTTTTGGCCATTCATGTATCTTCTTTGGAGAAATGAGTTATTTTCTAAAAGCATCACTAAAGGCTATTGTGTGGCAAGCAGGTGGGGCTGATGGGTGGGTGGGATGGGGTGGGGGTGTAAGCAGGGAAGAAGTTAGGAGGCCTTCAGAGAGTGTGTGCGGGCTTTGGCCTAGGGGAGTACTAGAGAGGGTATGACGTAGGTAGAGTCTGGAGCTATTTAGAAAGTAGAGTTGATGAGTTTGGAGTGACTGCTCCACCTCACTGGGACAGTCACTGTGCCATCTTCTCTATTAGACTATCAGTTGGGGCTGCAGCAGGGCAGGGAGTCCATCCCAAGGACAAATTTCACTCCTCACCTCCATTGCCAAAAACTAGAAACCAGGCAGAACTAGGTGCTAAGGGGAAAGAGAAAATGGGAAAAGGGAAGACTTCTTGAACTCTCAGCAGGAGTACAGCCCTAGAAGCAGCTTTGTCAAGCAGTAAAACTCAAGAGATGTCTTTGCAACTGTGTTGGTTCCTTCTGGCTGCTATAACAGAAATGCCTTAGACTGGATAATTTCTAAACAGTAGAAGTTTATTGCTCACAGTTCTGAAAGCTGGGAAGTCCAAGATTACAGTGCCAACAGATTCAATATCTGGTAAAAACATGTTCTTCATAGAAGGCATCCCCTATGTGTCCTCACATAGCTGAAAGACGAAAGGGCTAGGAAGCTCTTTCAGGCCTCTATTATAAGGGCACTCACTTCATTCATGAGGGCAGAGCACCCAAATGTTTAACAAATATAACTAGTATTACTGTTGTTGTTGTTGTTATCATTATTATTATTGGGTGGATTGAGGTCCTTGGAGAGCTTCTGGTGACTTCTGTCTCCTTCAGGGCCAAGTCCAAGCTTCTCAGCAAAACATCTAAGTCCTCCCATGATCCAGCTCCTGCTGGCATCTCCAGCTTCATCTGTCATGATCCCTACCTCATACCCTACACTCCAGTCATTGCTGAGGGTTTCCTCGCTGCTGCAGGTCACCAGGCTTTGCACAAGGCAACCCCTCTGCCTGAGCACTCACCACCCCCTTTGAACCTCAGACACAGCTTCAGTGTGGTATCCTCTCCAAAGACTTCCCTCATTGATTCCTTCATTCAGTGAAAGTTTGCTGAAATCTACAGCGTGCCAGCATTTTCCAAGTGGCGGTCAACCTGACCCAGACATAGGTTAGTACTCCCTTCTTTGTGCTACTTCTTTATTTTTATTCCTTCATTTTATATATATAAGAAAACTGAGGTCTAGAGAGGGCAGGTGACTTAAGCCAAATAACAAATCAGAGGAGCAAGGAAGATGGGAGCTGGCCAGGAATAACCTCTGGAATCACACAATCCTTGATTGCAAGCAACTAGAAAATGGTGCCGACCCAGGGTTACCAGGCGGTTGTTGACAGCTCCTGATTTTTCATCCTCCTTGGAACCTGGATGCAGGATTTGCAAGGAGCTGGGGTTATGATGCCTATGCCCCACCTGCCTCTGGCTCATGTTTGTTATTATTCCTACATTGTCAGGAGCTGTTGTCCTATGGCCAGGAAACACATATTTCACACTTTGCTGGAAGGGACAAAAGAACTTAGGGGCCAAAAACAGAAGTCAGATTGTTATATTGTTCTAAATAAGAATGTGTTGAGTTGTTGCCAGAGATTCAGAGATGACAAGAATGGATATTGTGTATTTTGTGGCTGGAGAGTAAAAACATTTTTTTTGGAAGGTGTCCTGTAGACACTCCCTCCACCGCATATCAGGAAATAAAATGTTTCGGTTAACGTGCTCATGGCGTTGCGAGCTGGAGGCATGGAAAGACCACTGGGCTGTGAGGGCTGAATCTGAGTGGTGGAGGCCAGTCTGGGAGCCCAGAGGCCCTGGTCAAGCCCCAGCAACACCACCCACTCTCAGGCCATGGGACCCAGCCCAAATCACCTCCCTTCCCCTGGTTGTAAGTCCCTCAGCACTAACTCACAAGGAGAAGCCGGGAGTTCTCCCAGCACGGCCTCCATGGCAGCGAGCTGGGCAGGCTGGCCCAGTGGGGACTCAGGGAGCATGTGGACAAGAGCTTGGACTGAAAGACCCACACCCAAAAAGACGAAGGAGCAGCAGATGGCAACACCCCATGATGATGAGGCATCCAGCATCCTAGGATGCCTAGGAGGCACCTAGGAGGCACCCAGAACCCTACGATGGTGAGGCACACAGCACCTTACGATGACGAAGCACCCAGCATCCTACAATGGCGATGGTGAGGCACCCAGCACCCTGTGACATGAGGGACCCAGCACCCTGCAATGGTGAGGCACTCAGCACCCATCATGGCCTTTCTCCTTCTCAGATTGAACTCCTGCAGTCAGTAGTTTCCTTGCAGTTGGAAATTTCCAAAGTGTTTTCAAACTAAGTATCCCATCTGAGGCTCTCAGGCACTCTGGAGGACTCTCCGGGCAGAGATTTTATCGACTCAATTTTTCCCGTCAGCAAACTGAGGATCAAGGAAGCCAGGCCTGCCTGCCCTGTCCTCCTGGTATCCCTCCATGGCCTCTCTTGCACAACTTCTGGGTATGCAAAGAAGGAGACATGAGCGCTGCCTCCTGAAGTTCACATCTTGCTGTGCTGCCTGAATGGGGGTAGGAGACTTTCGGGTGATGAATACGGAGAAGCCAAGAAGGGCGACTGCTCAACACCCTACAATGTTACAGAATGTTACAGGCACTTAGACAGAGGGTCCAACCAACTCCTGCCCAGCGTAAGGACTTCCTGACTCAGTGGACAGCCCATTCTCTCACTCACTAAAGATCAGATCCTCCTGGTGCCTCGGGGTGTAGGGGACAGAGGAAGGCGGCTTGGTGGGGAAGGGGATGGAGAAGAGACCTTCACCACTGTTGAGATTTAGGACAAGAGGTAACCAGTTCACTTCTTCTGAGGATGGAGATTTGATCACTCAAAATGACCTTTTTTTCTATCCTAAATCAAGGCCTATTTCCTTGGTGCTATCCAAAAAGCGTCAGGGTTACTAGAAATTGATTTTTTTTTTTTTTTACTTTAAGTCAAAAGAACGATTGTAAAAATGAGAGTCTCCCAATACTCAGCACTCTTTATGTGCAGCCACTGTGCCCAGTGCTTTAGAAGCCACAGCTCGTTTAATCCCCACTTTGGGCCTATGAGGCAGAGGAGAGTTTTGTCCTCATTTTACAGTTAAGGAAATGGATGTTTAGAAAGAAGCACATTTTGCACCCACCAGAAGTCGAAAGTTATACTCCTTTATTCAATGTTAGAAGTAGAAACATTAAACAAAATGTGCTAATCTCATATTACCTTTTGATTTTAATAGATTTGATTTTCTTAGGTTCACTGCAAAATTTAGTAGAAGGTACAGGGACTTCCCCCAGCTACTGTCCATTTTTGAGTCCAGAGAAAACATTTCTACAGCCACTTCCTCTGGTGAGTGAGGTGAGCAAATCTTTCCACAAAGTCAATCCTCCAGATTACTGATATTTTTCCATATGAAGTACTAGGCTTTTATATTTTTAGCCACTTGTCTTGGTAATATAAAATGAAAGAAAAGAACCTAAACAGAGACTGAACACTTCAGGGCAGGTGCATCAAGGAGGAAATCAAGAACCAGGTAATATAAAATGGATTGTAAACTCTCCTGACTTCTTTAACAAACTACGTGGAATACCCATGACTTTAAACAGACTTTAATAAATTGATGTTGTCTGGAAGTATCACATTGTACAGGCCAGTTGCCCCTGCACCAAATGGCCCCAATTTTCTTTTCCAGGTAACAATTCTGTTTTTATTTTTCCCATCTCCTCTCTCCCCAAGCTACTGCTTATCAGTTCCATTGCTCAACGCATCTCCAATTGCTACTAAACCATTATTTACACTAACAAGGGGAAGAAATTATGTTTCCCAGAAGAAACCAGTTACTCAACCTGATTAAGTCAGTAATTTTCCCTTCACGCAGAATTCTATGCCACCAAACTCTTAACAAGAAAGCCCGACGTTGGTGCATATCTGCTCATGAAACATGCATGTGCTTTCGGAAGGCTACTTTGTGTGTTACCCGGGTGCATTTTCTGCCTGCTTCTGGGGTGATGGCTGTGCCTGAGAGTTAGGAAGTTCCTATACCTGACCGTCCCATAAGCAGAGTGCTGATAAAAGTTTCAATTGTGCAAATTGCCAAACTGGCTAGGTAGAAGTGGGAATTATTGGCGTGTTGGCCCTAGGCATGCACAAGAGGGAAATGAATGCAGGATTGGATCAGAGAGGCAGGGCTGGTGTGAGAGGCTGGACTGTGAACAGGAGAACTTAAACAGAGACTGAACACTTCAAGGCAGGCGCATCAAGGAGGAAATCAAGAACTAGGAATCAGCAAAGGCCACCTGAGATGAGGAGATAGAAACAAGAGAAATCATCTAGCATTCTCTCTGCTGGGATGTGTCTCGCCAGGGAATGTTATCAGATCACCCTCCTTTTGGAGCAGAAAGGCCGTATCTAGCTACATAGGTGCCTGGGAAGGCTAATATCAAATGGCTCAGCAATATGGTGCCTTTCAAACCAACAGTCTTTAAATATATGTCCAAAATTTACTTAAAGAGGAAGTTACTGAACAATGCATGCAGGAAGGGCAGAGAAAGTGCTCCAGGGGTTTCCATGGCTCTCGTCCATTGAGCCTAACAGTTCTGCTCAGGCCTTAACTTGCATTACCATTCAGCAAAATAAAAGTCCTGCAGTTCACCAGACCCACTCCCTCAAAATGACAATTTGTTTGAGTATATCTCTTAGAGATCTCACCTCCTCACCTTTATCCTAAATGGCTTCTCAGGTATCCCTTTACTCTACATTCCCTCTGAGAGGTGTCCTGGTAAACACAAGTGTCTCCATTTGATTGCATTTCCCATGTTTTTGAGCCCCTTCTAGATTGGTGCCCTAGACAGCTGTCGAGCTGTCCCACCCTCAGTCAGCTCTTGTGGCAGCCAAATGCAATAGTCTAGTGGCCTTTCAAAGGTGACAACTCATTTCTCCCCCCCACCCCCCACACACTCACATCTCTAGCTAGAATATATTCCCCAGTGTTTTAAAAGAATGAGCTCCTTAAAATTATTTAATCCAATCTCTGGTTAAAGAGCAGAAGGCACATAATCTCCAATAGGACAAGACATTTGTTCAAAATCACACACAGGAAATTGTAGAGCTAGAATTTGAGCCCAAGTCTGCCCATGTTGTGAGCTGCCACTGTCCCATAGTGTCACTGGCATGCCTTGGGACATAGGGAGGCATGGGAGAGCTGTTAGTAATTTGCATCTGCAGTGCCCAGTGTAAAGGAGGTAGCCCCAGTAACGTTTGCTGGATTGAATGAGTCAGGTAAGGTGAGGCCTGAGTCTCATGGCTGAGAAAAGGCAGGACTGGGGCACAAGGCCATGGCTAGGTCCCGGCCTAGGATCCCAGGCTGGAATCCTGTCAATCCCTCCTCCCTTCAGTTAGGCCTCGTCCTGGATACTGGGTCTGGCTGGGGCTCACTGGCAAAGGTTATGGGGCCCCAGCCCTGGAATATGCAGGGCAGTAGGCTGGAGGCAGGCAGGGCCTATACTTGTGAGCTCATCCAAGAGGAAAAGCTATAAAGAGGTATATTTTGGTTCAAAACAGAGAAGAGTTTAATAACCATTAAAAAACAGAATGAGCAAGAAATAGTGAGCCTCCCATCATCAAGGGGTATGTAAGCAGAAGAACATAGTGGAAGGCATCCAGGCATTGAGGTTGGAGTAAACAATATGGAAGGTCTTTTCTCTCTCCGAGAGTCTGCGGCACTTTGAAAAGGGAGAGGTGATTGATGGTTCCCAAGTGGAGATGGTTCTTTTCAGGACTGCCCTGGCTGCTACTCTGAGTTGGTTTCAGGAACTACAGCCTTGCTGGGGGAGGGAAAACAGCATTTTAAAAGGACCATTGCACCAGGAACTATACGTGGTCATCCTTTACATATGTTATCTTATCTAACTGTCACAACAATGCTGTGGGTGCTTTCAGCCTCTCCTGTCACATGGAGAAACTGAGGTTAAAGAGGTTAAGAAGGCACTCCTTGGATCTGAAGCTAGCAAGGGTCAGAGCCAGGAGTCAAACCCAGGCCCGCCCGACTCTGCAGCAAGTGCACTTTATACCACTGCCAGCAGTCATACAATGTCCTAGCGCTGGGCTTCCTCAGTGTCACTAAGGTCTGTCTCTAAGAGCGTGACATGTGGAATTGGAAACTGAGTCATCTACTTTGGTGACAGGTCCTGATTAATGTTGGGCTAATTTTAGATTTCCTCACAATTGCTCCTCTTAATATACAACAGCCTCTAAATATAATGTTGGCGAATGTTTTGTTTTTGTTTGATTTGACCAGAAAAAGGAGGACAGCAAAGGAGATGAGGTCATGGGTATAGTACCGTCCAGCCAGCACGCTGCTCCTTTGAAGGGCTTCAGAAAGCTGTGATAGGGACAACGGCAAGAATCTCCACTGCTTTTTCCAGCTGATATTCCAGGCTCGCTACCCCTAACTAGATGCAGTCTTTACCTCCCTGGTTGCAGAAAAGTAGAACCAGCCTGCCCTGGGCTCTCTGGTGTCTCTGAAGCATAATAAATACTTCCAGAACAGCAAAGTGTACACAGCACAGTGGCAGGCACATTGGAGGGGCGGGCAAGTCAGGCATGGGCACAAACATAACACCCTGGCACAGGCATGGCCTCCTCTTTCAGTTCCTTCCTGCCCAGCCATTTTCAGAAGTGAAATCGAGTTGTTTTCCCCCTTCCAGCCCTGCAGGGCCTTAGCCTGGGGTATTCAGCCAACACAGTGCTTAGCAAGCAGCAGGCATTTTGCACATACTGTGAATGGATGTATGAAAATGATCATGCCAGCATTACCTAGAATATTAAAAATTTAAAAGCAACTTATAGGTCCAGGCCAATTGTCTTTAAGGAAATCATGTGGTGCCCACAAGATGACAGTTCTTGCTTGTCCAAGTTCAGGATGGGATTTGAAGTGCAGCTGGGGACATTCTCCTCTGCATTAAAACAACAAACACACAGCCTCACCCAGCTACTTCATAAGAAACCCCAGCTCAGCCTCAGACTAGTTGTGTGACTTTGTGTGAGTCCAAGTCTCCCTCGGCCTCAGTTTCTTCATCCCTCAGATGGGGAGAAATACCTGCTTTTGGGGGACTGCCAAGAGGATTCAGTGAGAAATGCGAGTAGCTGTCTTGGCTTAAAGGAAGGCACTCCGGGGGCCTAGCCCAGGGCAGGTGAAATACCACAGACTATAGTTTTCTCCTCCAATTTGCAAAAGCTTTCTTTGTGAAAAGTATTAAAAGACATGAAAATGAAGTTGCATATAATAATAAACAAGGTGTCTTGTGGAAAAGAACCACCGCAGAACTCCATGCTGTCTTGGGAACTCCAAGGCTCCTGGCGGCCTTGTCTGGACAGCACTTCAGAGACCCTTGTGAAGGCTCAGCAGGCAGCGGACAAGAGCAAGAGTGGGCAGGGGAGGTCGAGCCAGGGGGCAGCCAAGAGGAGGAGCATGGGGAGAAACTGCTCCAGCCTTACAGCAGCCAGGAGGGGGCGCTGTTATTAACCCGTTTGCGGTTTAGGAATCCCAGGCTCATAAGAGATTGAGGCTTGCACAAGGTCCCACAGTTGCAGAGCCGTGGAAGTAGGAATTGATGCTTTCCCACTTTGCTGGCTGCTTCAGCAGCTCGGGTTCCGATGAAGTAGACTTCAAGGGCTCCCCTCCCTCCAAGACTTTTTGAAGACCTCTTTGGAGAAAGAGGATGAGATGGCTAAACTGTCACTCTCCCTTCTTTCCGCACGCAGCCACCATACGCCACCACCAGTGCAAGTGGCTGATGGGGTTCTTAGAGGGCCAAGGACATCAGAAACAGCAGCCTTCAAAGACCCTTGTGTCCAACCCACTCACTTCTACATTTGGGGAAACTGAGGCCCAGGGAGAGCGGTATCTGTTAGGATGTTTGATCATGAGATAAACAATCAGAAGTCCTGGGTTCCAGTCATGACTTTGCCTCTAACTCTCTGTTATGTGCCCTGGAGCTGAAGACCCTTCAGCCACAAAATAAAGGGCGTGGGTGAGGCAAAGTCCTCAGAGCCTTCCCAGCTGGGAAGCGGTGAGGCTGGACACCCCTTCCCCGTGCCAGGTCTCATCTGCAATGCATGTGGGTGGGTGCAGGGGGCCAGCGCCCTCCCTTCCAGCCCTGACAGGCCGCAAGCCTCCTCCCCGGACCACTCAGCCCCCACCCCACCCCCTGAGACAGAAAGAGGCAAAGCTACCTCTGAGGGGGCACAGTAGGCAGGTGCCCCCACCTCATTCTTCCCTGCCTGCAAGTGATTAGAGGAAAGATAACATTCCAGGGGGCTGAGGTGGGGAGGGGGCAGGAGGTGCAGATCAAGGCGCCCCCCAGCCCGCACCCTGGTCGGGGCCGGCTCTCTCAGCTGTCTGTCCATCACTGCTGCAGGCACTGCAGGGCCTCCCAGCCCTAGGAATGTTAGGAATCCCCCTCCCAAACTCTAGGGCCTCTCCTCTCCCGAAAACCTCCCCCTCCCCCCGCCCCAAGGCATCCATCAGCTCAGGCCTTTCTGGAATGTGCTTGCTCCTGGCACCACCAGGGCCCGGAAAAGTAGGGCTAATCCCTCCACACATTCATCACTCGTCTCCAGAGAGAGACCCCAAGGCAGGCCAGAGAAGGGTCTGCCCTGACCTGCCCAGGGGCCAAGATGGATGGCTGGAAGGAAAGACACAGCCTGGAGGGCGGGAAGGTGGCCAGGCAGGACAAGCCAAAGACAGAGCAGGAGGGCTGTTCTCCACATCTTGGCAAAGCTTTCATACTTCCAGAAATCCGGGCTTTCAGGAAATGCGGCTTATTTGAGGGTAAAGAGGGTAAAAAGAGTTGATGGGTTTGACTGTTGTTGAGGGAGGGGAATATATTCATAACAGTGGAAGAGCTGATGGCTCAACAGCTAGACCCTCCCTCTATAAGATGGCAAAAGCAATGTTAGCGTTGTCTCATCCAACAAGCCTTTGTCTCATTTCATTGCAACAGCAGCTGCCTGTGCGGTAGGTAGACAGCTGTGGTTCCCTTGGAAAGCCTTGCAGTGTCAGGCCTCCTTACCTGGCACATGCTGTTCCCCATGCCTTTCCCGCCCTGGCCCATGGGGCAAACTGTCCACAGTCAGTTCCCTCTTCCCTCAGGCTCTCGTGGTACTGTCCCTTCCCTCTGTCTCTGTACTTATCCCAGTGATTTGTCATTGTGTGAGCACCTGTATGTCTTCTGTGCTGTACAAAAGCCCCAGGAAAGAGCCACAAATCCCTTATAAACCATAAGACAGCCCCAAAGCTAACATTTCCTGACTGTGTCCCCTTAGCCAGTTACTAAACTCTCTGAACCTCCATTTCCTTATTTGTAAAATAGAGATAAAGACCTCTTCAAGAACTGCCAGTAATGACACCCTAAAATTGTGTCTCAAATATCTCATTCTGAATGAAGTTTAGACATCAGCAGAAATAATTGAAGGTTTGCACACCATAAAATAACATCTTTTAAAAGGTATGTTTCCTCATTTAATACCTGAACATTGGGCTATTTAAATTCCTTTTGTCTATGAGTACCATAAAGCTAGATCACAAAGAAAAATATATTATTCAGTCTTCACCCTTGACGTCTTTGCTTGAATTAATTAATTCAAGAAACATGTACTGAGTATATCTTACATGTCGGGCACTCTGCTAGGGATTTGGAATTCTGCAGTGAACACAATATGGTCCTTTTTCTCTAGGAGACAGATTCACAGACAGGCAGGTGCTGAACAGTGAGAAAAGTTCTTTGATGGGGAGAGCATTCAATTGGGAAAGGCCTGCAATCAAGACTGGTGTAGGAGGAAAGCATGCAAGGAAGGCTTCCTGGAGGAAGCAGCATTTAGGCTAAAGGCTGTATATAAACAGAAGTTTGCCAGGCAAAAGGTGATCCAGAAAGAAGGAACACAGAAGCCCAGAGAACCCTCCATTGCTCAAAGGAAGACTCCGGGGCAGAGCACCCCAGCCTCTCCCTTAAGCCTGCCTCAGGCAGGGCTGCATCTTCTGGGAGCCCTCCTTACACTTCAGCCCTCAAGGCAGCCCAGTGGCCAGGAGCACAACCTTCAATGTAAATCACCAAAATCCTCAAAGCTCTCTCTCTGGGCTGTTCCAGGCTAGGGGAGGAATGCAGGAAGGGTGGAGGGTGCACAGCCTTCAATAGAGGTAATTTTAGACTGCGTTGTCATGCCTGCCTGGGCCTCCCCTCAGCGGGGTCCCATCTGAGCTGGGAAGAGCTTCTGGTCTCCAGACCTTGAGAGGATGTGGCCTTTGGAAGGAGGCCAGGACAGCAGGATGGGAGGCCAGGCCGAGGCAAAGCCCTCAGCAGGGGCAGGACACTCGAGGTGGGGGCTTGGCACCTAAGCCTTGCTCTGTGAAAGCACCTTGCCAATGTCACTAATTCCAACAAGGCCCCACCTACTGATTCGGTGTCCTTAAAGGAAAGTGAAGCAGATCTAAGGCAGGATTCTGGGGAGGAGTGACAGGGGAGAGGCAGAGTCACCTAGGAGGGCAGGTGGCTCAGATGACCTCAGAAGCCCTGCTTGCAGAGCACCAGAGCCAGCTTCCTCGCTGCCCCTGCACTAGTTGCATGAGTTTGGACAAGTCGCTAAACCCCTCTGTGCCTCAGTTTCTCCATCTGTGACCTGAGATCAATAACAGTAATATCTAACTCACAGGGTGACTATGAAGACTAAAGAAGATCATACATATATAGGAATCAGCAGAATGTCTGGCAAAGACTAAGTGTTTCATAAACATTAACCATGATTTATTTATTATTAAGGAGCCACAAGTCAGGATCCCAACTCTCAGATTCTGGTTTCAGTTTTAATCCCTTTGGCTGGTCTCTCTTCCTCTCTAGGCCTGTATTTTACTGTCTGTAAAAGGAAATGTTTTGAAATAAACCAGCGGTTCTTCTCCAGGCACAGAGACAGGAGGCATGTCCATCTGGGGTAGAGGTGACTTTTCAGACTATAATGTTCTAGGCCACCCAGTCATCCCTTGGAGATCCTGATATGCCCCTCGAGCGATGGGAACCTCCAGGTTAAGATTCACTGTGTCTGACCAGAGACGGTCCTGATGGGAGTCATTGTGCAGGGAAATGGTTTGGAAACAGACACATGAAAAAGCTTGAAAATCTACCATGTGATCTGGATGGGCCCTCTGGGCAGGCGCTCTCTGAGAAAAAAAGATTGGATGGGAGTGAGGAGACCCAAGTTCTGGAACAGTTTTGTGACATCTTTGTAGGTAGCTGTGAATGGGTCCATTCACATAGCCTGTGTTCTTATCTCTAAGCAAGGAATAAAGCACCACCTGCTCGCAGCGAGATGCTCCTAGGGAGAATGCTTTGTGCCCTGCAGGTGCTGCACAAGCAAGAGGCCAGATTCCAGTGCCTGTAACCTGTGGTCCCAAGAAGTGAGCAGCAGAGTGGCCGAGAAAAGTGTCCATGTGTTCAGGCTCACCTGCATTCTCCCAGCTTTGCAGAGACTGCTCCCTTACCGTCCCCCTCACCACCCTAGTCTTTATCACCTTTCAGACCTTGGAATATCCTTGAAGCTCACTCAGATGTCCCCTCCCAGAGGATGCTTCTGACCCCCAATCTGACCCCCAACCCTTGCTGTAGAATGCCTCTCTTGAAGGCAAAGGGATAGCAGAGACTTTTTAGGGACACCCTTCTTATGGGTGGGAGAAGCCTGGGTATCCCACTCCCTCTTCCTCAAACCCTGTCTTATGAGTAGGCAGTCAGAAAATGAAGGGAGTCACGTGTTTTACTGCTGGGATCCAGCCATGCTTTAAAGGACTTGTGTTCAACCCAACACAGGTGGGCACAAATGTGATTTAGGGAAAGCAACAAATAGGGTTCTGGTTCTGAATAATATGGAGCAAGCAAACTCCACCTTGTCCCTCCCACTGAAAGCAATTATAAAACCTAGACAGAATGCAGGGAGCAATTACAGCAGAAGACTTCAGAACATCTCTCTCAGTAGAGATAGAACCAGTAGACGAAATCAGCAAGCATATTTGAAGAGCTACACAAACATCAACCAACTGGAGCTAAATGACATTTATAGAGTTATAGAGTACTTCACCCAACAACAGGAGGAAACACATTCTTTTCAAGTACACATGGAACATCCACCGAGAAATACCATATACTGGCTCACTAAAAAAGAACCATAACAAATGTAAGAGCATGGAAATCATACAAGGTACATTCTTTGATCATAAAGAAATTAAAATAGAAATCAATAACAGAAAGATAAAAGGAAAAACTCCAATTTGGAAATTAAACAATGCACTTATAAATAATCCATAGTCAATGAAGAAGTATCAGGGAGATCAGAAAATATTTTTAACTGAACATAAATGAAAATACAACATGCCAAAATTTGTGCTATGCAGCTGAAGTAGTGCTTAGAGGAAAGCTTACAGCATTAAATATTAATATAAGAAAAAAAGAGAAATCACACATCAATAATCTATAATTTTACCTTAGAAGTCTAAGAAAGTAGGAGAAAAATTAACCCAATACAAGCAGAAGAAAGAAAATAATAAGAATAAGAACAGAAATCACTAGAATTGAAACCAGAAAGCAGTAAAAGCAAATCAGTTAAACCAAGCTGGGCCTTTGAAAAAAAAAATCAATGAAATTTATAAACCTCTACCAAGACTGACAAAGAAAAAAAAAAAAGAGAGAGAAGACACAAATTACCAATATCAGGACTGAAAGAGGGGACAGCACCATAAACCCCACAGATATTAAAAAATATAATAAAGGAATACCATGAATATCTCTGTGCATATCAGTTTGCCAACTTAAATGAAATGGACCAATTCCTCAAAAACCACAAACTATGACACTTACCCGTGATGAAGTGGGTGACTTGACTAGTCCAATACCTACCAAAGAAATAGACTTTGTAGTTAAAAACTTTATCAAATAAATCCCCAGGCTTAGATAACTTCACGTTAGAATTCTACCAAACAATTAAAGAAATAACATCAATTTTACAACCACCATCTCTTTCAGAAAATAGATGAGAAGAGACTACATCCCAGTCATTTTATTAGGTTAGCATCACCCTGATGTTAAAACCAGATTTTAGAAACATTAAAAAGCAAAACCAGAGATCAATATCCTTCATAAACATAGATACAAAAGTCTTCAAAAAATATTTGCAAATTGAATCCAGCAATATTTTAAAAGAATAAAGCACAGAAACCAAGAGGTTTTTACTCCAGAAACACAAGGCTGGTTTGATATTCAAAAATCAAGGGGCCAGACACAGTGGC
The DNA here is from genome assembly GCF_000001405.40 of Homo sapiens. Classification (NCBI taxonomy): domain Eukaryota; kingdom Metazoa; phylum Chordata; class Mammalia; order Primates; family Hominidae; genus Homo; species Homo sapiens. The sequence continues at coordinate 15,743,095 of NC_000002.12, read as the reverse complement.
TTATGCCTGTAATCCCAGCACTTCAGGAGGCTGGGGGATTCGCTTGAGCCTGAGAGTTCAAGACCAGCCTGTGCAGCAGAAGGAGACCCCATCTCTACATAAAATTAAAAATCAGCTGGGTGCTGTCATATGCACCTGTAGTCCCAGCTACTTCGGGGGTTGAGATGGGAGGATCATTTGAGGCCAGGAGATCAAGGCTTCAACGAGCCATTATTGTGCCACTGCACTCCAGCCTGGGCAACAGAGAGACCCCATCTAAAAAAAAAAAAAAAAAAAAAAAAAAAAAAAAAAAAAAAAAGGATGTTAGTTAGGGTTTTGCTCTCACCTGTGGGTGGTAGGTGGGGTGGGGAAGGGGATCCTCTTCCAAACTGAGTAGCTGGGACTTCAGGCATGTGTCACCACACCTGACTCCTAGCTGATACCTTGATTGCAGCCTGGTGAGACCCTGAACAGAGGGCCTAGCTAAGCCAAGCTCAGATTTCTGACCCATAGGAAATGCGAGGTAATAAACTTGTGTCATTTTCAGCTGCTAAATTTGGAGTATTTTGTTATACAGCAGGAGCAAACTAATACAGTGAAAGACTGCTTTCCTCCTAAATTGGAAATAAGGCAAGGATGCCCACTCTCGTCAATCCTATTCAACATTGTACTGGAAATCATGGGCAGTGCAATAAGGCAAGAAAGAGAAATAAAAGGCAAACTAATTGAACAGAAAAAAAAAGCAAAACTGTCACTATTTCAGAAAATGTGATTATGCAGGGCCACAGGATACAATGTCAACATACAAAAATTAATTGTACTTCTAAATACCAGCCATGTAAACTTGGAAATTGCAATTTAAAAACAAAACCATTGATATTAGCTCCAAAACAAAGTAAATACTTAGGTGTAAAACTAATGAAATTTGTACAGCCAACCCTCTATAACCATGGGTTCTGCATCCCGTGCAGAACTACAGATTGAAAGTATTTTAAAAAAAAAATTCCAGAAAGTTCCAAAAGCAAAACTTGAATTTGCCATGAGCCAATAACTATGTTGAATGCCTATAAAAGAAGTTACATATAGGTATTGTATTCAGTATTATAAGTAATCTAGAGATGATTTAAAGTACATGGAAAGATATGCTTACATTATATGTACATACTACACCCTCTTATATGAGGGACTTGAGGATTCTCGAATTTTGGTATCCAGGGAGGGTTCTGGAACAAATCCCCCACTGACACTGAGGGACAACTGTGGAATCTGTATGCTAAAAACTATAAGATGCTGATGAAATAAATTTAAAAAGGCCCAAATAAGTGGAGAGCCATACCATGTTCATAGATTGGAAGACTTAATATAGTAAATTTGTCCATCATCCCAAAATTGATCTATATTTTTTAACACAATTCTAGTCAAAATACCAACAGGATTTTTTATAGATACAGGCAATCTGATTCAAAAATTTATAGGGGAAGGCAAAGGAACTATAATAAAACAATCTTGAAAAAGAAGAATAAAGTCAGAAGAATCACTCCATCCAACTTTAAGACTTACTATCATTTTAACAAGTGGGGTTGAAACATTTGCAAACCCATATGTGAAATAAATGCATTTTTATTAAAAACGTCACACCTTATTTTTTAAAAATACTCAAAATGTATCATACATGTAACGTGAAATGCAGAACTAGAATATTTAAAGGAGAAAACAGGATAAAATACCCATGACCTTGGATTAGGCAGAGAATTCTGCTGAAAGAAAAACTTGTCAACTCAGAATACTATATCCCACAGAAACAACCTTCAAAAATAAAGGGGAAATCAATACATTCTCAGATAGAGGAAAATAAAAAGAATTTGACATCACCAGATACTTTAAAAAATAACTAAAATAAGTTCTTTTTCTTGAAACACAAAGAGATGGTAAAAAAAAAGAAATTTGGGATATCAGGAAGGAAGAATGAACAATAGGAAAAATTAAAATATGAGTAAATACAATAAACTTTCCTTCTCTTCTTGAGTTCTCTAAATTGTTTGACAATTGAAGCAAAAAGTATAACATAGGGCAGATTTAAGTCCTAACATAGCAATAATTACATTAAATGTATGTAGTCTAAATACACCAATTAAAAGAGATTGTCAGAGAGGATTAAAAAGATATAACCTTATTATTCCACTAATTATGAGTGTAAATAAAGCTGATTTCAAATGGTCACATACTGTATGATTCCATTTATATAATATTCTCAAAATGACAAAATTATAGGGATGGAGATGAAATTAGTAGATGCCAGGGATCATAGTGGAGAAAAACATGGTGGGTGTGACTAGAGAGGGCTGCATGAGGGAAATCATGTAGTAGTGAAATAGTTCTGTATCTTGATGCCAGTGGTGTTCACAGAAATCTATGCATATGATAAAATGGCATAAAATTATGCACAGCATTGCAAAAATATCAGTCTCCGGACTTGGTGTTACACTATAGTTCATTAGATGTAACCACTGAGGGAAACTGGATAAAAAGGCTACACGGGACCTTTTCCTACTTTCTTTGCCACTTCCTATGAATCTATAATTATTTCAAAATAAAAAGCTAAAAACAAAAGGACCCAGCTAGGAATGTGAAAAGAGAAGCTACAAAGTGGGGAAAAAAATTGTAAAACACATATCTGAAAAAGGACTTTTATCCAGAGTATTTAAAAACTCTCAAGAGGCAATAGTAAAAATACAGACAACCCAATAAAAAATGGGCAAAAGATTTGAACACATACTTCACCAAAGTAGGCAGCAAATCACGAATACCCAGATTTTTATGAAAAAATGCTTAGTATCATTAGCTATAGGAAAATGTGAGTTAAAACCACAATGAGATACCAATATTCGTGTATTATAATGGCAAATACTAAAAAATCCTGACCATACCAAGTGTGGGTGAGGATGCAAAGCAACTAGAACTCTCCAATACTTCTGGTAGGAATGAAAAATGGTGCAACTACTTTGTAGAATAGTGAAACATATATCTGATGTTAGACCCAGGCATTCCACTCTAGGGTATACTTGGGAGAAATAAAAGTGTTTGCCCACACAAAGACTTGTACACCAATGACTGTAGTAGCTCTATGCATAATCATCAAAAATAGAAACAATTCAAATGCCCATCAACAAGAGAATGAATAAATTCTGGTATATACATACAATGAAATATACTCTGAAATGAAAATTAATGAATTAAACACACAACAATGTGAGTGAATCTCAAAATAATTACGACGAATGAAAGACACCCCCGATGTCCCCCAAAATGCTTACTCTATGATTTCATTTACATAAAATTCTAGAAAATACAAATTAATTTACAAGAATAAAAAGCCAATCTATAGTGGCTTAGGGGCAAAGAAATGGAGGCAAGGTATACAGGAAATTACACAGGGCATAAGAAACATTTTGGGGGTGATAGGTATGTTTGTATCTTGATTGTGGTTGTGATTTAGCAGATATATAAATATGTCAAAAACATCAAACTGTACTCTAAATATGTACTGATATTGTATATCAAAGAGACCTTAATAAAGGTTTTGTTTAATTAAATATTTTAAAAATTAGAGAAAGCAGTTTGAACAGATACTTCATAAAACACATGAAAAGTTGCTCAACATTACTAACCACTAAGGAAATGCAAATCAAAAGCACAGTGTGATACTACTGCATACGTTAGAATGGCTAAAATAAAAAATACTGACAAGGATGCACAGCAACTGGAACTTTCACCTGTTCCTGGTAAAGAGGCTAAAATGGTACAACCACTCTGGAGAATGGTTGGGCAGTTTCTCATAGAGTTAAAAAAACACTTCCCATAGGATTCAGCAATACCTCTGCTGGGTATTTATTCAAGAGAAATGAAAGCTTATGTTCAACACAAAAACCCATACATGAGTGCTTATAGCAGTGCTATTCGAATCACCGAAAACTGGAAACCACCCAAATGTTCTCTAATGGGACTGGATGAACAAAGCAGGGTGCGTGTGATGGATACCACTCAGCAATAGAAATGAAGGAACTATCCTACTCAGGAGGCTGAGGCAGGAGAATCATTTGAACCCGAGAGGCAGAGGTGCAGTGAGCCAAGATCACGCCATTGCACTCCAGCCTGGGTGACAGAGTGAGACTCAGTCTAAAAAAAAAAAAAAAAAAAAAAAAAGAAATGAAGGAATGAAGGAACTATTAAAAACCCACCACAACATGGAGGAATCACAAACACGTTATGCGGATTGAAAGAAGCTAGTCCCAAAAGGTTACAAACTGTATGTTTCTACCTATATGAGATTCTCAAAAAGACAAAACTACAGTGATTGAGAACAAATCAGCAGTGGTGGGAGTAGGGGGAGTGGTGGTAACTAGCAATGGACAGAATGAGAAAATTTGGGGATGAAGGAACCATTCCGTTTTCTGACTGTGGTCATGGTCACACACATCCATACATGTGCTAAGATCTATAGAACTGCATACACACACAAACACAAGATCAACTTTGTATACTAATTTACAATGAAAGAAAATAATTAAAAATTGAACTATATTTAAAAGACAGCAAGCAAATGAAGTCATTCTTTCCCGTTAGTAAGCGAACACGCTAGAGCCACTTGGTCCTCTTTATCCCAGCCAAGCACGCATAGTGTGGAATGCCATTGCAGGTCTTCCCCAACAGTGTTTACTAAAAAAGAAGAGCTCTGTGATTTGAGAGCTAGGAAAGCAGAAAGCCTCATGGGGAGCAGCAAGTGGAGAATACCCACGGGGAGGAATGTCCTGCAGGCCCCAGACCCCCAGAGGGGAGACACCTCCTGCTGCCTGTGGCTTTATCTGCACCGTATCATTTAATCCGCACAATCTCAGTGAGGATGAAGTTGTGATCCTCAATTTACAGATGTGGAAATTGTGGCTCGGCATGGTCAAGTCACATGCTGAAGGTCCTACCACCAGTAAGTGGCAGAGCTGGGATCTGAAGCTTCATCTGGTCCCTAAGGGCATGCTCTTTTCTCTACAAATTGGTTGCTAGGCTTGGCTACCTATAGAATCCCTCGGAGTCCCTTTTAGAGACGTTGATTCCAAAGCCTCATTCTAGGCCTACTAAAAGACAGTCTCCAGAGTGGAGCCTAGAAAACTATACTTTAAAAATTCCCAGGTGATTCTGATATGTCTGCAGTTTAATAGGGACCAACGATTGGGTGGCACTACCCTTGGGTCCATTCTCCCTCTTAACCAAGTCATATCTAAACTTCAGGCCAAAAGTCCATCCTGCCTTGTTGCTGTTAATGGATTAAATGTCACACCAGCTTTGCCCTAGAGGCCACAGTACTGCTCAGGGAAACAAGCCCAACATTTATTAGCTATGCAATAAATTAATTCTCTAAGTCTTGGTTACCAGATATGTCAAAAAGCATAGTACTAATACTCTCACATAGTTGCAAGGATCAAGTGTCATGAAGATGCTTCATGAGATTTTACACAATTCAATCATCTATCAAACATTTATTGAGCATCTGCTCTGTGCCAGACATTGTGCAAACTACTAGGGTACAGAAATAAGCAAGGTCTCAAGGAGTAGACATCTCTCCTCCATAGAGTGATTCAGGAATCCAGGCTCCTTTCATCTTGCGACTTTCACCTTCAGCACTGAACCTCTAGGGTTGTCAACTTTGGGAAAGAGCATGGAAGGTTGTGCAGGGCTTTTGTTTTGGTTTGGTTTGGTTTCAGTGGCTGAGAACATTCACATTTCCATTGGGTAAGACTTCTATCCTTGGTCCCATCTAGTTGCAAGGGAGACGGGGCAATGTATAGCTGTGTGCCCACAGAGAAAAATGATGAAAGCTAGTCTCTGCTATAACATCATTAAATCCTGTTAATTAATTAAGTGCTGTTCAACCACTTCCCACTAATATTATCTGAGCTCTATCCAGGGATCCCTTCATACACATACTCACTGTTATACACTTTTCAAATATCCTGGCACTCATTTCTTTTGTTCTTAAGGGAATTGGTATGGTAAAAATCAAGCCCAATGATGCTGCAAAAAGAGAATCAAATTTGCATTAAAATCTCCTGCAGCCAGAAAAGTATTCTGTGATCAACTGGGTGCTTCTCTGAGGTGAGGCTTCCTCAGCACCCCATGCTGCGCAGTTGCCAGTGGAGCTCAGAACCAGACACCAGTGAGCTGCCAGGAGCAGATGGCCTCCTACAAACCCTCCACTCTGGCCTGTCTCTTCCATCCACCTTTACCCACACATCTTTGTCCCACATGGATCCAACTGATCCAGATCTGGGAAGGGGCACTGCTGGGCCCACTGTGGGAGACAGGAAGCCTCTGCCCTCTTCTGCTGTCTTTTGCAGTGTGGCCCAATTCAGCTACAGACAGGGGGTGTGGGATTGAGTTCAGCCAGGCAGGCAACTGAGCATAAAGTAGTTATAAGACCGGGCTTTCAAACCAACTAAATCCGGATTGGCTCCCCAGCTCTGTCACTTAGTAGGCAGGAAACTTTGAACAATAAAACCCTATGAAGGCCAGGTACAGTGGCTCAGATCTGTAATCCTAGCACTTTGGGAGGCCAAGACGGGCAGATTGCCTGAGCTCAGGAGTTCAAGACCAGCCTGGGCAACCTGGTGAAACCCCACCTTTACTAAAACACAAAAAATTAGCTGGGCATGGTGGTGCCTGTAATCCCAGGCACTGGGGAGGCTGAGGCATGAGAATCTCTTGAACTCGGGAGGTGGAGGTTGCAATGCGCTGAGATCACGACACTGCACTCTAGCCTGGGTGACAGAGCGAGACTCCATCTCAAAAATAAATAAATAAATAAATAAAATTGTTGAGCCCCAATGCCTTAGTGCTGCTATTATTGTTGCCTTTCTCCAGCAAATGCCTTGCTTATGTCTGCATTCCTTCCTTCATGTACTCATTCTTCCATTTATACATTTCTCACCAAGCAATTCCTAACCACTTGTGTTGGGCCTAGACTGTGTGCTGGGATGGTGAAGATTCACTTCCAGCCACCCAGGGGACACACACCTAAGCGATTGCTACAACATGATGTGGTGTGTGTTATGACAGAGTCTTGTATGGGTGTTTGGGACACACAGGAGAGAAGAATGAGACCTCTGCCTGGGGGAGGCAGGAGAAGCTGGGTCGCTTGAGTTGTCAGTAAGCAGGGACAAGCATGCTAGCTAGGCAACAGGGCATTCCTGGATGAAAGGATAGCATGTGCAAAGATGCAGAAGCATTAAAAGAGCACAGCATGTTTGAATAACAGGGAGATACTGTTATTCAAATAACAAGGAGATACAAGAATAACTAAATAGCTCAATTCATTCTGGCTGAGACAGAGAGCATGGAGAATGAAGAAGGACACGAGGTATTCCAGGGCTTTTGGGGAACAAATGATCAGGGGCCATGTACTCCACACTAAGGACTTTGAACTTGACCCTGAGGGTAGTGAGGCACCATCAAAAGGTGTGAGGCAGGAGTGTGACATGGTCAGATTTGTTTTCAGAAAGGTCACCTGGCAGCCAGCATGGACACTGGAGCCAAGGGGACGCACTCAGGGATAGAAGGAGGCTGAAGGAGGATATTTCAATGATTAGAACCAAGGGAATGTAGTGGCATCTGGGATGGAGAAAAGGGGCCTGATGAAAGCCATATCTCAAGCCACAGCTCTCTTGCCATTTGCTGTACACGAAAGTTTCAGCTACAGCTCCTTGGGGAAAATAACTAGCAACCGCAGGATGCTACTGGGTTAACATCAACCACCTGTTTGGAGTCACATGCTCTTCTTTGATGAAGGCTATTAGTGAAAGTGTATTTGGAATCCCAAAAGGCTATTTGAATTTCACACCTTGCACTTCCTTGCAGGATTTAGGCTCCTCCAAGAAAATTGTGAAGCAACACATATAATCAAGCCACAAGTTCTCAGACTACAAATAGTCTTTCCCAGCTGCCCTGAACACATTTGCTGCTCATTTGCTCCTGCAGAGACTACCCAGGGTGCTATATTAAGAATGCTAGATAAGAATGCCTGCTCACTACTTGGAGTGGTGGAGGGAGCAGAGGTGTCAAGCCTGGTCTCCAGTCGCCTTCCTTTCTGCTCTCACGCACTGCAGAGCCTCAGGCATGTAGAATACTTACATCCCCTGATCCCCAGTCTTCAATTTTGAAAAACGGGGGCTAATAATGCCTGGTCTGTAGAGTTGTGTAGTCATGTCTAGCCCAGGGTCTGACACATGGCAAATGCTCAGTAATGCTTGTGGCACTGTGACAATGAGCTTTCTGAGCCAGAAAGGGGCTCTCTGAGCTGATGGGGAATGATCAGAGAGTAACTAGACTGCTCCTCAGGGATGATAAACATGTAAAAGCCACCAGCAACTTCTTTCCCAGCCATGTGCAAGAAGCCCAGCTTCTTGCTGGTCAGAGGTTTCTTCACCAAGGGCTCAGACTGGAAACAGGCTAAGGTCATGCTTGGGACCTGGACGGAGTTGTCGCCTCCTGCTTGTGGGGAGAAGCTGCGATCCAACACCCAGCCATTGCTGTAGAGTAATTTCCCTCCACCTTCTGGGAAATGAAAAAGCAGCCAGATGCATGCTTTAAAAATAAACCATGCAAGAGAAAGAAGAATATCATGTGTTTGCTTCCCAAGCTGGTTTGAAATATTTGAAACGCAGAGAGACTCAAATCTGTCAGGAATCAGCAGAGCTCTGAGGTTTGTTTCAACATTTGGAGTGAGAAACAAAGGGATTAGAATCTGTTCTTTAAAGCTTCTATGCAGCATTTGGGATTGCCATAACAATAGGCATGTTTTGCCCTCAAAAGAGAAAGTCAGACCACGCTCCATGTACAATAACAGGATCGCTAATTTGGACCCCGCCAGCAAAATATTTGAAATCACTCAGACAAGGCTCTTCAATCATTTACTTCACAATGATTATGAAGACAGGGTTTGTTCTGTGGCCAAGTGAAAAGAGGTTTTTTAAAACACATATAGCTGCGTGGTTTATATCAACCAATCTGGTGCCAGACGGCCTGAGTCTGGGCCCCGGCTCCCCCACTCATAACTATGTGACCTTGGACAAGTGACTTAACCCCATCGGACCTCTGCAAGCCTCTCTGAAGATTAAATAAGCAAATATTTGCAGAGCATGAAGTCTGACTCATAGTAAGTGCTATGAAAGTGTTTGTAAAATAATAAATTATGTTAAAATGAAGGGTGGAGAATCTTCAGCATGTTTGATGTTTTTTCTTGCTTTAACTGGACTCCTTCCATTTCGGTCTTATCAAATCATTACGATAGATGCCTAAAGAATCTCTCAAGTCTAAGAAGAAGGTGTTATGAATTAAGTCTATAGCTCAAACTTTTTTCCTCCCTGTCTTCCCTGTTGATAAAATTTGGGGAGGGAATCTCTAATTTTTAAAATGTAGGTTTTTCAGAGTCCAGACATAAAGGTTCCAATCGAGCAAGTTTTATCATCAGACAAGTTTGGGAACCACTAACTCAAATGGAATTCCTTCCCAGTTAGTAGGAATAATTGGGTTTGGTTGTCTCTGCTTTTTTCAGTGCCAGGATTTCGTTTCTCTTTCTCTCATCCAAGCGTCCAATACGAAAAGAAATTGGACTTTTATGCCCCAAAACTTCCCCTAGGGATGCAAGGCAGGAGGCCCAGGAGAGGTTAGATCATAGAGCTTTTATTTCAAACGGGAGCTCCATTCAAATAAAACCGCACACCGGCCGGGCGCGGTGGCTCATGCCTGTAATCCCAGCATTTTGGGAGGCCAAGGCGGGCAGATCACAAGGTCAGGAGCTTGAGACCACCCTGGCTAATATGGTGAAACCCCATCTCTACTAAAAACACAAAAAAATTAGCCGGGCGTGGTGGCACATGCCTGTAGTCCCAGCTACTCGGGAGGCTGAGGCAGGAGAATTGCTTGAACCCAGGAGGCGGAGGTTGCGGTGAGCCAAGATCGCACTCCAGCCTGGATGACTGAGCCAGACGCCATCTCAAAAACAATAACAACAACAAAAACCTCACACCATTGCAGCTGCACCTAAGTGAGGCTTCAAGTCAGCCCAAGTAGTTATATCAGAAGGAATGGGGGAAAGATGTTGATAAGCTCAGGTAAGATGCCTCAGAAGCTTTTGAGTTTTTAATTTTTTTAAATCTAAGACATTCCTTAAAGGAAGATGCATATTTGGGTCATAGTGGGTTGGAAAAGATGAAGAAAGATCTTTTGGATTTTGAAGCCCTGGCTTGTACCAGGGAGAGGGAGAGGCCAGCCTCAAGAGATACACTGGGCTCGTTTGGAGACACAGGGCCCGGCCCCACCCCATCTCTAGAACCCTCACCATGATAAGTTCCCATCTGTAAAGTGGAGGTGATGATAATGCCAGTCTCACTATGATTCAACACCAGTGGGGGCTGCAGATGCTGGAAGTTTCAAATCGTATTGGGAATGACATCACACAGATGGCTCCTGGAACCAGGCCACGTGGATAAGCCGCCCAAATGGACAGGCAGTAGTGATCTTCCTCTGGCATAATGAGAAAGGGGCTCAGTGATGGGAAGGTAATTTAGTCCCTGGACCAGCTGAGCTGGGCTGGTAGAAACCTTCCTTCCTCTTTGGAAACTGGAAGTGAGAGGCAGGCAGCTGGTAGGTCTCCCAAGAGGCGTGAAACCTAGTAGAGTGGGTTATTTATGCAAATTACAGAGAAACCCCATGTTATAAGATTACGTCTCCTGAGCTGTTTCTTTTCTGTCCTTGTTGGAGAAGCTGAGATGGACTCAATTCAGTTTCTTCATTCATTCATCCATCCATTCATTCCCTCTCCAACACAATACCTGCTATGTAACAGATATTGTGCAGGGAAACAGAAATAAATCTGACCCTAATTCTGGATCTCCAGAGATCTAATGGAGGGAACCCAGCTTAAGCTTAAACCTGTGATTCAGGACAATAAAGTGAAAGGTGTCTGTTGGTGGAGGGCCTTACAGTACTCCGGGGGCTGCAGGGAAAGAGACAGGGAAGGTTGTCTGAAGCAAGGGGCAACTAAACTAGGTTGATAAACAGGGAAAAGCAGAGGAAGGAGGTTCCAGTCTGAGAAAATACATTGATCAAAGGCAAAGGGCTGTGAGGGTCAGGGGTCAGAATACAAAGCTCTAGTGCTGGAGGGGAGTGCCTAGAATTTAGGGAGCACCTGCTAAGGGGAAGCCCAAACACTTCCCAGAACTCCACCTTGGAAGTGACAGCTTCCAAAATCTGCTTCCCCAAATGGCAAAGAAGCACTAAGGCTAATGTTAGCTTCTCCATGTAATCTCCTAGTCCTTGGCACGCTCCTCCATCCTGCCACTTGCGCCTAGCAGAGGGCTGCCTAGAGTGAGCACTCAGTGACGACAGAGAAAGGAACACACATAAAATTCTGCAAAACTCAAATGCAAGAATAAGTGTGAAATGCATTATAAACCGTAAGGAGCTGTAGAACTGTGAGAAATTGTCACCAATAACGATTGCGTTTCTATCCAACTGCTTTGCAGGGGCTGGCACTCCAGAGATGAGGAACAGCCCTGTCCTCAGGGAACCCAGAAGAGTCAACCAGGGATCCCGGGGCTGCCTGGCCAATGCTCTGACAAGATGAAAGGTTCTTGGAAGAGGTGAAACCTGTGCTAACTCCAAGGGCCCACAGGAGTCAGGCAGGTGAGGAACTGGGGTATGGTGTCCCAGACTGGGAACAATCCCAGCAGGTAACAGAAGGCTGATGGCCCAAGAAGGACATGGGTAAGACAGGCTGGAGGGGCATCCACCAGAGGTGATAGCCTGAGGGGCATCACTTGGATTTCAGTCTCAAGGCAAGCTCAAGTGCTGGGAGAGAACATGGCCACTTTTGTGTTTTGCAGCAGAGCTTATCTAGGGGGACACACGTATGCCATGAAATTAATCCCTTCAGCCCTTGAGGCAGTGGGAGAGTTGGGCAGCTCCTACAGTTGCTGCTGGGTTGCTTCCCCCAGACCACCTTGGAGAAGCATGGGATCAGGGCAATCCCTCCAGCAGCTGGGAAGCAGGAGGCTGTGCTACCCGGGGCCATGGCTCACACCTTGGCACCAAGGAGGTGCCACTAAATACAGATGATGTGAATAATACTGGGATGATTGTGAGCAGCTCCTATGCAACCCCCAGAGGAGGCTTACCCGACCCTGATGCTCAGCACAGTCTTCACAGGACTTTTCAACTCTGCCTTGCTGCATTCCTGATTGCATTTCTTTCCTATGCCCAGATCCGCCCATCTCAGAAGGGCTGCAGAGCCTGGGTTCCTGTGGACCCACCACCCTCCTCACAGGTCAGACTCTGTGGCTTCATCCCAGCTGCTGACCCACTGCCAAACCGCAGCAGCCGGCATCTGCCCCAGGGCTGGACAAGCAGCCTGGCTCTGTGCCCAGCCTGCACAGCTGGGAAAGAATGAGTCAGCAGTGTCTTGTCTCCTTGGCCTTACGCTAAGCATGACCTATTACAAGGAAGTAAATAACTGGGGAATGGTCCCAGCAGGGAACTCCCTGAAACCTCAGGGTCTCAGGAATGGGACAAATCTTAGAGGTCTTTTGCACAAATGCTCTTCATGCACTACAGGAGCTCAGCCTATGGAGCCACACTGCCTGGTGTCAAAGCCCTGTGGGACCCTGAGCAAGTTAATAACCCTCTGTTCCTCTGTCAAATGAGGATAATAATAGTATTTACCTAATAGGGTCGTTATGAAAATTGAGTTAATTGGCGTAAAGTGTACACAGCATATAGTAACAACTAACAAGTGTTAGCTATTACTATTGTTATCGTTATGTGAAGCGATCCCTTCTCTGGCATCTCTTATGATTAAGCCCTCATACAAGTGCTTCCAGAGACATGAAGGTCATTACCACGAGAGGCAAACTCTAAGCTGTCTTTCTCTTGGCCTGTACAAAACACAACTGTTACCTCTCATCCTGACGGATATTCACAGTAGATCTCCTCTTCCTGGTATGCCCACCTCCACTCTAGGATGAGACCCTCACTTCCTTCCGAAGTTTTTCAAAGGGAATACTTGTTGTCTCTTTGCCCCCCTTGGCCCCTTCTTCTCGTGATATGCTAATTTGTCCACTCTTCCTCTGAACAACTGAAAACAATGTTCCAGGAGTGGGCAGACCAGCACAAATAGAATAAGAGCATCATCTTTCTTGTTCTAGGCACTGAATCTCTAGCAATCCAGCCTGAAGTCACATTAGCTAACTGACTGCCCCCATACACAGCTGGCCCATAAAATCTCGGTTAATTTGGCTGGGCATGGTGGCTCACGCCTATAATCCCAGCATTTTGGGAGGCTGAGGCAGGTGGATCACCTGAGTCAGGAGTTTGAGACCAGCCTGGCCAACATAGTGAAACCACATTTCTCCTTAAAAAAAATAAAACAAAATTGAGGTTAATTTTAGTTAGAACCTTCTAGGGTCCTTCTCTCATACCCTTGTGCTTGCCATATATCCCCATCACCCCCTGCCAATCTGAGCTAGTTGGTTCAGCTTTTTTGACTCCAAGACAAGACTTCACACTCAATGCTTTAACTTTCATTGTGTCTGCTCTGGCCTGACTTTCATAAAAAGTCACCACCATGATGTCAGCTGTGAGTGTCATTGGTCCATTCTTGTCCAAGCAATCGATTGCAGCTACCCTGACCCAGCTCCTGTGTCCCTTTCCTGAGTCCTTTACACCTTAGCGGTAAGGTGATGGGCACGAGAAGGACTCAGTCCATCTGCAGGTGGAGTCAGCAGATCCCTTCTGCCTTCCAGTCACAGACCTGAAAACCAAACGCTGAGATCGCCCAAAGTTCATGGAGCCACCAATATCCAGAAACAGATGAAAATGTTTAGGAGGCAAGAGGCAGGCCTGGAAGAACCCGAGGACGCCACCTGGGCCCTAGTCCCACTTGGACACTGGCTCTGGGTGTGACCTTGGGTGAGAAACATCCCCTCTAGGCCTCACCCTCCTTATCTATTGAACTTGATAATTCAGGCCATCTCACCCGCAAAGTTCATCACCCCTTCAAATAACTCTGTCACCCACAGTACTTTATTGCACCCCCCTGCTCCATGGGTTAGGACACAAGGAGGTCCTTTCTTTCCGTATCCCACAGGTACATTTAAAGGCTCACCATATGATTATCTAGTCATGGTTCAGACTAAGGAGCTATATTGTAACTACTTTTCCTGCATGTTAACTTTTCCTGAACATAAATCTTGTCTCCGCAGCGAATCCCCCAGGAGTGGGGAGTCTTCCTCCCTACCCCTCTCCCCCTGCCTTCTTTTCCCCATCTGACGTACCATCTGTGTGTTTATTGTTGGTTTTCTCCTCTTGAATGTAACAGAAGCAGCCAGGTTTCATTAATCCCCATATTCTTCTAAACTATAGCTCCAAACTGAGGGTGTGACATTGAGGAAGGGCTCTGCAAATATTTGTTCATCACTAGTTGATTGATGTCATTTGGATTTTCTTAAGCCCACATCTCTAATGCACTGGCAGAATTCGATGAATTCTACTGCAGAAAGGGGAAGGAAGCCTGGTGTATCCAAGACAGAGTCATTCATGCTAGACCAGGATGAACCCAGGAGGTCTCCCAGGGTGGGGCTGGATTTCCTCCTCCGCACCCACCTGGAGGGACGCTAACTCATTCCTGCACAGGCCACCAGCTATGACCATCACAAAGGCTCAGTCTATGCTCCAGAGCGCTGCTCGGACAAGTGTTTTCAGCAGGCATTCAATGACACCATGTGACTGTGTTAGTGACTCCAACCACAGGAGGCTCATCTCCATCTCTTTTGTCCTCTGTTCAGAGCTGCCCAGAAATCCTTTATCAGGATTCGGCATCCTCCAATATGATGGACCAGAGCTGAGTCTCAAGAAGGGGAAGTTCCCAGAGAGCAATAGATGGCACAGTTTTAAAGCAATGGTTGACATACTTATATTTTCAAAATATCTGTGGTGTTTGGAATATGTAATAAAAGATACACCTGTTTTCTTTTGCACAAGTTTGTCCAACCCAAGGCCCAGCGGCCCAGGACAGCTTTGAATGCAGCCCAACACAAATTCATAAACTTTCTTAAAACATTATGAGATTTTTTGCAATTTTTTTAGCTCCTCAGCTATCGTTAGTGTTAGTGTATTTTATGTGTGGCCCAAGACAATTCTTCTTCCAACGTGGCCCAGGGAAACCAAAAGAGAGCCCTGCTTTACAGGTCTCAAGTGTAGACTCTCAGTGTGAGCCCGCTGGCCTCCCTGTGTGTTGTTTGTTCCCTTCCCAGGGCCTTCAGCACCTGGGATGCTTTTCCTTCATGCAGCCACCTGGCTTCTACCCTCACAAGGGTTGAAGGTTTCCACTCAAAAGTCACCTTAGTAGAGAGGTTGTCCACATCACACTCTATGCGACAACAGTCCCCCTCTGGCTCTGAGAGGGTCACTGTCCCTCTCCTTCTTTTCCCTGTGTGACATACCATCTGTGTGTTTATTGTTGGTTTTCTTCTCTTGAATGTGAACTCCAAGACAGCAGAGATTTTTTTTTTTTTTGAGACATAGTCTCGTTCTGTCACCAGGCTGGAGTGCAGTGGTGATCTCGGCTCACTGCAGCCTCCGACTCCCAGGTTCAAACAATTCTCCTGCCTCAGCCTCCCAAGTAGCTGGGATTACAGGCACGTGCCACCACAGCCGGCTAATTTTTGTATTTTTAGTAGAGACGGGGTTTCACTGTGTTGGCCAGGATGGTCTCGATCTCCTGACCTCATGATCCGCCCACCTCGGCCTCCCAGAGTGCTGGGATTACAGGCATGAGCCACCACACCCGGTGACAGCAGATTTTTGTCAGTGTTCACTTCCATGGTGTCCCATGCTGAGATCAGTGCCTGACTAAGAACAGGCACTCAACACACAGGTGTCCCATGAGTGACTTAATAGGGAAATATCTGGGGACCTGGGACACTGAAATAAGGCATTACAGGACTTAATCTCAAAGCTTTGACCTACCTGACAGTGAGACCCGGGGCCTCAGGCTGTCTATCTTGAGAAACATGAAAATTGCACCTGTCCACTGTGGCCCGAGAATAATAAGATGATTCAATAAGACAAAATGTTTAAAAAGGCTTTGCAAACTTATAGCCCACTGCAGAGAAAAAAAAAATGGTACTGTTGCAATGATCCAAGGTTCTACTACTCAAGTTGGTGGGAGGCTTAGAAGCCACCTCCAGAACCCCCAAACTATGGAGGCCCAGAGAGGGGCTCTGCCTCACCCAGAGTCACGTGGCTCACCATGGCCACCCTTCATCTGTGCTCATGAGGTGCTGAGCTCTGCAGGCATTGGTGAGTTCCCAGGCTACTCAGGAAAGTGAGGCAGCACATGGACCTTGGCCAGACTGTTCTCATTTCAGGAAATGGGTTCTTATCCCCAGGAGTGGTAAGTCTTATTCCAGGTGGGCACACGCTGAGCACATCCAACCAAACCACACAGATCCTCCGGGGCCTGCAGGTTGGTACCAAACACAAGCTCGGGGCACAGATGGTGTTTTGATCCCTTTATCCCAAGCAACAGATCACAGACAAGACAGAGTACTGACCAGCTCCCTCCCCTCGCAAAGAATCACAAGGAGGCATGGCTGCCCTGGGGCCTTTCTTGGAGTGTGCGTCCCTGTGTGGAGACCCACAGACTCTGCAGGTATCTACCTGCTGCAGGGAAAGCCCAGACACCTATGTCAGCCTGGCCCCAATGTGAGCTTTGTCTTCTGGGACCTTATTTTTGCACGTCCAGAGAAGCCTGAGCAAGACTGCACCCACCTGGCTTCCCTTAGACTCTGGATTGAGTTGAAGAGCACCCCCAAATTCATGTTCTTCCCAGGAATGCAGAATGCAACCTTATTTGGAAACTGGAATAGGGTGGACCCTAAATCCAATATGATTAGTATTCTTGTAAAAAGGGGAGAAGACAACAGAGACAGACAGTGTGGGGCTGGGGGGACCAGGTGACAACGAAGGCAGGGATTGGAGCGATGTATCCGCGAGCCAAGGAGCAGCAAGGGTTGCAGCAGCACCAGCAGTGGAGAGGAAGGCATGGGACAGATTCTCCCCTGGAACTTTCAGAGGGAGCCTGGCCCCACTCCCACCTCGAACTTGGACTTCTGGGCTCCAGAACTGTGAGGGAGGAAGTTTCTGTGATTTTAAGCCCCCCACTTCATGGTACTTTGTTAGGGAAGCTGTGGGAAAAGAATACAGACCCCCTCTTCACAATCCTTCCTGACTTCTTCTGCCGGTTTCCAAGCTCCAGGCCCCCCTCTCTCTCTGCTCCCTGCTCCTCTCCCAGCAGCCTGTGGGACACAGTCCTTGAGGCCTGGCCTATGCCTTTTCTCCTGCAGACGTCTCTGCTCACCTGCTCACAGCCTGGACAAGCTCTCTTCCTGCAGAAAGCACTGCCTTCTGGGCACCAACTTCAGTAAATCAAGGACTTTTCAAGGCTGCCTCCCTTTCCAGGGATGTTCCTGGAAGTCTGGCCCTGGGGTCTGGGCAGCAGGCTCTGGGCCCTGAATGCTGGGTGCACATTGCAGAACACAGCAGCCCACAGCCGCCCGTCCACGGCTGCTTGACCTGCTGCATGAGCCAGGAGACGGAGGAAGGGAGCAGAGGGAGGGAACGTGCAGGGTGGTGGTCTCAGGGAGAGAGAGGAGAGAGGGGATGGGTCAGCTGACGGGTGTGGGTGTCTGCTGTGCCAGCTTGACCAGCCACGCCTCCTCTCCAGGCCTCAGTGTCCCCATGTGTGCATGAGGGAGCTGTGTCCTGGTGGCATGGAAGGCCCACAGCGTCTGCTATCAGGGAGGACAGACATGGACAGAGTCGCCTTGCTTCCTTTACACCCTCCTTCCTTTACAGCCACAACGTACTGACCTTGGGGCAGGATGGTGGAGGTGGGAAGGACGATGTTGCTTGGCTCTGCACTGGGAGATATGAGGCCTGGAGACGGAGAAGCCAAGCCGAGGAAAGAGGATCAGGCAGAGCTGGGATAGATAGGCGCTCTCAGCGGATCCAGCTTCTAGGACAGCATTTATTTACAGTGGGTTTGGGTGAAAACCTGGGCTAGCTTACTAAAATAATCACACACAGAAAATCCTCACTGCCTCCCTCTCCAACTCCCCCGAGATTTCTGCTGTCTTGTAGAGAGAGAGGCTGAGAGTTCTAGAGAGACCGAATCAAAGACAGCAGAAGGAGAGAGCTGGGAAAGGCAAAGAAAGAGGAGAGATTCAAACCTAAGGAGCAAGCGGCTGGGAAGGAGACTCCTGGGAAGAGAAATTGATGACAGAGAAAGAAACTGCCAGCCCCTGCCGGGCCCTCTCACCCCCCACTCGCCCCCAGCTCACCAGGGTCACCCTTGTGTCCCAGACCTTCTCCACCCAGTCTCTTCCTCCTCTCCTCTCTCCTTCCCCAGAGTTCCCTCCAATGTCTTCCCTTACATTCCCTCCTCCCTTCCTGTAATGGACGAAACTGTGCCCCCCAAAATTTCTATGTCGAAGTCCTAAGCCCCCGTCCCCCAGAAAGTGACCATATTTGGAAATAGGGCCATTAAAGAAGGTAATTAGGGGGAAATGAAGCCCTAGGGGTGGGTTTGAATCCAATCTGACTGGTGTCCTTATAAGAAGAGGAAATTTGGACAGACTACAGAGGGAAGGCCCCGTGAAGACACAGGGGGAAGGCGGCCATCTATGAGCCCAGGAGAGAGGCCTCTGCAGAAACCAGCTCTGCTGGCGGTTTGATCTTGGACTTCTACCTCCAGAACTGTGAGAATATTCATTTCTGTTGTTTAAGCTCTCAGTGTTTGGTACTCTGTGTCAGCAGCCCTAGCAAACTAATACATGTCCTGCCTTCCTTCTTTCTCCCTCCCCTCACCACACCGTGGCCATCCCACACGCCTCACCACAGCCACCACCAAGTCCCGAGGCACCAGGCACAAGAGGATGTCCGAAGAGCCAGCAGCCTTGGTTCTGAGCCAAGCAAGCCACTGGCTTGCTGTGCAGCCTTAAGGAACCTACTCCCCGCTCTGGGCTTCATTTCCCCTTAAAAATGGACAAGTATGACCTGACTTGTTGTAAGGATTAAATTTGACTCAGATACCACAACAGTTTATTAAAGAGCACAAGAATTGCGACAGAGAGATATTACTTGTGAAGCTACAGGGAAGAGAATAAACGAAGTAACCAAATGCATTCAAACACATGAGCACCGGGCTCAGTGGCTCACGCCTGTAATCCCAGCACTTTGGGAGGCCGAGGCGAGCAGATCACGAGGTCAGGAGATCGAGACCATCCTGGCTAACACAGTGAAACCCAGTCTCAATTAAAAATACAAAAAAATAAGCCGGGCGTGGTGGCGGGCGCCTGTAGTCCCAGCTACTCGGGAGGCTGAGGCAGGAGAATGGCGTGAGCCCTGGAGGCGGAGCTTGCAGTGAGCAGAGATTGCACCACTGCACTCCAGCCTGGAGCACAAAGCGAGACTCCATCTCAAAAAAAAAAAAAAAACCACACATGAGCAATGTAGAAATGCATGCTTTTGAACAACAGCAATATTTCAAGAATTGAAACAAAAAATTAAGATTCGAAACATTTTGCTCCTAGTTTCAATTTGACATGCTTCAGCTTCAGGATTCTGAAATCCGCACTGCCTTGCAATGACACAGGGACACGTGAGATTTAATGCCTGGTGAGATTTAATGCCTGGTGAGCACCTCCAGGAGGAAAACAAGTGAAATGAACATAGGTCTAACAGCTTCCCCAGGCCTGGCATGGTCACATTTGACCAACATCAAGCAGGTAGAGCCATTCTTGTGCCCATTCTACAGATAAAAAGGCAAAAAATTGTCTTGCCTGAGGCCACATGGTAGTGACTGGTAGAACCTGGGTTTTCGCTTGAATCAGTCTACTTCAAAATCCACATTCTTCTCACTGCATTATGATATCGGGAATCTTAGGCACTCCAGGTAATACTAAAAGAGAGGTTTCAACTTGGGGTTGGAGATTTTTCTCTCCCCAGAGGACATCTGGCAGTATCTGGAGACACCTTTTGCTTGTCACGATTTGGGGGGTGTAAACTAAGGGCATGTAGTTGGTGGAGGCCAGGGATGCTGCAGAACCTCCTAAAAGGCATGGAATAACACCCGCAACAGAGAATGCCAATAGTGCCAACGTTCAGAAACCACATATGAAAGTGAGAGCAATAATAACCTCACTAGGCACTGACAGGGAACTGGGTACAGCGAGCAGACACTCTTACATACATCATGTCCCGTAGCATCCACGACTCACATAGAAGAGAGTTATGATGGCCCCAGTTTTAAAATTGAGAAGTCTAAGTCTCAGGGACATGAAGTAAGTTGCCCAAGATGAAAGAATCAGGTTTCAAGCCCAAAACACCACGCCACCTCCCTGAGGCCTTGCTTAAGGGGTCCTTGGTGGGGAGAGACACTCAGGCAACCATGTTCCTGGGAGAAGGGAGCTGAGCAAGGTAGGGAGAGCAGTGGGGGCATCGTCACAGAGAGCGTCCCAGGGGACCACAATGTGCATCCTTGGGTGCTACGAGAACCTTCTCTGGCTTTGCTGGATGGTGAGTGTGACTCTTCTTGTCCTCACTTGGACTCCATAATAACAGTCTTTAACTCGGCTCTGCACTTGGCAATGGAGGTGAGACCTCTAAAAGTTGCCGCGCGGGTCTGCACACAGCCTCAAGGCTTTTCGGAATTGTGAGTGACTTGAGGCTGTGTGTGATCAAATGGCTTTTATTCTCACGCATTGCTTCATTTCCTATAGGAGCCGGGCATGGTAATGTTCTTGAGAATGGCAAAGGAATGAAAACACGAGGTGACCTTCAGCAAATCCCTCTCTTCTCTTTCAACCCAGGTCTTTCAAGCCAGGTTTGTCCATCAGTAATGTGAGATGGTTGGATAAAATGATCAATCGGGTTCTCCCCTCCCGGGTATTTCTCAAGTCTACCACTCTATAAGTTCCACAGGTTATCATTGAAAAAAAGGATCTGAGCCTGTGGCTCTGGGGAATTCTAAGTTTCTGGTTTCCAGTTCAAAAATAAACAGGCGTCTGAGTTCAAAGAGAGGCGCCTTCCACAGGGAGGGCTCATTCGACAGCAAGAAGCCTGTCCAGGAATGGCTTCACTGAGCCGTGTGTGAAGGTGCTAGGGCCATATGAAATGACTTTGCCCTAAAGTACACAAATTTGAGAGTGATAGGAAAATGCTCGAGGCATGATGTGGCTGAAGCTTTAGCAAACCCAAAACATTTGGCCCGTTAGCCAAATCCTCAGACCCCGATCTCTACCCTTGCAGCCCCCATATGGAGTCAAAGTGAAACACGATTCCTGCCTGTTCCAAGTCAGAGGCTCCCTAATATTCCCGAGTGTCTGAAAGGGATGCTGGGCAGGATTTTTCCAGGGTAGGTTTTGTCCAGGGAAGCCCTAGGTTACCCTTGGTGTCCCAGAATAATTACTAATACACCCTTCTTGCTCCCCAGAGTCACAGTTTGGAGAATAAATTATATGGTCACCCTATCCAGGAGGGTTGAACGCTGCAGATGCTATCTGGAAACCAAGACTGTCAATGTCACAGCTTGTCAGGCCTCACACAATTGCTATTTGGAAACCATCTATGGACAAGAGAAAGTGTGCGCACAGAGAAGGTGTGCATTCAAAATCAGCAAAGCATTCAACTTGTCTCTTTGTCTGCTCCAAATAGGACAGAGCTGCCTAATAACTCCTTAGCACAGCCTTCAAGACCTACATTTCTGGCTATAACCTACTTCTCTAATTTCTTCTGTTATCTTCCTGTATTGCTCGATTTTTACACTGCTCTAAGAACTACCTGAAACTGGATAATTTATGATGAAGAGAGGTTTAATTGGCTCACAGTTCCTCATGGCTGGGGAGGCCTCAGGATACTTACAATCATGGCAGCGGCAAGGGGAAAGCAGGTACCTTCTTCACAAGGCGGCAGGAGAGAGTGGGGGAACTGCTACACACTTTTAAACCATCAGGCCTTGTGAGAACTCACTCACTATGAAGAGAACAGCATGGGGGAAACCACTTTGTGATCCAATCACCTCCCACCAGGTCCCTCCCTTGACACATGGGAATCACAATTCGAGATAAGATTTGGGTGGGGACACGGAGCCAAACCATATCACTTTCTTTCCCTTAACCTCATGCAACATAGACAAAAAAGTATTACCCTCACCCTATTTAGAACATATAGACAAGTAAACGGATGATGGGTGAACACCCGGGTGGGGAAACAAGGGGAGCACCCTGCTGAGAATGGTCATGTGCATCTTAAGAATGCGTTATTTCTCATTTCATTTCCTTCTTAACAAGCTCCCTGGTCTGGGATATCAGTAAGATTCAGTAGGTGAAATGAACCCATTCAAAAGCTAGACATTTGGCCCGGCACAGTGGCTCACATCTGTAGTCCCAGCAACTTGAGAGGCCGAGGCAGGTGGATCGCTTGAGGCCAGGAGTTTGAGACCAGCCTGGCCAATGTGGTAAAACCTCGTCTCTACCAAAAAATACAAAAATTAGCCAGGCGTGGTGGTGCATGCCTGTAATCCCAGCTATTCCAGAGGCTGAGGTGGGGGAATCGCTTGATCCCAGGAGGCAGAGGTTGCAGTGAGCCAAGATCGTGCCACTATACTCCAGCCTGGGCAACAGAGTGAGACCATGTCTCAAATAATAATAATAATAATAAAAATAAATAAAAAGCTAGACATTTGACAAAGTAGGTCATGTTTTCCTTGTGGACAAGGTGGAAAAACTGCATGGCTGCAAGGATCATTTGCTAATGAAACAAAGTCAGCCAACCAGAGGGCTTCTCCAGCGCTCAGGCCTCAGCAGCCATTTCAGTGCTTGGACAAGGAATTGGGTGGTGGGCTGGTCAAACGTGGGTGGAGCACAGCTGGGAGAAAATGTTAATTTCAATGACAATGAAGTTGGGATCCGCAGGGTCTGTAAAGGCTGGGTGGAGGCCTCCTATTGGAGGGTCCAGTCAAGCAGCTCTAACTGGGAGATTTGCCCGTCAGCTCAGCCTAAGAACCCAAGTTGAAGGTACAGGAGGAAAGAATGAGGGGCTTTTGTCAGCACCAGTTCAATGTGGGTCAGCAGGAACGTGGTGACTCTAAGTAACCTGAGACAAGTAAGTGTCACATTGATCAAGTCATAATACCCAGAAGAAAGGATGACACAGTCCCACGCCAGCTAAGCTAGTCAGGTCACACATGTGAGAAGGAACCTGAAGGAAGGTCAGTGCCAAGTTGGAGCTTGTTCAGAAACCATGACCCAGCTCACATGTGGAAACAGCAAAGACTGTTTCCTCCAGTGAAGAGAGGATGGAGCGGGGACATGATCCTACCTGCTTCAGGGAAGAAGGAACACCCAGGAGGCAGGATGAAACACACAGGGAGATGGTTTCCACGCAGGGGAAGAAAGGATTCTAACCACGTGAGCCATCCACAGTTGGAATGGTCTACTCTGATAGGTGGTGACCTCCCTGTCACTGGAGGCATGCAAGCATAGTCTGGGGAACCTGCAGGTTGTTAGAGGCCGGAGAGTCCAAGCAGCAAATGCAAAAAGTCAAATGGCTCATTTGCATGGTCACTTCCAGCTCGGAGCCTGGCTCATCGTTGGTACGCAAAAATATTTATCAAATCAGCACTCAAGGGATTGAGCTACTCGACCAGCAACCCAGTCACTCCCAGGCCAGGCCCACGACCTAACAGGCAAGCCATTTCCTCCTCCTTCAACTGGCGGTGAGTCCGTCTTCCCTCCTCACTTCTTGGGGCTGTTCCGAAGATCAAATTAAAGGGGAATTTTATGTTGTGAAGATCACATTAATGGCTATGAATGTGCTTTGAAAGAAAAGTACAAGGCACTGAATAAAGGCCAGGGTTGTTTTAATTCTCAGCCTGGAATGGAAGTCTCATGGTGAGTGTATCATTCTCATCATAACAATTCTGACAAGAAAAGGACCCCCAAGGAATTTGGCTCCAGCCTTTTCAAGGAAAAGACACGGAAGTCTTCAAAGAGAGATAAAGTAATTTATATTTATATGAAGTCAGAAAATTCTCTTTTTTTTCTCCCAAGTTCCCACAATTTAGACTGTTAGAAGAACCATATTACAAAACAAACCACTCTAAATAAAGAGAGGAAATCAATCCCAGTTTAGGCCTTGTTTAAAGAAATCATTTCAAATCCCACACAAGAAAAACATACACAGGCCCTGATAAATGCTCTGGAAGCCGGCAGGGCCAGGGAGGAGCATGGGGCTGCCCGGGGCAGGGGACCAAACACACAGTGTCAAGCGGAAAAGGGCAACTATCTCTCGCAGCCCCAGGTGGCCACAGGATGGGCCTAGCAGGAGGGGCCTTGGCTTTGTCCAGACAGGGTGGGCACCCAGTGGCAGTGAATCTGGCAGGATGAAGGGAGGCCAGCAGGTGGGGTGAAAGGGAGAGCCCGGAGTCCTAGGGTTGGCGGTGCAGGTCAGGGCCTGAGACCAGGTAAACAGAGGAGGCCAAAGGGCCCTGCCTAGAAACCTCCAGAGAGCTTCTGCAATTTCAGAAGAAACCCAAACCCACCAGCTATAAGCCAAGGAGCATGGCTGGAAAGATCCCTGAGAGCACAGCTCTGCTCCCAGCTTGGGGGAGACCCTGGTTTCTCCACCTGCTGAACTCAGGTGGGAATACCAACCCCGAGGCTGGCCCCAGCAGGGTGCATGATCAATGCCTTTCTGGCTTCTTCTTCTTTGATTTCCTTTTCTTGTCTCTCTCCTCTATCTCCATGTGTTGCTCCCATCACTGGTTGAATAGCCATGGCCTCACCCTTTCAAAAGAAACCACTGAGCAACTGCCTGCATTCTCTAAATGTCTCCCGGTTCTGTCCTGGCCCAGGCAGTTTGTTCTCTCTGCTTGGAAACATCTCTCCTCATTCTAACAAATTCCTGCCCAGATGTCCTGTTCTCTGTGAAGCCAGTCTGAACCTCCAGGGTAGAGCAAGTTGCTTTCTCTGGATTTTCCCACCCATTTTATAGTTTATCACGCGTTGCCCTGGGCCATTCTCTTGTTTGTCTCCCTTGCCAAGCTGTGGGTACCTGGAGGGCAGGGAAGGATGTTTTACTCTTCAATAAATCTGGAGCTTATGGCAGAGACTGGGAGAATGGGAAGAAAGCAGCAGAGAGAGAGAAAAGGAAGACAGCAGCAGGTCTGGGTTGTGGGAGGCGGGATCCAGGACGGCACATGGAACAGAAGCTGTGTGGAGGCAAAGGATCTGAGGTCAGGAGCTCTGGACACAACTCTCCAGCAGCCTCAGCTCCCACGATGGCCCCTCCCTTAATGAACACCCCCATGGCTTCAGCACACGGTCTCCTCCCCATGGGAGACACTTGCCCCTCTTTGTACCTGTCATTTGCCCATCTTGCAAATTTCCCTTTTCCTCCAGGAAACCTGCCCTGACTCCAGGGTTACAGTGATCACCCTCAGATCTAAGCTTCCTCTGCGGGGGCACCTGTCTCAGCAGGGCATGGCCTCGGGTGGTCGTGAGCTGGGTAGATCTATGGTTGCACTGGGCATTGCTCTCATCAAAGATTCCCAGGGGCCCTTTGCAGAGAGCTTTGGTCCCCAGGGTCCCTGGTCAGGAAGCAGTTGCTCAGGGGAACAGAAGGGGTGGTCTTCCTACCCTATGCCCAGCCGGGGGTGGGGGTTCAGGCAGATGGCACCAAGCTCACTTCCCTTGTAACCCTGTTGTCTCAATGTTGTTCCCAAACACACTAAATTTGTCAGCAGCCACCCTGTGTTCCCTGTACCACAGGAATGCAAGAGGGTGATCATGTGGAACCCGGATGGGATGCTCAGCTGGCGACAGAAGGCTTGAAGACAAGCAATTAGAGTCCCGTTACAGAGTCCTGGTAATTTCTCCATGTCACAATCGATTCCTCTTGTTCATGCTAATTTCCTCTGCCACTAGAAATTTTTATTTCTCTAGCTTTCAGTCAAGATGTGTGCAAAAGCGGGAGATTGATATGCTGGGAAGGACGGTGGAAAACGTCTGGCATGTGGTTGACTCACTAAATATTTGTTGAAGTAATTAAATGAATGAGTGAATGAATGTAGAGGCCCTCTGGCTTTGTTAGCAGTCCCCCTCCCCCAACATCGTGATATCCTAACAGCATTCACCATTCAAGAAATTCCCTAGGCCATGCATGGTGGCTCACGCCTGTAATCCCAACACTTTGGGAGGCCAAGGCAGGCAGATCGCTTGAGCCTAGGAGTGCAAGACCAGCCCTGGCAACAAAGCAAGACCTTGTTTCTAAAAACATTTAAAAACTAGCAGGCGTGGTGGAATGCACCTGTGGACCCAACTACTAGGAGGCTGAGGTGGGAGGATCGCTGGAGCCCAGAAGATCAAGGCTGCAGTGAACCATGACCGCATCACTGCACTCCAGCCTTGGCAACAGAGGGAAACCCTGTCTCAAAAAAAAAAAAAAAAAAAAATTCCCTTGCATGTCTGTCTGCCCACCAGGCTGTAAACTCCTGCAGACAAGGCCAGTGTCCACGTGGACCTGCTCCCCCACATCCCCAGCACAGGGCACAGTGTGGGGCTAATGTTAGCACTCAGTAAGAATTTGAATTAACAACTTCATCAACTCATGAATGGCTCCAGGGAGGACAGAGTGGTGGACAGCCTGCTGCCTTGTGAGGAAAGATGTCTGGACTTGAGCTGTGGCTTGCTATTCACTGCATAGTCAAAGCCCTGGCCCCCTCTAAGCCTCATTTTCCTCACCAGTAAAACAAAGTGTTGATCTCTGAAAATCTATTCCTGACAGCTCCATGGCAGCTCTTACGCCACCAAAATTGTTTGTGTATCCATTTGTCTCTCCCTTTGGTCCGTAGCTCCTCAAGGTGAAAGACTATGAGTTTCAATTCAGTATCACCAATACCCAGTTCAATGCTGGCATCTAGGGGTACTCAGCAAACATCTATCCACCAAACATTCTAGGGGCCCAGATTTGCCAATGACCATCTCCTATGGGGACAAAGCCCCTCTGGGGACAAAGCACCTCTGGGTACAATCTTATCCTTCGTGTCATGCAAATAGAGACCTGCACTCACTTATTTGACTGAAAAGCTCTGTGCCAGGCCCTGAGCTTGGCGCTGGGGAGAGAGACGAAAGCAACTTGTCTCCTGCCCTCAGGGAGTTCGCAATCAGGCTGGTAAAGAGAGACAGTTATGGGCAGAGGACAAGGCTGCGCAGTAAACACAGACTAGAAAGAAGGCACTACCTCCGGGATACAGGCCTACGGGGTGATCTTAGTCCCTCAGGAAAAACTATTTCACCCGTGGGAATTCCAGAAAAAAATTATTTGCACTTGAAAAAGGTCCCTGGGTTTAATAGGTCATAGGCAATAGTCCATGGAAGGGTGAAACTTTCTCCCACTGGAAGTTTATACCCAGAAAAGCTGACCTTGGCCGGGCGTGGTGGCTGATGCCTGCAATCCCAGCACTTCAGGAGATTGAGGAGGGAGGATCTTCTGAGCCAAGAGCTCAAGACCAGCCTGGGCAGCAAAGCGAGATCTCATTTCTACAAAAAATACAAAAATTAGCTGGTTGTGGTGGTGTGCACCTGTAGTATCAGCTACTCAGGAGGCTAATGTGGGAGGATAGCTTGAGCCCAGGGGTTGAAGCTGCAGTGAGCCAAGGTCACACTACTGTACTCCAGCCTGGGTGAAAGAGCAAGACCCTATCTCCAAAAAATAACAATAAAAAAGAAAAAAAGAAAAGAAAAAAAAGCGAACCTTGAGTCAGAACAAAGCCTGCAGCCATGATGACCAGGGCTTGATTCCTTCTCTATGATGACTGATTTCCCTCACAGGCCCAGGTACCCAGGAGATAATGGTTTGGCTGTGTCCCCACCAAAATCTCACCTTGAATTGTAATAATCCCCACATGTCAAAGGCGGGCCAGGTGGAGATAACTGAATCATGGGGGCGGTTTTCCCCATACTGTTTTCCTGGTGGTGAATGGAAGTTCCTCTGCACAAGCTCTCTTGCCTGCCACCATATAAGACATGACTTTGCTTCTAATTTACCTTCCACCATAATGACAAGGCCTCCTCAGCCATGTGGAACTATGAGTCATTTAAACCTTTTTCCTTTATAAATTACTCAGTCTCAGGTATGTCTTTATTAGCAGTGTGAGAACAGACTAATAGACTAGGGAAGCAGCTCTGTGGTTCCATGTATGGAGGATGAAAAGCTAATAAATTGTTGGACCTGCCCAGACACTAATCCATAGAAAAATGTGGCAAGAGAGGAACTTCCTGCCAGGATGGTTTAAAGATCCAAGAGGAAAGAAAGTCCAGGAACAAGGGTCACCAAAATCATTTTGGGTCCTCATTCCTGCTGATCCCACGTGGTCCAGAACCACATCCAAACTTTCTATATCAGTTAGGGTTATTGTCATGGACCACAGAAACCAACTCTGGGTAACTTAAACCATAGGGACTTTATTAGAAGGACGTCAGGAGCCTCACATAAAGGAGAGTGACTAGGGAATGAGCCATGGGAGCTCCAAGTCTCAGGACATAGGCGGCAGGACACACAATGGCTCCCTCAGCAGAGGCAGCCTGGTCTGGGTTGCCCGCCCCAGCAGTGCCCACCAGAATCTGCAGCCCTTCCCACTCACCCTCACCCACTCGCTCAGGGGCCGTACTCAAAGTCCTGGGAGACAGCACCTAATTCCATGTTCCCCACAGTACTGGGGTGGGACAGGGAAGAGCCAGCTCACAAGTGTCCAAAGTGGAAGGTTTTTATCTGGATTTCCACCAAGACCATGCATTTAGGGAAATGGAACTCCCCAGTGGGAAACTGGGTTGTTATTAGGAAGGGGAGATGGATCCGGGCAGGCAAAAACATCAAATCGCCCTTGCAAGCTGCCCCTCTTAGGAAGCTTGAGGTTCTAACCCAATTGTGGCTGGCTCAGAATGGTCACTTAATATTTGCTGAATGTATGAATACATAAAGACCAAAACAATCTGTAAAATGGAGATGATAATAGTTTCGCCCCTTTTAAAGTTGTTGCATTAAGTGAGATAATCTGTGAAAAGGACATAGGAGAGAGTCCAGCATAAGCAAATGTTCAGCAAAGGCTGGTAATTAACATTCATTTCAGCACATCAGTGTAGGACCCCTTCGATGTGGTCTGTGTACAGTGTGCACAGGGCAGGTGCACAGAAAAGAAACTCAATCAAACGATGTTTATTAAGTAAAAACAGGAGAGTGCCCATTTCACATTCATCCATCAAGCAAGAATTAAAAAGTCTGACAACATCAAGTGTTAGTGAAAATACGAAGAAAGGAGACTCATTTATATTGCTGCAAATGCATGCAACTATTTTAGAGAATAAATTTGGCAATGGTTGAAGACAGGTATACTCTGTGAGCCAGAAGTCCCATTTTTAGTTATATATAGCCAAAGAAAAAATTCACAAATGGATACCTCAAGATACGTGTAAGAGATCTGAAGCAATCTGGCCTTCAGAGGAGAAACTAGGGGTGGTGAGGGTTCAATATAAAACAATATGAATATAGATGAATAAATTGTAAAATATAACACTTTAAACATGAAAATACTGAAGTCCACACATGCACATGGATGAATCTCACAAACAGCTTGGAGCTATATGATTGCAGGATCTTTCTGCACGAGGCAGAAATGATCACATATAAACCAAATATGTTCTAGTTTCTTAGGAAGAACGTGGAGTACATTTGTCTTTCAAACTTTCCATGAATTCAGAAAACGCTTCTGGCCTTCTCTAATGAACTGATAAGTTTTCTATTCTGTTTACAGTTTAGAGACAAAAGCAATTGGTAAATATGATCAGTTCTTGCAATTTTAAGTGAATCCTAAGGCAAGGGCACGGGAGAGGCAGAAATGCTGACATCCTTTCCTCATTCTGCTGGAAATGTCATGGCACATACTAGCAAACTGTCAGTCTTGATGGCCACAGTTCCCCTAAGCTCTACCTCCTAGCTCCTGCACAGTGGGCAGGGGAGAAGGAAGGCATTTCAAAGTCTTTCTGGTAATTCATCTTCATATCTTTCAACCTTTCTTCCTAATTAATCCAACTCACTCTTCAAGGCTCATCCCCAAATTTGATCAGCCTTAGAATCTGGCCACATATTTAAGTCTTACCTAATTCACTCTGTGGTTGCCCTCTAATTCCACTCAGATGGCTGTGCAGGGTGTGAACATTAGATGCTGAGACAATGGTGACTTTGTGATAAAGATGAGCTGACAGTCCCTTATACTGATACAGGATGTCATTCTGTGAAATGTCTGTAGAGCTGACCCGTGGGTAGGTAAATTGCGCATGTATGGTGGACACTCTTGATATGAAATTGTCCTGTCATATGCGTGTGTGTCATACATTGGTATGACAGCATACATATAATGGAGAAAGTCCAGTGAATTCAATTAGGATGAACTCTGGTTTCAGAAGCAATGTGGGAGGTGTGACAAAGCTGAACACTGACCATGGATATTCAAGAACTGTGTCCCTTCTCCAGCCCAAACCTGTGGCTCCCCCTGTGTTTCCTGTCTTTGAGGGATGGTTCCAACTATCATCTAATGACCCAGGCCAAAAACCTACAAGGTGTTCTAAACACCTCCTTTTCCCTCATGCGCCACACCTAATCAGGTGCTAAGGCACCTGCCAGCAGCCAACTGTGCATTCTTTTTTTTTTTTTTTTTTTTTTTTGAGATGGAGTCTCGCTCTGTCGCCCAGGCTGGAGTACAGTGGCACGATCTTGGCTCACTGCAAGCTCCGCCTCCTGGGTTCAGGCCATTCTCCTGCCTCAGCCTCCCGAGTATCTGGGACTACAGGCGCCTGCTAATTTTTTGTATTTTTAGTAGAGACGGGGTTTCACCGTGTTAGCCAGGACGGTCTCGATCTCCTGACCTTGTGATCCGCCCGCCTCGGCCTCCCAAAGTGCTGGGATTACAGGCGTGAGCCACCGCGCCCGGCCAACCATGCATTCTTAACATCCTGCACACCAGTCCCTTCCTCCCCACTGAAAGGTGTCACCTACCACTCAGACAACTACTAGCCTCCCAGAGGCTCACAGCCTTAATGCTTCTCCTCCTGTGCACCCTCCAAGTGCTTTGGAAGGCAGGGACTCTACTCACCCATATGTCTATAGGAGAAAACTCATTAAATCAGTTTGAAATGATACATCATCATGGTGACTACTCACCAATATGCCTATAGAAGAAAACTCATTAAATGAGTTTGAAATGACACAGATCAACATGGGATGATCATCATTTCCTTCCATGCCATACTGTACATTGAGCTACTGAGAATTTCTAGAATTTTCCATGCTGTTCATTACCTCTGAGGTTTTGCATTTGCTGACACATCTGACTGGAATGCCTGTTCTCTCCTGTCACCCACCTGAGGTCTTGTGAGTATGAGTATGCTTCAAGACAGCTCAAGACCATGTCCTTGACGGCACCTCTCTGACCCCTGCCCTGCAGAGGCATAGCCTTGTCCCCCAGTACCCATCAGCCTCCGCCATGGTCACTTACACACTGCCTGCCAACTGGACTGATGTCATTTCAGAATGGTCTGGTGTCCGATTTCTCTCTATCCCCTCATCCTCAGGAAATACTTGTTGAAGGTATTTTCTAGAAATTTAGGAAGTAAATTTGATAGTGTGTGGTGACTGGTTAATAATTCTTTCTGAATTCAGCAGGATTGGTCTTGCATGAGGAACAAACTAACCATCAGTTCAAACTCAAGAACCTAGAATGGAATAGATGGGAGTGAGACCAAAGAAGGTGGTTTAGAAGTGCCTGGAGGCCGGGCGCGGTGGCTCACGCCTGTAATCCCAGCACTTTGGGAGGCCGAGGCGGGCGGATCACGAGGTCAGGAGATCGAGACCATCCCGGCTAAAACGGTGAAACCCCGTCTCTACTAAAAATACAAAAAATTAGCCGGGCGTAGTGGCGGGCGCCTGTAGTCCCAGCTACTTGGGAGGCTGAGGCAGGAGAATGGCGTGAACCCGGGAGGCGGAGCTTGCAGTGAGCCGAGATCCCGCCACTGCACTCCAGCCTGGGCGACAGAGCGAGACTCCGTCTCAAAAAAAAAAAAAAAAAAAAAAAAAGAAGTGCCTGGAACAGACTGTTAACCAGAATCCTTTAGGAATTGGATGAAAATATGTACAGGTTCTCATCTAAATAGATGCCTATGTACCTATTGTTTCCATTTATCTGGAAGACCCTGACTAACACACCTGGTGCCTACATCCCCAGCTCCTGCAGGGATGGCCCTTCTGAAGATGGGATTAGTGGTGCAATGTAAGAGGCTAAGAGAAGACCCACAGTGACACTCCAGTCTCCTCTTCTCCAGGAATGAATACGTGTGTGAGAACACTCATCAGCCATTCTTACCCTGGAGGATTTGAAGAAAGAGCCCAGACAGGAGGCCTTGAGGATGGGCAAAAACTCTCTGAATCCCGAATCCACCACCTGCCAGCTGCTCAGCCCCAGGAACGTTACTTCACACCATGGGACTTGGTGGGACCTGGAGACCTCCCTTTCCAAACCCTCTCTCTCTTTCATTGACCATCCCCTCAGATGGGCTTGCTGATGGCCCTCCTTGGTGGTCTCTTTGTTCTCTGACTGTGGGAGCCACTTGCTCAGCACCTGGTCACCTCACCTGCTCCCCAGAGCCCTTCCACATGTCACTGTGTCACCCTTCAGGGGACACAGCCTTGAGGGCAGGGCAAGGACTTCTCCCGGCCCATTTCAGAGCTCTGCTTCCTCTTGGCCTTCCCTCAAAGACCCTGACTTTATCTGGGGGTACATTTAGCTCTCAGTCCCTCGGTCACTGAGCCTTGGGGAAGCGTGGGTCCTCAGCTCTCTACGGACTCCTCCAGGGCTCCAGGGAGCTGCTGCTCTAGAACCAATTATCCATAAGCCGTTCATCCTATCTCCTGACACACGTGCTGCGCATGTTCCCAGTGACTCTCTCACTACCTGGGGCCACAGGTGAGTCAACCAAAGCCCAGAGAGTCACACAGAGGACGGAGGCCCAATGAGGACCAAAGCCCCCGTCTCCTGATTCCTCATTTAGGCTGTGTCTCTTGAACCTGCCGTTGTCTCCCTGACCACAAAAAAGCACCATTTCACAGAAGCTCTCAGAATTAACATGCTTTTCTTCAAAGAAAGTTAAATGAGGACAATGATGCCTTGCCCACTCCCTCCCAGAGGTGTTTGGAGACTCTACTGAGATAATATGTATGACAGTTCTTTGAAAAGCATAAAGTGCAGTAGAAACATGAGATTCAATTATAGCCAAATCTCTGCTGAGTCACGTGGCAGCTCCAGCATGTTTTTTTAAAAAAAATTTAACCTGCAGGAGAAAATGAAGCAGAGCCTTCCTGACAGAGGATGCTAACACCTTGAGCATGAGGAAATCCTTCCATGCAGGGCCAGCTCCAAGCTAAACAGGGGAGAATTGTTTGGGAGGGGTTCTCGTTTCCTCCTTCCTACCCCCTCCCTCATGCAGAGCATTCAACAGGCGCTAATTTCACTTTATAAATGGAAACTGAATCACCGCATTCCAGGCTGGAAAATGATTGGAAATGAGAGTACGTCCGAGGTCAAGCCCTCGCCACTTCCTCCCTGGATAGGAAGTGGGCGCTCCAAATGGTTCTTGCAGGGCCCCTCATGATAAAAGGCCTGCTTTGGCCCTGGGCTGGGAGAGCTCTATGCTGTTTTCAAACCTCACTTTAAAGGAGAGAGAGGAAAAAGAAAAACCCGGATGTCCCTCTTTAAACAGGGATGTCAGCTCAGGAAGGAGGGGCCGTGCAGCTGCCTTTCTATGGGGGCTGTCAACAGCATAAGAATTGTTTAAAATCTGTTATAAACACAGGCATAGAGTGATGGTGAGTTGGGGAGTGGTGCACCCCCTCTCAACCTCTGCATAGGGCCTCTCAGGGCTATCTGAGCCCTGCTCACACAACTAGCCATTCCCCTGTTGTGAAGACACCAAGGAGACTCGGGCTTCTGGTGGACATATCTAAGTATGGTGTAGAGGTCACCAGAGATGAAATGTGACCATGTGCCTGCCTGTGGTCCCGTCTTGGGAGCAGAGGCAGGGCTGGAGTTGGGAAATGGAGCTGTGCTTGCTGGTCTGCATGGGGTGGGACCTCTCAAGAATAAGGACTGGTCATTTGCCTCAGGCTCCTTAGCTCCTGGCTCCAGGCTGGATGCAGAGCAGCACCAGCAATGCCGCTAAGCAGAATGTGAGGTTAAAGAGCAGCATTAGTTGGCCCCTCTGGTCTACAAAGTGAATCAGAAACAGAAGCCATCACCATGGGAGAAGAATTTGTATCACAAGGCACTCTCTGCCCAGCTTATTTCCAGGAGGGTAACTCGATGGAACCCAAACCCCAGGAGACTGGGAAACAAGCAGGTGTGGGTGATCTGGAGAGAGGGAAGCATGGAGTGTGCTGGAAAAGGCAGAGGCCAAACAAACCTGGGTTCAGTTGTGAGGCTCCATGCGTATTAGGTGTGGGATCTCAGATCAGGTTACTCAACCGCTTGGGGTCTCTTCCAATTTATAGTCCACTTCAACACCTATAAATTTGGCATAATAATACCAAACTTTTAGAGGTACTGCTATGATTAGAGATCACGTCTGGAAATGCAAACCCATGTTGGCTTGGAAGGTTGAATTTGTTTCTTAAAATATCTGTTGCCCAAACATAAAGATCAATCGGCCTCTGTCCTTGAGAAGGCTAGATCTTAAAAAGAAAAAGATAGCCAAGACAAAGATATTTTTCTCTCATTGTAAAAGCACAGCATACATCTTATAAAGCACTAGAAAGTCCACCGAAGAATGAATAAGCAGAAAAACCAATCACAAAGCAGACCACTGTTAATGTGTTGGTGTTTTTTTAGTTCTCTCTCTCTCTCTCTCTTTTTTTTTAAGTGGTTGGTCAGACACAGTGGCTTACACCTGTAATCCCAGCATTTTGGGAGGCCGAAGTGGGCAGATTGCTTAAGCCCAGGAGTTTGAGACCAGCCTGGGCAACATGGCGAAACCCCATCTCTACAAGAAATAAAAAAAAATTAGCCAGGCATGGCGGCACAGCTACTTGGGAGGGTGAGGTGGGAGAATCACCTGAGCCCAGGAGGTTGAGGCTGCAGTGAGCCATTATCATGCCACTGCACTCCAGCCTGGGTGATGGAGTGAGACCCTCTATTAAAAATAAAAATAAAAATAAAAGTGATTATCCCGCTTTGTATTAGTTTTCTACTGCTGCATAACAATTTTCCGTAAACTTAGTGGCTTAAAACAGCATCCTTTTATCTCGCAGTTCTGTTAGGTTTGAAGTCCAGGTAAGATCAACTAGATTCTCTGCTTAGTCTTACAGGCCAAAGTCAAGGTGTTGGTAGCTGGATTCTCATCTAGAGGCTGGGGAAGAATCCCCTTCTAGGCTTGTTCAGGTTGTTGGCTGAATTCAGCTTTTTGCGGCTGTAGGACCGGCGTCACAGTTTCCTTACTGACTGTTAGGTGGGGGCCTCTCTCAGCTTCTGGAAGCTTCTCTCCAGTACCTGCTTGAGATCCCTCCACCTTCAAAGCCAGTAAGGCCATGTTAAATCCTTCTCGTGCTTCAGATGTCTTTGGCTTTTTCTCCTATTACCAGCCAAAGAAAATGCTTGACTTTTAGAGAGCTCCTGTGATCAAATCAGGCACACCCGGTTCACCTCTCTCCTGCCAGGCAGCATAGCATAACCTCAGGAATAAAGTCAGGGATGAGGGCCCTTGGGGCCATTTTAAAGTTCTGCCTGGCCCACACTGTGGGTTCATTGCTGTGTCCTAACACCAGGGTGATGATGAGTACTCATTGTCGTGCTGGTTGTTTATTGCTAGAAGTTGTTTGGGCCATGCTGTGCTTTGGCTGGTTAGTTATTTTTAACTATTTTGAAAGTAGCCCCCGCTTATATGCATTTTCTCTGTCAATGACATTTGTGATGGTTAATGTTAAGTGTCACCTTAACTGGGCTAAGGGATGCCCAGAAGTTGGTAAGACATTATTTCTGAGTGTGCCTGTGAGGGTGTTTCCAGAAGAGATCTGCATTTGAATAGGTAGATAAGTAAAGATCTACCTTCACCAATGTGGATGGGCATCATCCAATCCACTGAGGGCCCAGATAGAACAAAAAGGCAGGAAAAAAAAGTGTACATTCTTTCACTCTTCTTGAGGTAGGCCTCCATCTTCTCTTGTCTTTAGAACTCTTGGTTCTCAGGCCTTTGGACTCTGGGACTTACACCAGTGGCCCCTGGCCCTCTGCCCCACAACCAGCTCTCAGGCCTTCAGATTTGCACTGAATTATACCATCTGTCTTCCTAGTTGTCCAGTTTGCAGATGGCAGGTAGTAGAACTTCTCAGCCTCCATAATCATGTAAGTAAATTCTCTGGAGAACCCTCACTAATGAAACATTCTTTTCACACATTGAACAACTGCATAAGATTCCATTAAATGGATGCTCCGTAATCTATTTAATAAGTCTGCTAACAAATAACTACAATGTAAGGAGTGTAGATTTGATTCGATAGCGGTGGTGAGCCATTGACACTGGGGAATGACATAATCAGCTTTGTGTTTTATGCAGATTACTCAGTCAGAATTGGGAATCGTTGATGGAAGGGAGACTAGGCAGGAACAGAGAAAAGGTGGGGGACCTAGAGGGACTTGAAGTGGGAGAAGTGCCAGCCAACTTGCATCTTTACTAAGAACCTCATGTGCTCAGTCATTCATTTATCCAGCAAACACTGAGCACCTACTGTATTTTTGGCATTGTTCTGGGTCCTGGGGATATAGGGCAATAAAGCAGTCTCCCTGTCTTTAAGGAACTCCATCTAATGAGTAAGAGAAACAGGCACATAGGCCAAAAACCAAGTTCTAGGTCCTCTGATGGTCTTTTGTACAGGCTCCAGTAAGGGATAGAAGAAGAAGTGGCTAATTTTTCCAGAGGGGAGCAGAAGGACAGAAAAGAGGTCAGAAAAGAGAATTCTTAAAAGGAAAGTGTTACAGGTTGAATTGTCCTCCCCTCCTTTTCAGATGTTGAGGCCCTAAACCCTAGTACCTCTGAATGTGACCTTATTTGTCAGTAGAATGTCTACAGGGGGAATCAAGTTAAAATGGGATCATGATAGTGGGCCCTAATCCAATATGACTGGTGTCCTCATACAAAGGGTAAATGTTGACATAGACACACACACAAGAATAACGCCTCATGAAGATAAAGGCAGCAATCAGAGGGAGAATGCTTCTACAGACAAGGAATACTGAAGATTGCCAGCAACTACAGAGATTAGGACGGAGGCCTGAACATATTCTTCCCTACAGCCTTCCGAGGGAGCATGGCCCTGCTGACACGCTGACCTCGAACTTTCAGCCTCCAGAACTGTGAGACAATAAATGTCTGTTGTTGAAGCCACTCCATTTACAGTGCTTTGTTACAGCATCCCTAGTAAACACACATAGTAAGTAGACCCAGGGAAAGCCCATTCAGGGAAACACCAGGGGAGAAAGCAGGCTGGCAAGTTTAGGGCCTGGGGAAGGGATGGGGTAGCAGAAGCCAAGATACAGAGGCAGGCGGGGGCCCTGCTTGCTGAGCAAAGAAGACTGGATTCACCCAGAAGATGATGGAGATTCTGGGCAGGATACTGAGCATGGTTGGAGTGTGGTCAGATCAACCCAGCATATGGGTGGAGGGTACATTGGAGGGAAAGTGTGTGAAACCAATTGAGACTCTGTCGAGATTATCCAGTTAAGTGATGGCAAGGGTCTGATCTGGGTCAACAACAGAGAAGAACCCAATCCAGACATTTTACAAAGATAGAAGCACAGGACTTGGTCATTGACACTGTGTGCTAGGGAAGGGGGACATTTAAGAGAACTCCCAGATTCTCACCTCCAGGTTACTCTAAGACTCTCCAATTTCCAGAAGAGGAACCTGCAGCCCATTAACCAAGACAAGTCAGCAGGCAGTTTTTAATTCCTCCCATTACCAGGAGTAGGGTGGCAGCCCTGGGTTACTGTAATAGGATTTGACCATCCGATTTCAGGCTGGCCCCACTGATAACTGTAGTTGTCATCCCTGTTGAGAAAGGGGAAGCTAAGACTATCATTGTCATATGCCCTCCACACCCTTGAGAAGAAAAAAATCAGTGAGTGTTTCCATAATCACAACTGCCTTGGGAGCTGCCAGGAAATTCCAACAGGAAACTCCCGTTTGGAAGTGTTTTGTTTTGATTAGAACATGTTTATTCCCCTCTAAGGATACACTTTGAAACCAGCACAGGGCCTGGTGTCTATCCTTGAAACAGGCTCCAGGAGGGCCTTGGCCATCCCTGAGGGCAGGAGGCTTGGCCGGGGTGCTGCTGAGCAAGTCTGGGGAACTGAGCTCAGGCACAACAGAGGGACACTGGGGGTCCCAGGGTAAGGTCCTGAAAGCCCCCCAAGGCTGGCATCTGGAGGGGGACTCTGGGAACCAGGATAAGCCACTTCAAGAAGCACCAGATGCTTTTTATTTTGGCTTGAGATTCCTGAGGCTCAGATGAGCTCAGTTCCTGAACCACTGCTCCAAATTGCCATTGAGGTTGATATTTACAACAAAGATCCAGGAGAAGATGAATCAGCCTCATTCCTTTGTTTGGGAGGCTCAGGCTTAAGCTCTTCCCAAACTAGTTCCACCTCACTTTCCAGGTCCCAGGAAGGCTGTGCCCAACAGTCAGGAGGATATTCCAACTGCTAGACCAAATTCAACAGGACCATTACTACTCCTCCTCCCCCTCCCCAGCCTCCCTGGGGAAGCTGGTGAGCCCTTAAGAGACCAGCAGCCCCTGTGGCCTCTTCGACTGCCCTCCATCCATGGAGCAGAGGTCTCAGAGCCCACAGTCAGTGATCTTGTACAGACACTCCTCCACAGAGAACTCATCATTCTGTCTGGAAGAGCAGTGGCCATCAGCCTCCTGGAGCTAGAACAGGGCTCCTAAGCACTCTCCTTCCCTTTAAATGGATTTTAAATGGCCTTTACAAGTCAAGTCTTTCAGGAAAGTAAGTCCAGAGAACAGACTTCAGCTCTTACTTAGCATGAAGATGAGGGTTAGAAATTTGGGTGCCTACTTCCCTTCAGGTTCCCAAAGCCTCTGGTCAATTGTGCAGGGGATTCTAATCAGCTCTCCATAGGGCATCTGGGTTTAGGCATCAACTATTTGAAAGAATCAAATTCACAACCAGAAGTCCCTTCCTCCTCAACATTCCACAATGATTCAATGGTGTAGGAGGCCTTTTGAGCAAGGGACATTGTTGCCTTAGTTTTTGCCACTCAGCTGGACTAGGTTGCTGCAGGGGCTAAAAGTAGTGCATGCTCCTTGCTGAGTGTTTCTTCAGTATAATCAGGGAGATGCCCCAATGCCCAAATTCAAAAAGAAGGGAGGGACTCCTCTCCCACTCCTATCCCCACCAACTAGCTTCCTGCTTTACACGGCTGTCTTTTAATGCAGGTTTTAATATTATTCAGGTACAGGGATGATATGGTTTGGCTGTGCCCTCACCCAAATCTCAACTTGAATTGTATCTCCCAGAATTCCCATGTGTTGTGTGGGAGGGACCCAGAGAGAGGTAACTGAATCACGGGGGGCCAGTCTTTCCTGTGCTATTCTAGTGATAGTGAATAAGTCTCACAAGATCTGATGGGTTTATCAGGGGTTTCTGCTTTTGCTTCTCCCTCATTTTCTCTTGCTGCCACCATGTAGGAAGTCCCTTTTGCCTCCCGCCATGATTCTGAGGCCTCCCCAGACATGTGGAACTATAAGTCCAATTAAGCCTCTTTTTCCTCCCAATCTTCGGTATGTCTTTGTCAGTAGTGTGGAAAAAGACTAATACAAGGGAAGACTATGGAACAGAAGATGATTGCCATTGAAATGACAGTTTGTTACTCACAGTTCCCAAAAAAGGGGGCACATTCAGGGCCACACGGGGAACCAAGGTCCATTGGGAGGCAGAGGAAGCAAGGGGAGAATGCCAGCAG
Organism: Homo sapiens; assembly: GCF_000001405.40. Lineage (NCBI taxonomy): Eukaryota > Metazoa > Chordata > Mammalia > Primates > Hominidae > Homo > Homo sapiens. The sequence continues at coordinate 15,702,875 of NC_000002.12, read as the reverse complement.
GAGCCTCTATTCTGGATTTCTCAGGAAGGAATGGGCAAGACAGGGTAAGCAGGCTTAGAATGGGCAAGTTTGGATGGTTTTAGTGGACTCTGGGACATAGCGGCTGTCCCTAGTTGCCTGGTACTGGTCTTGGGGTGATTAGGGCAGGTGGAGAATGGCCCAGATTATGAGGTACTGGTATGTGAGCACCGCATCTGTTGGCCTGCGTAAGAAAGGTACACTCTGCAATTGAATCATTTACTATCTCTGTGACTTGGTCAATCCTGAGGGCAAAGTCTGGGAAGCAGTCCCTCCAGGGTCAGTAAAAGGCTCTAGATGTGAAAATATCCAAATTAAAAAATAAAACAAAACGAAATGAAAAAGCAGAGTTGAGGCTCTACCTCTACAATTTCTTTCTTTAATTAGCCAGGCTTGGTGGCATTGCATCTGTCAACCTAGCTACATGGGAGGCTGAGGCAGGAGGATCAGTTGAGCTTAGGATTTGAGGCTGCATTGAGCTGTAATCATACCACTGCCCTCCAGCCTGGGCAAATGAACAAGACCCTGTCTCTAAGAAAAGAGAAAAAAAACTTGAGTGCATCCTCAGTAGTGGGTGCTAACAACTGTCCAGCCAAGGATACACACACAACATCTGACATTGGACAAAGAGGATTTCCTATTCTTGGCCTCCCAGAAGTCTCAGGGCCATTTGGGTAAGTAGTTGCAGCAGAATTGTTACAGTAGGTCATCAGATAGAGATGAGCAGGGCAGGAGAGGACCCCCACCCACCAGGAATGTCAGGCAACCATCAGGTGATGGTCAGGTAGTTATTATAATAATAAACTGTCTCTCTAATAATTGGTCACAGCCAGGGCCAGGGAAAGGCAGTCTTCCATTAGACAGAAACACCTGAAACTGGTGATCAGCAACTTTCCTGATAAGATCTCAGGAGTTGGGCGAGTGGGCTGAAGCATGTGCACTAAGAGGCAAAATGGCGGAGTTTAACTGGTATATGACCTTCCACTAGGAAGAAGGCCTCAAGTGAGCATGTGTACAACTCAGTAAACACACCGCTCATGCTTCCCCTCCCAAGCGCTAGCAGGCCACAGCGCATGCAGACAGTGCACCCCAAGGGAAGATTCAGGGGAGAAGGGATGTGGGACTCTGGAGGTATGCCAATGTGTAAAACCCCAAATCAAAGGTCAAAACTGCACACTTGATCTCTCAAGTCGCCGGCTTGGCCCTCTTCCAAGTGTACTTTACTTCCTTTCGTTCCTGCTGTAAAGCTTTTTAATAAACTTTCACTCCTGCTCTAAAACTTGCCTCCGTCTCTCCTTCTGCCTTATGCCCCCCAGTTGAATTATTTCTTCTGAGGAGGCAAGAATAGAGGTTGCTGCAGACCCGTAAGGATTCACCGCTGCTAAGACAGTTTGGTGCTGTGTCTCTGATATGTTCCACTGCTAACAGAACCATAGCACCCATTTTACAGACGATTAAAGTGAAGTGCATGATATGACTCACACAGCAAGTGCAGACAGAGCTGGGCTTAAAATGCAGGTCTCCTTGGGAATGTCCGTGAAGTCTCCTTTCAAGTACATCCACTGCCTTTCGGGAAGAAGAGGGATCTCTACGCAGTCAGGAGACTGGACCGGGATCCTGTCCTTAAAACTGTTTTGGAAGAGGAGAAAAATACTGTCAGAAAACATCTGTTGTCCATTGGCTACACAGATAGCCACATCAATGGTCAAATAAGTATCTATTTAGTTGAATGAAGCCCATTAAAAAGCAATAAACACTTTAGTGACTTCATTTATCAACTTAATACTATCTCGTGATGTTTCTTGCTTTACAGCTAATCGAACTTCTCATGCATTGTGCCACTGGATTTGATTCAAACACTTACTTAGTGAGGTCTGCTCTGTGCCAGCCTCTGTCCTAAGAGCTGGAGAAACAGTAACTAAAATCCTGTATCTGCCCTCAAGATATAGTGGTGGCAAGAAATAGGTGACAAGCACATTACAATATACAGTACAATAAGTACAAATAGGGACCAAGGATACTGAGGACACAAAGAAGGAAATGGTAAATAATAAACTCTTTGGTCAATAACATTCAGGGAAGGGCTCCTACAGGAAGTAACATCTGGGCTGATTTTTAGAGACAAGTTCACCAGATGAGTAAGAAAATATTCCTACTTCTGTTGATGGGAATAACATGGGCAAAGGCCCAGAATAAAATCGGAATATTTGTCATTGAAGCATTTTTTATTTTTCTTAGCTGCAAGCAAAAGACTCAAAGGTGGCTTAAACAATTTAAAAAATATAAAAACAAAAATGAAAGATTAAACTAAATGTATCTCACATAATAAGTCCAGAAGTGGGGCAGTTCCAGGGCTGGTTAATTAAGCAGTTTAATGACATCGGCATGGGCCCAGATTTCTTCTGTCTTTCTGTTCTGCCACCTTCAGTGAATTTTATTCTCAGGCTCTCCTGATGTTCCCAGTATGGCTGCAATAGATCCAAACATCACAGCCTCACCCAACAATGTCAAAAGACCAGAAGGAAGTGCATCTCTTCCTTGTGCGCCCTTTTAACAGTGTAGATATCTTTCAGAAAAATCTTCCCTGGGAGCCTCTGGGAGAGCTCCTATAATTCTCATCTGCCAGAATTGCATCACATGGCCATTCCTTGATTTCAAAAAATTACTGAACATATGAAAAAAACCTCAACATCACTAATCATTAGATAAATGCAAATCAAAACCACAATGAGATACCAACTCACACCAGTCAGAATGATGATTATTAAAAAGTCAAGCAACAACAGATGCTGGCAAGGCTGTGGAGAAATAGGAACGCTTTTACGCTGTTGGTGGGAGTGTAAATTAGTTCAACCATTGTGGAAGTCACTGTGGTGATTTCCCAAGGAACTAGAACCAGAAATGCCATTTGACCCAGGAATCCCATTACTGGGTATATACCCAAAGGAATAGAAATCATTCTACTACAAAGACACATACACACAATATGTTTATTGCAGCACTATTTACAATAGCAAAGACATGGAACCAACGCAAATGTTCATCAATGATAGACCGGATGAAGAAAACGTAGTTCGTATACACCATGGAATACTATGCAGCCATGTAAAGGAATGAGATTATGTACTTTGCAGGGACATGGATGAAGCTGGAAGCCATCATCCTCAGCAAACTAACACAGGAACAGAAAACCAAACATGTTATCACTCATAAGTGGGAGTTGAACAATGAGAAGGCACGGACACAGGGAGGGGAACATCACACACCAGGACCAATGAGGGGGTGGAGAATGAGGGGAGGGAGAGCATTAGGACAAATAGCTAATGCATGTGGGGCTTAAAACCTCGATGACGGGTTGATAGGTGCAGCTAACCACCATGGCACATGTATACCTATGTAACAAACCTACACATTCTGCACTTGTATCCCAGAACTTAAAGTAAAATTTTAAAAAAATTACTGGCCAGGGAGATAGAACTAGCATTGTTGGTTCTTAGACCAATCAAGGTTCTCTTCTAGGGAGTGCAGAAGAATCAAACTTACCCTTGTGTACATGGCCTCCTAACACCTGAGCAAATTGGGGTTCTGTGTAAGGGAGACTGATGGGCAACTGCTATTGACCTAAGGCCTCACTTTGGAGAGTAGTCACATGGGCTCCAGCGCCGGTTCTAACAGTCTCTCATTGTGTGACTTTAGGCAGTCACATCCCCATCTAAGCGCTCTCTCTGCCTTAATCAGGAACTCTACTACGTGAGGGCCTTGTTCAAGTGAGCCAGGAGGTGCAGAAGCACGGGAAGTACAATAAAATGAAGTCATAGCAGGAACCTCATCCCTCAAGTCCATAATTTGTCATCATTTCATTGCTCTTCATCTGCCCCACATTGCAGAGGGCATGGGGCCTCTGGTCCTTCTAGAGCTCCACCTCCACACTCCAGAGACACCTGCTTCTTGCAGAGGCAGCTGATGCTCACCAAAGAGCCAAGTGCTCCCAAGCTTTCTCCCATTTTCCTGCCGTCAGGCTGGGGAAACGTGCCTGGGTTCTGACCAATGGGATGTGGCTGAGCCTTAAAGACACCCTGAGCAGCCCTTTCTCGACAGCTCCCTGGGAGTCCACACGTTCTAACCAGCGTAGGTACCAAATGACCCAAATCAGCCTGTGATGTGATGCTTCAACAGGGTGTGAGCAGGACCAAATGCGTTCAGTGGTATGAAAGAGTTCTGTAAACTAGAAAGTGTTACTTACGTGTGAGCAAATAACAGAATTAAGGGTAATAATGTTGTTAGTTGCAACAATGGCGCTGGTAATGGAGGCAGGGGGATAAGTTACTGTTGCAGGGTAGCAATTCTAGAAGTTGCAGTTGTGGGGGTGAGAGTAGCCAGGCAGAGGTAGGATAATGGTGGTGTTTGTGGTAGTGATACAGTAATGTGATATTGACAGCCGCGATGGTGGTGGCATATTTGAAAATAAGCTAAAATCTGCACAGTAAGGTTAATAGCGGTAATGATGGTGATGGGAGCAGCTGCAGAAAGCCTGTTTGCATTCTCGGCAGGGAGGGCAGAGCTAGCACAGTGATGCTGGGTCTTGCTTAGAGCTGTCCGTGTTTCTCTATCCTTAGCTCTTGGCAATTATTATTATTATTATTATTATTATTATTATTATTATTATTATTATTATTTTAAGACAGAATCTCGCTCTGTCGCCCAGGCTGGAGTGCAGTGGCGGAATCTCAGCTCACTGCAAGCTCCGCCTCCCAGGTTCATGCCATTCTGCCTCTGCCTCTGCCTCACCCTCCCTCCTGAGTAGCTGCGACTACAGGCACCTGCCACTAGGCCCGGCTAATTTTGTTTTGTATTTTTAGTAGAGAGGGGGTTTCACCGTGTTAGCCAGGATGGTGTGATCTCCTGACCTTGTGATCCGCCCGCCTCAGCCTCCCAAAGTGCTGGGATTACAGGCATGAGCCACCGCGCCTGGCCACTCTTGGCCATTATTTTAAGCCTTTAGAAGGCCTGGCTGCTCTAACTTGTGGAAGCCCCACCCCTTTCAAAAGAAATTCCTTGATTTTTTTCACAGTAAGGAAACTGTAGCTCTATAGACTATCAGGCTTCCCAAATTATGTATGTAATTCTAAATGAGTGTAGTTGTGGCTGACTATTGGTATGTGTTGTAGGCTTCCAATTAAATAATAATAAATAATAAATAAATAATAAATAGAATATTGGAAAACCAAATACTACATGTTCTCACTTATAAGTGAGAGCTAAGCTGTGGGTACGCAAAGGCATACAGAGTGGTATAACGGATATTGGAGACTCAGACTTGGGTGGGGGGAGTGGGGTGAGAGATAAAACATCAACTATTGGGCACAATATACACTATTCAGGTGACAGGTACACTAAAAGCCCAGGTTTCGCCACTATACAATTCATCCACGTAACCGAAAGCCACTTATACCCCTAAAGCTATTGAATTTGTTTTTAATTTGCTGTTTATGTATTTTGCAGCAAATTTTTCAGCCCTGAAACATTTTTGTAGGCTCCCAAAAAGTGTATAGACCCTTACAGTGCCTAATAGTGAGAGGTGACAGCGTGCTGGCAGCCCTCGCTCACTCTTGGTGCCTCATTGGCCTCGGCACCCATTCTGGCCATGCTTCAGGAGCCCTTCAGCCCGCTGCTGCACCATGGGAGACCTTCTCTGGGCTGGCTGAGGCCGGAGCCGGCTCCCTCGGCTTGCGGGGAGGTGAGGAGGGAGAGGCACGGGCGGGAACCGGGGCTGCGCACAGCGCTTGCGGGCCAGCGCGAGTTCCAGGTGGGCGTGGGCTCAGCGGGACCGCACTTGGAGAGGCCGGCCGGCCAGCAATCCCCAGGCAGTGAGGGGCTTAGCACCTGAGCCAGCAGCTGCTGTGCTCGATTTCTCGCCAGGCCTCAGCTGCCTTCCCGTGGGGCAGGGCTCGGGACCTGCAGCCCGCCATGCCTGAGCCTCCCCCCACTGCCTTGGGCTCCTGCGCGGCTGGAGCCTCCCTGACGAGTGCAGCTCCCTGCTCCAGGGCGCCCAGTCCCATCGACCTCCCAAGGGCTGAGGAGTGCGGGCGCAGGGCGCGGGACTGGCAGGCAGCTCCACCTGCGACCCCAGTGCAGGATCCACTGGGCTCCTGAGTCTGGTGGGGACTTGGAGAATCTTTATGTCTAGCTAAGGGATTGTAAATACACCAGTCAGCACTCTGCATCTAGCTCAAGGTTTGTAAACACACCAATCAGTACCCTGTGTCTAGCTCAGGGTTTGTGAATGCACCAATAGACACTCTGTATCTAGTTAATCTGGTGGGGACTTGGAGAACCTTTATGTTTAGCTAAGGGATTGTAAATACACCAATCAGCACTCTGTATCTAGCTCAAGGTTTGTAAACACACCAATCAGCATCCTGTGTCTAGCTCAGGGTTTGTGAATGCACCAATCGACACTCTGTATCTAGCTAATCTAGTGGGGAGGTGGAGAACTTTTGTGTATAGCTCAGGGATTGTAAATGCACCAATCAGCACCCTGTCAAAACAGACCAATCAGCTCTCTGTAAAACAGACCAATTGGCTCGCTGTAAAATGGACCAATCAGCAGGATGTAGGTGGGGCCAGATAAGAAAATAAAAGCAGGCTGCCCCAGCCAGCAGTGGCAACATGCTGGGGTCCTCTTCCACACTGTGGTAGCTTTGTTCTTTTGCTCTTTGCAATAAATTGTGCTGCTGCTCGCTCTTTGGGTCCACACTGCATTTATGAGGTGTGACACTTACTGTGAAGGTCTGCAGCTTCAATCCTGAGCCAGTGAGACCACGAACCCACCAGAAGGAAGAAACTCCAAACACATCAGAACATCAGAAGGAACAAACTCCAGACACACCGCCTTTAAGAACTGCAACACCACGAGGGTCCGTGGCTTCATTCTTGAAGTCAGTAAGATCAAGAACCCACCAATTCCGGACACAATAGTGGCTAATGGTCAAAGCATCTCCAGCTTTAGGGGCTGTCCAAGGAGGGAAGGAATGGATTCTTCCTCCTCCCACCACACGCTTGATTTGTCCTTATGTGAGGGTCCCTGGTGCATGTGGTGAAGGCCACCTATGGGCCTCTCTCTCCAGTAACAAAGGCCTAGAGATGCGACACACATACATACACACACACATACACACACACACACACACACACCCCTGCAGACCCAGAGGTTGGAAGACCAGGTCAGGCTACCATCCCCTGTGGCTGGTGTGCCAGGGCCTCCTGGGACATGAGGGCACCAGAGCCCAGCCCTAAGGACTCAGGCTACCAAAGGTTTCCATTGCTTCGTGGGCCTTAGTGTTTTCCTTGAAAAGCATTAACAATTACTGTCTTAAAGCAAAGCAACAGGCAGAGGGACTGACAGGTGGCTACAAGTGGTCTTGCTCTTGGGCCTGAGCAGATGTTTCTGACAATTCCTCACTGAGCCTGGGGGCCGGGTCCCAGATGGAATTCTAAAAGTTTGGAGCGGCTTAGGAGCAGCAGTTTAAAGGCACCAGAGAATTCAGGTGAGGGTCTGGGAAAAGAAAATCCACCTTCAGCCTCAAGAAGGTGCCAGATCTTGTTGAAGGACCCTTGAAGGCTGCAGCCTCTGGAGACTCAAGGGGCTTTCTCATGCAAGGGGCAATGGACAGGGAAGCTGAAACACATCTGAAGGGCCGGCAAAGGTTCTCGTTTCTGGCTCGGAGAGAGCAGAAGTAAAAATTGCCAATGGCTCCTGTCTCCTGCAGAGCAAAATCCCAACTCCTACCCGTGGCACACGGGGCTATCTGTGATAGGATCGCTCGTCCTTATAACACTTTTAAAATTCAGCTTTCCTAAGATTCAAGGGCCACCTACTCACCTTCCTGCCCCACCTCTATCTCTCAGCCACACTGACCTGTCCATGTCCAGCCCTGCATCTTTGCCTGCCCGTTCCTCAAGCTCACTTCTTCTTTGAAACCAGCCGTGACCCTCCCAGGCAGTACTGGTCAGTCCTTCAGCTGGGCCCCACTATTGGGCGCATACTTACATAATGGCATGTATTTTGCTGACCTGCAATTTTTTGTTTCCGTGACTGTCTCTGCACAAGTGTGTGAGTTCCTCCAACCAGGAGTGTTTTATTCATTTGAGTGTGCTCAGCACCATGCCCGGTCCTTGCCCTATGATGGGTCCTCAGTAAATAGGCGAGAAATGAATGAAGAGCAACTCTACTGATTAATACATGAAGACGTAACTGAATCATTGAAAGAATGAGAGCAGGGGGCATTTACTTTCAATAAGGGACGCTGTCTGGTGCTACTCAATTTCCTAAGCACTGTGTGTGAAAGGAGTCCTCAGGCCTGTGTTAGGGTTTCCTTAAGGGAGGGGCTCTCCCTCGCTGGGAGGAGCCCTGGGGGCTGCAGAGTGGCTTTGCAGCTGCTGCTAACCCTAACCATGTGCGCGTGCTGGGCGGCCGGCGGGCCACTTCATTACTTTGTGCTTAAGGAAATGCCTCCCAGCTCTGCACTTGCCTTTTTAAATTTCACAACCACTAAATTCACTCCCAGTGTTGCTTTATAGCAAGCGAAAGTAGTGTGGGGGATCCACAACAGACGTCTCTCCACACAGCCAGCCCGGGCGCGGCCTGAGACTGGGGTGGGGAGCGGGGACCCACAGCTGTCCAAGGCTGCCTCTCCAAGGAGACCCCGGCCCCTCAGCAGAATCTGCCAAGCTGGGGTAAGGGAAAGCTTCTCTTCCGTAATTAAAGTCTGAGTCTTTTCTATTTTTTATTTTTTTGCAGTAGTTTTAGGTTCACAGCAAAACTGAGCAGAAAGTAAAGAGAATTCCCATATACACCCCGTTCCCACATATTCATACTCACAACCACCCACTATCAATATCCTGCACCAGAGTATGACTGTAAAATCAATGAAGCGTATATTGACACATCATCACCTGACGTCCATCGTTTACATTAGGGTTCACTGTTGGTAATGTACATTCTATAGATTTGTACAAATGTAGAATGCCATGGAGCCACCATTGTAGGATCACACAGAATAGTTTTGCTGCCCTAAGAATCCTCTGTGCTCTGCCTATTTATCCTCCTTCCCTCAACCCCTAGCAGCCACTGACCTTGTTACTATCGCTATCGTTTTGTCTTTTGCAGATGGTCATATAGTTAGAATCATAGAATAAGTAGGCTTTTCAGATTGGCATCTTTCACTTACTGCTGGGAATTTAAGGTTCCTCCATATCTTCTTGTAAGCCTGAGTCTTTTATTTATTTATTTATTTATTTATTTATTTATTTACTTATTTTCAGACAGAATCTCGCTCTGTCTCCAGGCTGGAGTGCAGTGGCAACCTCTGCCTCCCGGGTTAAGCCTGAGTCTTTGAATAGGAGCTGCAGACTTAGGAGCACTAGTTTAGGGATGAGGTCAATGTGGCTTTAGGTTCTAACTTTGTTATTTGTGAGCTTGGACCATTCACTCACTCCCTCCAGTCCCAGCACTGCACACTACCTTCTCCTCCCCTTGGAGGTCTTGTCAGTCTTTCTCTTCTATTTTGTTTTATTTACCTCAGCACCAAGCCAGGGCCCAACTATGGTTTCCACGCAGTGAAAGGCCAGAAAGCCGTGGACCAATTAATGGATAAGTGGGACAACAGGAACTCAAAAGCCCCCCGCCCCTTTTTTGAGACAGGATCTTGCTATGTTGCCCAGGCTGATCTCAAAATCCTGGGCTCAAGAAATTCTCTTATCTCAGCTTCCCAAGTAGCTACAATTACAGGCTTAAGTGATCATGCCCATCAAAACACCATTTTAACTGAAAAATGTGACGCGCTGTTTCCTAAGTGAGTGCCACTGTAGAGTAAGAAGACCCCAGAAACCGGAGATGTGGGTTCCAGCTCCAACTCGACCTCCTGGGCTACCGGGGATGTGTCTCGGGGCTCTCTTTGCCCTCTGTCAACACCGTGGAGATGTCAGTGACCTCAAAGGCAGGGTGTGAAAATGAAACAAGATGCTGGCAAGAAGCAGGGCCCCGGGAACTATAAACTCTGGGCTCCAGGAGGCAGTATTTTGGAGGACAGAAGGGTCATCCCCAAAATTCAGGCCAGCTGGCTGTCCCTGTCTTCTGCAAAGCACAGAGAGAGGTCATATGGGGACATGGCTTCCCTAGGATCCACCTTTATATGACTTGGTGGCCTTCAGTGAAGCTAAATATCACAGCTGCCAGACACTTTCCAATGGCATGACGTTGCGTTATTGTCTAATCCTCCCAATAAGCCACAGAGAAGGTACGACGATTCCTCAGAGGCCAGTCCTTTCATCAAGGTGGCCCAGCTAGCAGGGAGCAGCGCTGGTGTCCGACTCACGCACTTCAGGCAACCCTAACACCCTTGCTTTCACCAAGTCAACCGTGGGCTTCTCCTCCTCTCAATCAAAGACCTGGAAGAGCTCACATGGGAACACACCTGTATGTAAACCGACTGAGAATCCTGGAGATCGCTTGCCTAGGGCACTCTCCTGGGCTTGAATAAATGACTTTCCTAAGAAATGCCATCAGTTCAATGTGCCCACCTCTGCAAGGTGGCAGAGGGGAGCGAGCCCTCAGCATCACCAGCAGGGCCTGGGTGCCAATGAAGAGCAGTCCTTTCGGGCCTGGGGAGTGCCCTAAATGGGAATGCCAGTTTGCCGCAATTGTTTTCATCATCATCATCTGCGCCTCTCAAACTCCACCCACCCTCGCATTACCCAACTCTGGAAGGCCTGCTTGCCCACACTGTTGCCAGACCCCTGGCCTGGCAGTTCTACGTGACTTGGAGCTTCCTTTGGAATACCACAAGTATTTACCCCTTAGCCTTGTACCAAGGGATAAAAACTGGTAAGGGCATAGCTTTCCAACATTTGTCCCACTTTCTGTCCCAACATGGCCTGTGGACACTGCTCAGGCTGGGCTCCATCTAGGAGCTCTTTTCCCTCATTCTCTCACGTCACAAAATTCACTGAGCTTCCCCCATGCACACTAAGCATGAAGATGTGAGTCACAAGTGGTTCCTACCTCCAAGGAGGCCAGCACTTATCCTGCACAGGCACTGGGCTGTGAAGACAATCTAGTGAATGAAACCAACTGTCTAGTCGGCCGCCCTCCCAAGCCTGCGGCCCTTCCAAGCCTGCGGCTCTCCCAAGCCTGCTGCCTCTCTAGCACAAAGCCAGATACGCCCCAGAGTGATGGGAGAAGGAAGCCAGAGCCAGGGCAGGCTGGGGCAATCTAGGAAACTGAGGCTGAGGGAGGTTTCACGACCTGCCCAAGGTCACTCTAAATGGCACACTCAGAGCGAGGACCACCAGGAAGATGACAAGGGGGACGGGGAGAGACCCCCAGCAATGGCTGCTGTCTCAATTACTACTTCTTGGGGAGTCATCAGCAGGACCCCTGGAATGCCACCCACACTGGAAGGCATCTAGTGTCATAAGATTGAGAGTCCCACATTCCAAACTCCAGCCTGAAGCTGCTGCTCAACACAGAGATGGGATCCAGATTATAAACAGTACCATGCGTAGACCCAGGCAACCAGGCCCTGCCCTCCCTGGAGATCTGGAGGTCCCGCCGGGTCTCCCTGCAGCAGCGCTCCTCCCTACAGAGAGCAGAACCTGCTGGGCCAAGGAAATGTGCCACCCCGAGCCTATGTCCCTCCCCAGTCCCTGGATCGTGCTCCATAAACCCAGGACCCAGGAATGCCCTGCCGCCCAAATACCTCAGAGCTTGCTTCCAGGGTCTATGCTCCTAATGGCTGATTGGGTCACGGGGTACTCACTCCTAGGTCCAAGGCGTGGCAAAGAGATGACTGTTTGGGGGTCAGAACGGACGGAGCTTGGACTAGCAAGCCGGAATGTTCCATGAGGTCCCCTCCTGGTGGGAGATAAAGCCAAGGTTGTGGAAGAAAGGAGGCAGGCTGCAGGCCAGGTGCCTTCCTTTCTACTCTCACCTCGCGTTCCTCAAACGCGAGGTGGGGGACGAGGAAGTGCAGAGCCCTCCCAAACCACCCTCCTGTTCTAGCACGCTCCCCTCACTGCGCAGGCGCAGAGCTGCTGCCGCCTTCCGTACAGCCCGCGATCCCTAAGCCAACCAGGAGCCAGGCTGCTGCCTCTCTCCGCTCTTTGGTTGCTATAGAAGCCATTTTAGAAAACCTTTTCTGCCAACAGCCCTTGTCAGAGCCTGGCTCGGAGCACCTGGCCCTTCAGCCCTGGGCAGCACACATTCCTCAGATGGGGCCAGCGGAGGAGGGGACCATGGGAGAGGCTGAGGAAGCACAGGCTGGTCACTCTTTTTTTTTTTTTTTTTTTTTTTTGAGACGGAGTCTCGCTCTGTCGCCCAGACTGGAGTTGCAGCAGCGCGATCTCAGCTCACTGCAACCTCTGCCTCCTGGGTTCAGGCGATTCTTCTGTGTCCGCCTCCCGCGTAACTGGGATTACAGGCGCCAACCGCAACGCCCGGTTAATTTTTGTATTTTTAGTAGAGACGGGGTTTCACCATGTTGGCCAAGCTGGTCTCGAAGTCCTGACCTCAGGTGATCCGCCTGCCTCGGCCTCCCAAAGTGCTGGGATTACAGGCATGAGTCACCTCTGCGCCAGCCCAGGCTGGTCACTCTTGCAACCTTGTCAACCTTGCAAGAACCAGACTTGTCCCCAGTCTCCCCCTATTTGTCCCTTCATCCCTCCTGAAGAGATCCTGTCTTCTAAACCCTGCCCCGCTCCCGTACCTGCTGCTTGCTCTGGCCTCTGGCCGGGCGTTTGTCATGGGCTCCGTGGCTTCACTCTCCACAGGTGTCTGTGGTTTCACGTGGCGGGGTGGGAAGATAAAGGAAACTGGTATTTCCCTATCAGGCCTCAAGGTGAAGTGCCTTCAAGTGCTTGGTTTTCTCCTGCTAGAATGGGCCATCTCTTAGTAACGCTCCCGCATGTTCTTGTGGCAACAGAGCCTCCACCTCTTCTCTCCATGTTGCCGGTGACTCCCTGCTGCCACCAGAGCTGTATGGGGACCAAGGTCCCAGGGCAGGCAGGGCACATGCCACACAGGAGGAGGAAGTGGGAGAACACACATCCCACACAGGGGCTCAGCCGACTCCGTGCATGAGGAGTCCTGGACGGGAGCATCCCCCGTCCTAAAGAAGAAAGTGCATATTTGGCCCCAAAGGAACCAGCAATTCAAGAAAGGATTGGCCTTGAGAGACGAGCGGAAGGCTAGGAAATGTGAGCGTGCCTGCCTCTGCCCTCCTCCACCGAGGCTGGGAGGGAGACTTCAGAGCATAGGAAGCAGAAAGTGTTTGAGGAATGCCTGCCCCCGAGTGAGGAGCCCCACCCTGGGCTGGCTCCCTGACTTCCTCAAATGGTCTCACTGCTCTGAGCCCCGGTTTGCCCATCTCCAGAATGGCGATGGCACCTACCACCTGGTATTGCTGAGAGGGTAAGGGAGCAAGGCTGGCCCCGAGGAGGTTCTCTGCCAGCCTCTGTGCCCTGCCCTTTGTAAGCTCCGTACTTCTAGGGGGTCTGCAATTGTGGACTGCGAGAATCAGAGGAGCAAGTGACACAGTGACACAGAGCTGTAATCTGGTGAGTTTGCTCTCTCTGTTCTATTAGAAGGTGTGCTCTGAGAGGGCAGAAAGCTGGCAGGGCTTGTTCCCACTGTGTCTGATGCTGAGAAGAGGACCTGGGGCTGGGTTACAGCAGATAAGTCTCTGCGGAAGGAACAGATGTCATCTCAACACCTGGCACAGGAATGCAAGCTCTGGCTTATCAAGGCTTCTCAGGTCCCCAAAAGCAAAGTTCCTCGTTATGAGGGGTGTATTTTTTTCCAAAGACCAAAAATAGTTCAACATAGCCATTTCTGAATACAGAATTGCTCAAAGTACAGAACAACAAATGAGACACAAAGAATAAAGAGACAAAAGAGACAAAGCCAAATGATACTGGGCTCCCTGGGTACCGGTTTCTGGTGCTCTGTGCTGGCACCCCAAGAGTGCATCCCAGCACGAGGACAGACACCCTCGTGCATTTGCAGCCAGGAGCTCCATTCATCACGCTCATTCCCTTCTTGGTTCATTGTGATTTTAGCCAAAAGCACCTGTTGAGGATGCATTTTTTTCTTCTCAAAAGAAGAATCCGAACTGGAGTGTGAGAGAAGTTAGACATGCTCATTTTTTAAAAAGCCTCAATAATTACAAAGTGGTACAATTAAAGTAACAAAAAGGAGATTGCAATTGATTTCTAGAAAGTCAGAGTTTATTGTTAACATTCTGCTTTGAATTTGAGATTGAAAAGCTTCAAGAGGAAAAACTATAATGAATATAGCCTTTAAAGGATTTCTTCATTTTTAAAGAAATAGCGTAGCCTCCTTTTCTCAGATCCTAAGATACTCAGCTGAGTATTTGAAAACATTTTTTTTTAAGACCCAGCCTCATATTCCTGAGACTCTCATAGACTTTCAAAGCTGGAAAAGCCTCAAAAGCCTCAAAGCCTCAAAACTCCAACCAATTCTATATTCCTCCTTGGAGTGAAGAAAACAGAGGCTTTGAACTTGTACAGGCAGGGTTCACACCCCAGCTTGACCAGCTGATGGGGGAACAGCCGCAGGCAGGTCACTTCACTGCTCTGAAACTCAGCAAACACTTCTGAGTAAAATGCTGATGATAATTCCTACCTTGTGGACTTAGGAAAATGTTAACCAACACAATATATGCAAACCCTCGGATTAGTGCCTGGGTGTTTCTCTTGGAGAGGGTCATGAGATGATCATTGGTGGCTACAGAGAGATGTTCCCAGTAAGCTCAGGCCTAGGTCTTGTGAAATATGCAAGAAAGGATATTCACCTATGCTAGGCTTGGTGCTGTCTTCCATTCAGCAAGAGTGCACTCATGTGGACATCCCTCCTCCCCAACTCCCGGGCCCGTGGCCAGCCTGACCCACATGCACACATACCTGCTTCTCCTAAAGTCAGGCCAGGTTCTAAGTCCATCGTGCAGGACACTTGCCGTCCCTCCCCACTCTTTGCTTGTTCCTGCATTTACTGCCACCTAATCTAAGCGCTCAGCTTCAAGAATCCAACTTTGAAGCCCACCTTCCCCACCCCATCCCCTCCCCACCCCATCCAGCCCATTCTCCTGTTTTTAAGAATCTTTATCTCCCAGTGGCTCCAAAAAGATATGTTCACATCCTAATAACCAGACTCTGTAAATGTGAACTTATTCCATGTAAGGGTCTTTGCAGAGGTAATTAAGATCTTCAGATGAGGACATCACTGTGGATTAGCTGGGTGGACCCTAAATCTGATGGCAAGTGTCCTTATAGGAGTCAGAAGAGGATGAGACACAGATATAAGAGGAAGAGAAGACCATGTAAAAACAAGGAATGCCTGGAGCCACCAGAAACCGGGAAAGAAAAGGGAGGATTCTTCCCTGGACCTTGCTGACAAGTTGATTTTGGACTTCTGGTGTCTAGGACTGTAAAAGAGTAAGTTTCCATTGCTTAAAGCCACCAAGTTTCTGGTATTTTGTTATGGCAGCCCTGGGAAGCTAACAGAGTTATCTATTACTATGTAACAAATTAACACAAATTTAGCAGCTTAAAATGATGTCCATTTATTATCTTCAGTTTTAGAGATCAGAAGTCTAGACACAGCATGGCTGGGTTTTCTTCGGCCTCCCAAAGGGCTGGGACTACAGATGTGAGCCACTGTGCCTGGCCCCAAGTGGCTTTAAACAACAATCTAAACCTCTAAGAGCAAGAATTTTGTGGCAGATTGTATTTTTCAAAGTTGATCCCAATACATTCCACCCCACATGTTCTTCTTCAAATGTGACATAGGACCTATGTTTCTACTCCTGAGTCTCATTCTGTGACTACTTGACCAATAGTAACTGGTAGCTTCCAATTGTAGTCTCACGGGATGCTTGTGCTTGTTCTTTAAACCCAGGCTCCATGCAGTGAGGAAGCCCAGTCAGCCCCATGGACAGGCCTATGTAGAGAGGAAGGAACCATCGGCACCAAAATGTTGGCATGTACATAAGCCCTCTCCAGGATGCTCCAGCCCCAGTTGAGCCACCCCAGTTTATGTCATACATCAAAAATATGAGCTGACCCTGCTGAAACCTGTCCAAAATACAGACAGATGAGTAAAATTACCAATCATTGTTGTTTTAAGCTACCAAGTTTTGGGTTGAATTGTTATGCAGCAACAGGTAACTACAACAGATATATGTACCTGAAGTCAGGTGCTATCATAATAGAGTCCTACAATGTAGACATTGGCTTTGGGACCACACAGCCTAACAGCCACAAAGAAAATGTTAGTGAAAACCTTAAGGGCCTTGAGAAGATTGTCAATGAGGGCATTCAGGAAAATCTTGGAAATATTATAGAAATCTTAAAGTCAAGGGGATCCTTGCCATGTAGTGGCAGAAAGTTTAGCAACACTGTAGCCTGCAGTAACATGGAAAATAGGAAGGTATCTAATAATCTTGATGATCTAGCTGAGATTCCAGGCAGATATTGAAAGTGCCTCCTGACTTCTTACTACCTATGATAAAATGTGAGAGGAGGGAGATGAGCTCAAGAACCCGGAACAGCTGGGCTCAAAAATTAAATGTTCTAGGTTGGGCAACATAGCAAGACCCCAACTCCAAACAAAGTTTAAAATAGCTAGGAATAGCAGCTCACACTTATAATCCCAGCTACTTGGGAGGCTGAGGCAGGAGGATCATTTGAGCCCAGGAGTTCAAGGCTGCAATGAGCTGTGGTCATGCAACTGTATTCCAGTGTGGGCAACAGAGCAAGACCTCATCTCTTAAAAAAAAAAATTAAAAGTAAAAGTAAAGTCAATTGTTTTCATTTCCAAGTCTTTCCAGATACAAACAATTCTCAAAGTAAGAAAGGAACTCTGGCCAAATATAAATCCAGTATGAGTGCCTCTTAGGATCTCTCAGACAGACGAAAGTTCCTCTAAGAATCTTTTTTTTTTTTCTTTTGAGGCGGAGTCTCGCTCTGTCGCCCAGGCTGGAGTGCAGTAGGGCGATTTCGGCTCACTGCAAGCTCTGCTTCCCAGGTTCACGCCCTTCTCCTGCCTCAGCCTCCGGAGTAGCTGGGACTACAGGCACCCGCCACCATGCCTGGCTAATTTTTTGTGTTTTTAGTAAAGATGGGGTTTCACCGTGTTAGCCAGGATGGTCTCGATCTCCTGACCTTGTGATCCGCCCGCCTCAGCCTCCCAAGGTCCTCTAAGAATCTTAAGGGCATGTTTCAGCCAAGCAGATACAGCTGATGCCCTATGGCACAAAGATGAACTGTCCCCACTGAGCACCATCCAAATTATCAATTTATGAGCAAAATTAATGATTGCGTTGTGTTAAGCCACTAAGTTTTGGGGTCGTTGGTTATGCAGCAATTGATAACTGGACCAGATGGAAACTACACGGTTCTCTATTCTCCGTCCATTACCCACGGAAACAATGGCCTCTCTGATGTGAAGCTGGGGCTTAGCATTCTGTCTCCTGACCCACAGCATCTTACCTGGTGGACAGGTTCTGGTTGGCATTGGAGACAGGGAAGTCTCCATTCATTTGGTGGCTTTTCTGAATCCCAGAGGAACCTACACTTTCGATAGAGAGACATCACGAAGACTGACCTCCCAGGCTTCAGTCTCAGGAGAGGTGCCGCGGGGCAGGGAGAGGTATAAGGTGAGCTGGGCTGGGACTCAGGGAGGGAAATGACCTGACTCTGAAGAAGCAGCTGGGTGTTCTCTTCCAGGATCCCTTCTTAGAGCAGATTCCAATGGGGCATCGGGGTGATGTTCAGAGAAGTACTCAGAATCCTCCTCCTTCCTGCTGGATCAGGGAGCAGGCTGATTTCTGTGTGAGGTCTGAGGAGCGGCGCCTGTAGGAGCCCTCACCCTCCTTCCCCTCACTCATTTATTATTGATCAGTCATTGGCCGAGGCCTCCACCATGAAAGGCACAGGGGACAGGTATTAATCAAAGAGCCATCATCTGGTGGAGGAGGCAGGCAGGGACACAGGTGACCTCCGCAGGCTCTTTAGAGTCTCCACTGAAGACTCGCTGGGGCTGTGAGAGGCCAGAGAAAGGAACCACGAAGGCCTGGGATGTAGGGAAGGGCTGCGGACACAGGAGACACACAGGTAGGCAAGGCTCCTTGCCTAAAGGGGAGCAACACTCACAATCTCAGTGTGACCTTGTCCCTCCCCTATGCTCCAGGCTCACACCCCAGCCATCAAGAACAATTACCAGTTTCCTCCAGGCTGTACCACTGAGCTTTTGTTAAAGCTGTTCTTTATTCCTGGAAAGCTTCTCCCCGCCTTGCCTGGCTAATTCCTATTCCTCATTAGAAATTCGTATAAACTCGATAACACCATTCATTTGATCCTTATCTTCTGAGATATGTATAATCCCTCTCCCTTATTTTACAGGTGAGGAAGCAAAGGGTCAGCTAGTTTTAGGCACTTTCTCAGTGTCCGCACTGAGAGATAGAGTATATAGGTGCTGAGCCATGCACACACACAGCCGTAATCTGAATTAAGAAGCCAGAGCCTTTTTAAAACTTGCATCCCCTGTCCTCCTGAAAATTGTTAATAAAAAAAGGTGATGTAGCAAAAATAACTAAGGTATTAAATCAACAAAAAACTCCTCTTTTCTTTTGACCCAAGGGGCTTTAGTCACATCTATAAAGTTCTACTTCTTTTTAAAATATAAAGCCAGTGTAGCAAAATACCCAGATTTGATAGTGGTCAAATATTTGTTTATTATGTTGTTCTCTGTTCTTATGTATAAGTATCTTCATCCTTTTTCTTTTGCTAATACATTTTACTTTAATTAAACCCTAAGGAATCAGATCTAACATTTCATATTCAAATAATTCAAAGATCATAGTATAGATAATAAAAGTAGTTTGTTGTTTGGGGGTACATTGACAAGTAGTCTCAAGAAACTAGAATATAAATATAAATATAAACATAAATGTATATTTATTTTGTCCCCCCAACCCCATCCTAACATGCTATTTTCTTTTTTACATTTTACTTCTGCTCCTAGATCACACGGAGACAAGATTTTTCATAAATTCCATCACAGCATAGGTTCCAATTAGAATTCTACTGTTTGCACTTACCTCTGTCATTAACATTTTTGGTCTGAAGATTATGGTCTGAAAAGTCCTCATAATTATTCTTTTTAATGGCTACAGTATGCTATAACTTAGTGTTTCTCCAATGACAGCCCACATCAATCATTTCCAGCTTTTTGCTCTTGTGGAAACGCTTTCATAAACATCTTTATGAATTTTTTTTTATTCCTTTTGAAACATATATCTTTATGTAGCATATGAAGTGTATCTAATCACTCTATTCTCCCATTAATATTACACTAATTTATAAAGTACATGTTTTACGTCACTGCACCCATATTTAATATTTGCACTTGCTTATGGTTTATGTACGGGTTTCCTCCATCTTTGGTAGATCTATTTGGACAGTGTGGTTACAACAGACATTTCAGGAGGCAATTAACCATAAGGGAATGAAGGGATTTCATAATTCGCACACTAATGCTAAAAGAAATTTAACCTTTTGTCTTTTTTGCCATTTTGGATTTTTTAGTCTCCAAAATGAAATGTTATTGCAGCCCATCTTTGTGTGATGGTGCCATTGGCCATTTCTTTCTGCTTCTTGTTGGGCCGTGGAGTGCTGGGCCTGGAGAACAAAAGTGAGGGTGAGGAGGGGTGGGAAAGACTGCAAGCTGGGAAGCGGGGAACCACAGGGTCAGACCCCTCACACCAGGTCAGTCACCCTCATGGAAGGGGTGCAACGTAGCTTGGAGAGAATCTGCAGCAACCATTTTGTTTTGTTACTGTTCCTTTAGGTAGACTAAAACTTAATGGAGGATAAGAACAACCCCTTTCACAGGCAGAAATTGTATATATCATGTCCTTTTTTCTGGTACTGAAGGAAGTCTTAGTCTATTATTCCTTTTGCAAGAAATATCAAAAAATTACAAATGCGTTTTAAATAATTTGACCATTTCTGTGTATCGGACTGCTATTGGACTAGGCCTTGTTTTTTGAAAAGTAATTAGAAAAACTCCCATCTGTTCTAAATTTCTGTGACTGGAGGTTTCCAAGAGGGAAAGGATACAGAATTCTTATGACTTCAGGATTAGGCAAAAACCCTAGAGATCTGCCCCAACTGCCCCGCCCTGGGACGAAGTCTGTGCTGATGGGTAGGGCACGGGTCATGGGGCAGTTGGAGTAGGATATGGGATATGTCTGGGGGCCCAGAGCCCTGGCCTATGAGCTGGGAGTCCAGGCTCAAGTACCCACACAGGCTCTAGCTTGCTTGTAATTTGGGGTGTTTTAGTCCATTTATGTCTCCATAAAGAAACACCCGAGGCTGGGTAATTTGTAAAGAAAAGAGATTTATTTGGCTCATGGTTCTGCAGGCTGTAAAAGAAGCTTGGCATCTGCTTCTGATGACGGCCTCAAGAAGCTTCTACTCACGACAGAAGGTAGAGGGGAGCAGGCATCCCATGGCAAGAGAGGAAGGAAAAGAGTGAGAGAGGAAGTGGTGCCAGACTGTCTTTTCAACAATCAGTTCTCAGGGAAATAAACAGAGTGCACACTCACTCATTACCACGACGAAGGTACCACGCCATTCACAAGGGATCCACCCTCAAGACCCAAACACCTCCCACCGGGCCCCACTGCCAACACTGGGAATCAAATGTCAGCGTGAGATTTGGAGAGATCAAACATCCAAACTTACCAGTGAGTAGATCACCTCCCTGCACTGGGCTGCCAGGAGTCAAATGCTGTAAATGTGCCCCGCCTTCTTCCAGGCTATTTGTAGCTCCAGGTGACATAGAAAGTGTTTTGTTAACCACAAAGTGATGCATATGTGTAAGGGGTATTGATGATGATGTTTCCATATTTGCACAGAAAACTGAAATACTAATGTCTTTCGTCAGATAGGATGGAAATGATGGAACGAATAAAATAGCATTTTGACAAGCCATACCCTGTTGACAAGAAATCTTTAGAGTAAGGTCTTGAACTATATAGACTCCTAAACACATACCAGTTTAGTGACGCACTAACTCCAAGAGCCTATGACCAGCTCTGGAAACCATTAGCAGAGCTACAGTTGTGTTTCAAGTCACAATTGTTCTTCACTATAGAGTCCCTTTTTAGGAAATAGTAATCAAATTGATATTTTTATACCAGTATGTAATAAGACTAGTAAGGTGTCCCCTTTTTTCCCCCTTTCTCCTCATCCTCCACCATCACCATTGTCTGAATTTCAGAGACTGTACATCACTGTGGCCAGGAGAATAAGATGAAAATAGGAGGAAATGGTCCAAAGTTGAACCCAGGGCCAGAGGAGGCCACTAAGGACACTGAGAGGCCACCACACCCTGAGTTTGGAGTATGTTAAATCAGTTCAACAAACACTTATTGCAATATCCCAGGAGATATTGAAATATAATCTGATAGCAACTCCTCCAAGAGATCACGATCTAGTGGAAAACATAAGCAAATTATTACACTACAGCTTTCTACTTACAAAGTGTCCTGAGTCCCTCCCCCTCCCCCACCCCCTCCCCTCCCCCTCCCCCACCCCTCCCCCTCCCCCCTCCCCCTCCCCTCCCCCCTCCCCCTCCCCTCCCCCTCCCCCCTCCCCCTCCCCTCCCCCTCCCCCCTCCCCTCCCCCTCCCCCTCCCCCTCCCTCCCTCTCCCCCCTCCCTTTCCCCACGGTTTCCCTCTCCCTCTCTTTCCACGGTCTCCCTCTGATGCCGAGCTGAAGCTGGACTGTACTGCTACCATCTCGGCTCACTGCAACCTCCCTGCCTGATTCTCCTGCCTCAGCCTGCCGAGTGCCTGCGATTGCAGGCGTGCACCGCCACGCCTGACTGGTTTTCATATTTTTTTGGTGGAGACGGGGTTTCGCTGTGTTGGCCGGGCTGGTCTCCAGCTCCTAACCATGAGTGATCCGCCAGCCTCGGCCTCCCGAGGTTCTGGGATTGCAGACGGAGTCTCCTTCACTCAATGCTCAATGGTGCCCAGGCTGGAGTGCAGTGGCGTGATCTCGGCTCGCTACAACCTCCACCTCCCAGCCGCCTGCCTTGGCCTCCCAAAGTGCCGAGATTGCAGCCTCTGCCCGGCCGCCACCCGGTCTGGGAAGTGAGGAGCGTCTCTGCCTGGCCGCCCATCGTCTGGGATGTGAGGAGCCCCTCTGCCTGGCTGCCCAGTCTGGAAAGTGAGGAGAGTCTCTGCCCGGCCGCCATCCCATCTAGGAAGTGAGGAGCGCCTCTTCCCGGCCGCCATCCCGTCTGGGAAGTGAGGAGCGTCTCTGCCCGGCTGCCCATCGTCTGAGATGTGGGGAGCGCCTCTGCCCCGCCGCCCCGTCTGGGATGTGAGGAGTGCTTCTGCCCGGCCGCGACCCCGTCTGGGAGGTGAGGAGCGTCTCTGCCCGGCCGCCCAGTCTGAGAAGTGAGGAGACCCTCTGCCTGGCAACCGCCCCATATGAGAAGTGAGGAGCCCCTCCGCCCGGCAGCCACCCCGTCCGGGAGGGAGGTGGGGGTCAGCCCCCCGCCCGGCCAGCCGCCCCGTCCAGGAGGGAGGTGGGGGGGTCAGCCCCCCGCCCGGCCAGCCGCCCCGTCCAGGAGGTGAGGGGCGCCTCTGCCCGGCCGCCCCTACTGGGAAGTGAGGAGCCCCTCTGCCCGGCCACCACCCCGTCTGGGAGGTGTACCCAACAGCTCATTGAGAACGGGCCATGATGACAATGGCGGTTTTGTGGAATAGAAAGGGGGGAAAGGTGGGGAAAAGATTGAGAAATCGGATGGTCGCCGTGTCTGTGTAGAAAGAAGTAGACATGGGAGACTTTTCATTTTGTTCTGTACTAAGAAAAATTCTTCTGCCTTGGAAAAAAAAAAAAAAAAGTGTCCTGAGGAAGCTGCAGGTGATTCTTATTGCATGGAGGTGATATGGAGGGCCACTGGAAACCCACCAAGAGAAGATAACGTGTGAGCTGAACTTTAAGCAATGAGGCAGCATTTGCCCATGAAATAAAGAACAGTAGAAGGTATTCCAGGCAGAGGAAACAGTATGAGTAAAGGCTTGGATGCCTGGACATGCATGAAATGCTTAGATGAGAGCAAAGGAAAGGAGGAGGTGGGAGTGAGGTGTGTGTAAGTCAGGAGTGGTTAGGTTATGCTGCAGTAACAAACATCCCCCATCTCAGTTGCTTATAACATCAAGAACTAGACAGGATGCATGCCCATCATGGTCAGCAGTGACTCCCATGTTGTCTTTGCTCTAGGACCCCGTCTGATGAAACGGCTGCTATCTACTCTGTCCATTCAATATGGACTATATGAGGCTACTGAAATATTTAATGGATACATATGGCCAGTGGCTACCACGTTGGACAGGAGGAATATTATAGAATATTTCCAGCATTGCAGAAAGCTCTACTGGCCAGACTGGCTTTTTAAAATAAAATGTTATTGGAACATAGTCACGCTCTTTCATTTGCCTGTTATCCAGGATTACTTTCACATGACAACAGCAGAGCTGAGAAGCTACAATGGAGACCATTTGGCCCACAAAGCTGAACACATTCACAGGAAAAGTTTGTTGACACCTGGTCTAGACCATGGTCCCAGTTGTCATGGCAGAGGAAAGACGAGTTCCAGCTCACATGTTACCTCTGCTAACAATTCATTGGCCAAAACCAGTTGTTGGCCCCCAGCCAACCATCAGGGAGCCACAAAGTGCAAAATTTACCATTTTCCTGGAAGGAGGGGAAAATGGAAACATTAGGCACACTGGCAGCTACAAGGGGAGGTGGCTGGACACAGCCCAGAGAGTTAAACTGGGTTGAAAAGGCCCAGAAGTTTGAGCTTTATAGTGAGTTGGATGGGGCATTAACAAAACTTTACTGTTATTATTATTATTGTTGTTATTATTATTATTATTATTATACTTTAAGTTCTGGGGTACATGTGCAGAAAGTGCAAGTTTGTTACATAGGTATACACAAGCCATGGTGGTTTGCTGCACCCATCAACCTGTCATCTACATTAGGTATTTCTCCTGATGCTATCCCTCCCCAAGTCCTCCAGCCCCCCAGCCCCCCAGCAGGCCCTGGTATGTGATGCCCCGCCCCGCTGCTCCCTGTGTCCATGTGTTCTCTTTGTTCAACTCCCACTTATGAGTGGGAACATGCGGTGTTTGGTTTTCTGTTCTTCTGTCAGTTTGCTGAGAATGAGATAGAGACATGATAACAAAGCTTTTTGATAAGGAAAGGGATGGATGGAAGAAGTGTATTATTTTGGACGCTGTTGGAAATGGATGGGAATAACCATTGCTGGCAGAAAGGGAGTCAGGGAAAACTTGGGAGAAAGAATTCAAGAAAGACATGACGAGGGCTCCAGGAACTCTGAAAGGTATGGACTGCTTCGTAGGAAACGCAGCATGGCCTCATCCAGGTAGCAGCCCCTTCCCAGGGGAGCAGAATAAGAACAGCAACATTTATACAAGCACACCTTGCATGCCAGGCACTGTTCCATGCATTTTGGATATGGTAGCACATTAATTCCCCAAACAAACCCATAAGGTGCTAAGTATTTTATCTCCATTTCCCACAGGAGGAAACTGAGATCTAGCAGGATCAATAACTTGTCCAAGGTCACAGCGTGAGTGAGGGGTAGAGCAAGAATTCAAACCCAAGGGTCTGGCTGCTCCTGGGTCCCGTGCCCAGAGACAAGTTCACCTGCAGCCATCCATGGCACATTTAACACTACCCGGCCACCCCTTCTGATCCCCCGACCTGGCTCTATTGACTCTGAAGAAAACTGCCTAAATTTATAGATTTTGTGGACTGTTGCTTTTTACTCTCCAAAACACATTAAGTGATTTTGTCTGGAAATGTTTTACAAGCCCCAATTATGCCTCCTACATTCCCTCCCCGGTACAGCCCAGGTCCCCAGCCAGGACTGTAAAAGAGCCTTTTCTTCTTTCGAAAGCCTCTTAACTCTCTGCCCCCAGAGAGGGCTGGTTCTCGCGGAGTCTGGGAAAAGCCAAGCTCCCGTTCAGGCCCACGGGGAGTTTTGAGACTGACCGTCATGTCTCAGTCCTGCTCTCGCCCTTTTCACAAGGCTCTTTAATTAGGTTCAGAAACATGTTTATGATCCTGAGAACCAGCCTGTGTTATACTAGGTAAGTTCAAAGCTCCATTTCCCCCAATAACTCCCAGAACATTTCAGTAAACGCAGAGGCCTGGCCCACAGCCAGCTCTGAACAAAATCAGACTGCAGGCAAATACCTCCAGCCTCCCCTGCTCTGGGCAGCTTTGGAAAGAGGATGGGATTCAGGCTTGTGCAGAACTGGGTTTCCTTCCAGGCCCCTCTCTCCACTGGCCAAATGACCTTGAGTACATTTCTTCACCTTTTTAAGCCTTGGCATCCTAATTTTTAGAATACAGATTTACTTAAAATGGGAGCCATAATAGCTATGGAGATTATAAAAACAGAATGATATTTAAATCTTAGTCCTTTCAAAAACTTGAGAGATTAAGGGGAATGCACCAATCTAACCATGGTAAAATAAATGAAGATGTCTAAGCCTTTATCCTTGACCTGGGAAAGTTGTCATTTAGTTAGTGTCAACTGAAAATTCTGCCTTTTGGTTCGTATTCCAGTTTTTATTCTTTTCTTTTTTTTTGAGACGGAGTCTGTTGCCCAGGCTGGGGTGCAGTGGCATGATCTCAGCTCACTGCAACCTCTGCCTCCAGGTTCAAGCAATTCTCCTACCTCAGCCTCCCAAGTAGCTAGGATTACAGGCACATGCCACCATGCCCAGCTAACTTTTGTATTTTTAGTAGAGATGGGATTTCACCATATTGGCCAGGCTGGTCTCGAACTTCTGACCTCAAGTGATCCGCCTGCCTTGGCCTCCCAAAGTGCTGGGATTATAGGCGTGAGCCACCACACCTTGCCTCAGTTTCTTTTCCTAGCCATCATAGGAAGTTCTGGGAAAGATCATTTAGATAAATTTTCTTATAAAGGAATAGCTCATGATACCTGTAGGTCAATCTCAATCATACTGGCTTATAAAATGTTTGCCATTTATCATTGTATATTGTGTCAAGTGAAATTTTTAAAGTATGTCCTTAGAACTTGCATAAATACTTTTAATTTCCTGGGTTTGCTTCTGTTTTAAAAAATATTTTGATGTTTTAATATCCTCCCAATCCTGCTTTTTTGTTTTAGTTTTAGTTTTGCTAAAGGTTATTGAGTGATTCTATCACTGATAATACCATTACAATGACTGCATACTTTCACTGACTTTGGAAATTCAGACTAAATAAAATCACTTAATCATATTGGGAAAAAAGAATGGGAATAATGGCTCTGGAGAGTATAAGGACAAATGCTATATAATGTGGCTGGACGCGGTGGCTCATGCCTGTAATCCTGGCACTTTGGGAGGCCGAGGTGGGCGGATCACCTGAGGTCGGAGTTCAAGACCAGCCTGGCCAACACAGTGAAACCCCGTCTTTACTAAAAATACAAAAATTAGTGGAGTGTGGTGGTGGGTGCCTATAATTCCAGCTACTTGGGAGGCTGAGGCACGAGAATCACTTGAACCCAAGAGGCAGAGGTTGCAGTGACTAGATATCAGGCCACCGCACTCTACACTGGGCAACAAAGTGAGACTCTGTCTCAAAAAAAAAAATGCTACCTAATGTTAGTTGCCTTCCCTTTTCCTTCCTGGGGCTTGATGGGCCCCCACTCTGCAGAGGCAGGCCCCAAGGTGAATAAGAGCCAGGCCCTTCTCCTGGGAGGTCGCAGTTTCATTCTCTATCCTGGGAGATGGCATCCCCTCCCTATGGGGGTCTTGGCTTCAATCAGAGGGGCGTCGGCTCCAGAAGGCATTAAAACTGAGATAGGAAATGTGTTTCTGCAGCTGGGAGCAGCCTACACGCAGCAAAACCCCCATCACAGTCACAGAACAGCAGTGCCCAGATTTCACAGACAGGCTCCTCAAATCCTCACCTCTCACAGGATGGCTGTGATCGTTATTCCCATCTTACACATGATGAAACAGAAAGAACTTGCCTGAGACTTCACAGTGAGTCAGAGACAGAACTAAGGCTAGAACCTAGGTCAGAGCCAATCAAACCCCACGACCATGTGCTGTGGGGAGACACGCCTCCCCTTCCTTCCCTGAGGCTTTGGGAAAGCTGAGCAGAGTCCTCACTGGCACTGGCAGGTCAAAGACCATGTGCCACTGGGGATTTTATCAGCAACCTCCCTCCCCTGGTCCCAAAGGGCGGGCCATCATTAGGATCCAGGGAGCTCAGAGGAACCACAGCACTCTTGGACTCCTCCTCATCTCCCCTCCCTCCACCTGTTTTCTAACAGCGCTGTCCCTCCCGCCTTACATGGGTTGCACTTCCCACGAACATGGCTGCCTGCCCCTCCGCTTTCCCGTGGAGCTGTCCACCTTGCCAGCACATCCAGCAGCCCCTGCCTTCTTCTTCCCTACACCCATCCTCACTGAAGGGGGCCGCAAGCTGCATGGAAGGAGCATTGGACAGAGAGTCCAAAGACCCAGTTCGTATCTCAGCTCCACCACTGCTGCCTTGCTGTGTGACCCTGGGGAAACCTCCTGCCCTCTCTGGGCTTCACACACCACATATATAAAAGCGCATTCAGCCCACATATCTCCAAAGGCCTACCTAGCTCTTGTACTCAAAATACCCTAGCCACAGCCTATTATTCTCGCGTTGTCGCCATTGGACCTCAGCCCTAGGGACTATCCACACAAGACAGTTTAGAAGGAAAAAGCCTACATCTGGGTTTTAGGATTTTCTACTGCACAATGGTAAAAATCCTGACTCTTCAGAGATTCAGTGATTTAAAACAATGGAATCAAATAGGAATTTGACATTCATTTCTCCCAGTTAACAGTCCTGTGACCCCACCTGCATTACTCACATAGAAAGCGTGGCTTGCACCCCACAGGGTGGTGTGGCTGGAATGCTTAGGTAACTCAGGCGACTCCCATACAGTGCCTGGCACCCCAGGACGGCTCGGTGCATGGTACTGCTTTTCCCACAGCCGCAAGTAGCAGTGGGACTAGGAATGAGTCACTCTGCCTCTCTGGGTCTCAGTCATCCACTTGGGACAATGAGCAGGTTGCACTAGGAGAACTTCCTGGAGTTGTTTTTTTTTTTTTTCTTGAACCTGCTGTGTTTCTGTGGCAAACACATCAAGGTATATATGCCTTTCCCTTGGATCTTGGGCCTTTTTATAAAAAAAATAGCTTTATTGATATATTATTCACATACCATACAGTTCACCCACTTACAGCATATAATTCCATGGTTACTATAGTCACAGAGTTGCACAACCATTGCTGCAATCAATTGTAAACCATTTTCACTGTCCTGGAAAGAAACCCTGGCCCTATTGGCTGTCGCTTCTCACTCTTCCCAGGCCCTAGGCAAACACTCATCTACTTTCTGTTTCTCTGGTGTGGCCTGTTCTGGACATTTCCTATCAATGGAATCATTCCCTATGTGGTCTTCGTGCCTGGCTTCTTTCATTTAGCATAATGTATCCAGGGTTCACTGTGCTCTCCCGCCTCTTTCCGCGTCCCTTCTTTCCCAGCCTCACCCTGCCTGCTCCCAGCGGGGCTGCAGCCTGTGGCCACTGGCTCACCTCTTTGTGGAGGCTTCCCAAGCCCCAGGTGCACCCTCCTCTGGAATGCTCCACTCAGTTGAGCAGTTGCACACTTGGCTGCCCGTACAGGCAGTTGTGGGGGTGCAGAGCCTTCTCAACCACTGCCTCCTGCCCCAGGAGATACATTTCCTAGTCCTTTCCACAATTTGAAAGGTTTTAAGACAAACCGACCTGCCGTTGACAGCACTAATTCCTTTCTTCCTGTCCAATGCTCCTGTCTCTTCTCTCTCTCTCTCTTTTTTTTTTCTAAAGGGATGTTTTTGAGCTGTTGTGTGTATGGGATTTTTCCCTGTCTCCAGCTGTCACTGTGGTATGAGGATTGGTGTTAAGTAGTGCTTACTGACTCCCACTGTGTTCCAGTTGCTGGGTGTACAGTATCTCCTCTCTGTGGGGGAGGCAGTGTTACCCCATTTTGCAAATGAGGACATGGAGGCTCAGGAAGAGTCTTGAATTTACTGAGGGTCGTTCCTCAGTATACTATCAGCAGAGTTAGGATTGGACCCAGTCTCTTTGCCTTCTTCTGCCTCCCGAGGGAGAGTCAAATCCATGACAATTTCCTCCAGTGCCTTAGACATAACTGAGCCCGCTGCAGACTCCTGCGCGTATTCACGGTTTTTTAGGAAAGGGCCTCCCGAAGTTCTCCCTGACCTTTGCAAAAAAAGAGAGCACAGGAGTAGATGTGCAGGTGTAAATAAGACCAGAGGAAGGTGCCAAAGACCTGCTTCCTAGCACTTTGCTAATCATCATTAATGAAGTAAAACCATTGATGTGCTCATTATTTATCTCTCCACACTCTTGCCCTGGCTCTAAAGCCTTTGATGGCTCCCCATTACCTGCAGAAGCACTTTCAAGTTTCCTCCGTGTGGCACAAAAGGCCCTTCATGATTAGGGGAGCCACCTTCTCTGACATAGGGTCCCTGCTATGCCTCCCCAACCTTCATTTTCTACTTCTCGAAATCTTTCAAAACAGTAAGATCAAGTAAAAATAGTTACCAACCGAGGTTAAGCACACTGGAATCACTAGAGTATAAGGTCTGGGGAGGGGGTTGTGCCTCCTTAACCGCCGCACAAAGGAACTACAGTTGTATCCCACTGCATTGGAGAGCACTGGAGGGATTCCAGGTCTATCAGTGTGGCAGTCAGATCCACTTGTCAGATCTGAAAACACAGATTTGTAAAGAAAGAAGAGGAAAGGTGCCATGGAGGCTAACGAGCCCTGTGGGTGACCTCCACTTTACCTGTGAAGCAGCAGGTGAGGGAGCTGTGGGAGGGATGGAAGGTATGAAGCCAGTAGAGAATGTAGACATGGAGAAAGACAGGCAGCCATAGTGGGCATGCTCAAATTCTGGGAGCCAAGATGTTGGAGAGCAGGGAGTAGTGGGTGAGCAGTGAGATTTGCCTTGAGTGTAGCTCTCAACAGCCCAGGAAACCAACAGAGATGAAGAGAGATAGGGAAGTGTGGCCCCAGAACTGGGGTTGGCAAGTAAAATGGTCAGAGGGGCCTGGGGGAGCCTCAGGATTGGAGGGGGTGGTCATTTCTAGGTATTGAATATAAGTATCTATTGCTGCATTACAAGTCATCTCAAAACCCTGTGGTCCAGAGCAGCCATAGCCATGTATATCACCTTTCACAGTTTCTGGGGGAAAGGAATTTGGGAGCGGTGAGGTAGTTCTCTCCTGAGGTTATGGTCAGGCGATGGCTGAACTGCTGTCATCCGAAGGCTTGACTGAGGCTGGAGGACCCCCTTCCACAGTGGCCACTCACATAGCTGGCAAGTTGGAAAGAGGCCTCAGTGAGTTTCCACGTGAGTCTCTCTACAGGGTGGCTTGAGTATTCCCATAGCATGGTGGCTGGCCTTCCCTAGACTGAGTGGTCCAAGATACCAAGGCAGAACCTACAGTGCTTTTATGACTTTGGCTCAGAGGTCACATATCATCACTTCTGCTTATTCTTTGGATCATATGGGACCAGTCCTGATTCAGTGTGAGAGGGGATTACCCAGGAACATAAATACTAAGAAGTAATGTAACTGGGGGCCAAGTGTGGTGGCTCACACCTGTAATCCCAGCACGTTGGGAGGTGGAGGTGGGTGGATCACCTGAGTTCGGGAGTTTGAGATCAGCTTGACCAACATGGAGAAACCCCGTCTCTACTAAAAATACAAAATTAGCCGGGCGTGGTGGTGCATGACTGTAATCCCAGCTACTCGGGAGGCTGAGGCAGGAAAATTGCTTGAACCCAGGAGGCAGAGGTTGCAGTGAGCTGAGATTGTGCCACTGCACTCCAGCCTGGGCAACAGGAGTGAAACTCTGTCTCAAAAAAAAAAAAAAAAAAGTAGGAGTAATGTAATTGGGGGCCATCTTAGAGGCCAGCTACTATAAATGCATTTATGAAGCCCTACTATGTGCTAGGAAGGGTGACCATCATTGGTTAAGAACCTATGTTATCTGCTATCTCATGAACCCTTCAAAATCTCTAGCATCTTGCACAGTGCCTGTGCAGAGTAGTAGCTCAATTTAAAAATGTGAACTCAGTGAACATCCTGAGATACAGATCTTATAACCCCAACCTCTCCACCTTCCAGCCCTCTTGGTAATGAATGGACAGCTGAGGCCCAGCTCTATCTAGCTGCTTGCCTGAGGTCATATAACCAATAAGGGAATGAGGTGAGATTCAAGCCCAAGTTATCTCTGGCTTCAAAACCTGAGTGTTTGCTGCCTCTCTGGGCTACCTTAATAGATACACTTCATTACAAAGTGGATGTCCACAGCCTCCCAGCCCGGGAGGACTCAGAGCTAGGAGGCCATCAGCAGAGAGCATCTCAGTGGCTCTTTTCAAGAGCTTGAGGCCCCTGAAGGCTGAGGTCCCCTGCCAGGCTGCCAGGCCAAGCTGCCCCTGAGGAGGCCAGGGAAAAGCACAGGGTCATCTGTTTACACTATTTCCAGCTCTACCTGTGTTTTTCACTTCCTGTATACAACTCTCAACAGACTATTCCTGACTCTTATCCCTCAGGAACTTCCGATTTCAGAGCCAGAGTCTCCAACAAGGCCAGGGAGGAAGGACAGGGCTCAGGAGCAGCCGGAGCCCATGCTTTAGTTAAGCTCTTCCTTCCTAGTGGGGACTGGAAATCCCCATTTCCTACTGCATCCCTGGCAATTCTTCTGCAGGGCCTTCCAGACCAGACCTCTGGCTGTACCAGAAGGACCCCCCAGCCTTATCTCCCACTGCCTCTCTAAGTTCACCTCCTGGCTCAATCCAGAAGACCCCTTCTTCATGGATAAGTAAAGAGGAACATGGACAAGCATCACATCAACTGGGTTCAGGTCTCCACTCGGCCACTGAGCTATAACTTTCACAAGTCACCTAACCTCTCTGAGCCACTCCAAAGAAGACATACAAATGGTCAACAGATAAAAGATGCTCAACATCATTAATTATCAGGGAAATGCAAATCAAAACCACAGTGAGATACCACCTCACACCTATTAGGATGACTATTATCAAAAAGACAAAAGATAGGGGTTGGCAAAAATGTGGAGAGATTGGAACACTTAAAACACTTTTGGTGGGAATGTAGAATGGGACAGCAGCTCTAGAAAACAGGCTGAAGTGTCCTCAAAAAATTAAAAATAGAATTATCATATTATCCAGCAATCCCACTTCTTGGTATATATCCCAAAGAAGTAAAATCAGGAACTCAACGAGATATCTGCACTCTTGTGTCACTGCAGAATTATTCGTAATAGCTGAGATGTGGCAACAACTTAAATGTCCATTGACCAATGAATGGATAAAGAAAATGTGGGCTGGACACACAATGGAATATTATTCAGTCTTAAGAAATAAGTCGGCTGGGCACGGTGGCTCATGCCTGTAATCCCAGCACTTTGGGAGGTCAAGGCAGGCAGATCACAAGGTCAGGAGATGGAGACCGTCCTGGCTAACACAGTGAAACCCCATCTCTACTAATAAAAAATAAAAAAAATTAGCCGGGTGTGGTGGTGGGCGCCTGTAGTCCTAGCTACTCAGGAGGCTGAGGCAGGAGAATGGTGTGAACCTGGGAGGCGGAGCTTGCAGTGAGCCGAGATCACGCCACTGCATTCCAGCCTGGGCGACAGAGCAAGACTCCGTCTCAAAAACAAAAACAAAAACAAAACAAAAAAAAATGATCTTTTATGAGTTAAAAAAAAAAAAAAAAAAAAAAACTCCGAGCCTTTGCAATCATGGTGCTTATGAGGAGGAAGGAATCGGACTTCTTGCTCCACCTCCTACTAGAATAGGAATGGCCTTGCTTGGTTCAGATTCGAAACAGCAGGTGGTAGGGGCTGGCTCCCGGTAAGCAAGGTGTTGCTATTTTCCCTGCCCTGCTTCCTTCCACTTGCCACATTCTGCTTGTCCTGCAGGGTCTAGGTCTAGTTGCCCCTAGCTCCTAGAATGCCAGCTGACTCAGTCTCCTCAATGCCCTGGAGATTTTCTAAGACAAAGACAGGCTGTAAGTCTATGCATAGCTCCCCGACTTGTGGTATTTGTTTCTATATATTTTTTCCATAGTGAATGGTGCCCTTGAAGGGCTTTTCAGGCTCCAGATTTAGCATTTGGTGGAGAGGTTTTGTGCCATTTGATCCTCCCAATAGAACCCTAGTCAGTTCAGGACATCAAATGTTTATTGCGTGAATGAATGAAGGAGCATAGACACCTGCAGAACCTAGAAGAGAATCAGACAGGTTTGGCTGGAGGGCTGGGAGCAGGGAGCTGCTAGAAGCTTGGGCTGTTGGTGGTCTCTGGTGTTGACTGAGTAGAGTCAGCGGTGCCTCTCCTCTGTCTCCCTCTGCCCCCTACTCCACCCCTGATCCACGTCTCCCCACTCCAGGTTCACACTTAAACCCCCAGCTGTTTCCTGTGGGGCCCCAGATCATTTGACCCTAAGAACAACAGAGCCCATGGCCTGCTTGTCATTTCCCAGGTAGGTCTGCCACCCAGACACTCTGCCACACTCAGAAGATAGGCACAAATGCTTTTATAGTTTTAAAGGAAGCTCCATTTTCACACACACTTCCGGTGATGCTGCTTTGACATCGTGAAGAATTCTTTTCTTGTTTTCCTAGGATGGAATTTGCAACGTGTTTTCTCAACTCACCCACGTCAGACTTGAGTGAAATGAACTCTGAGCATGTCTGCTTCTCCCAGCAAACTTCAGCTAATCCAAGGACAGTCATTAACTTGTTATTCTAAGTAATCCTCTGTTGAAAGCTGTGAGCCGCCTGGGGTGGACGAGGGCAGGGTTTTCAAGCACAAAAATATTGGACCTGCGGCTCCCATGAGGACAGACAGCCTCCCCAGAGGAGGGGAGGGATTCGACAGCCTCACTCCCAGACAGGACAGACAGAGGCATTTCAAACCCAGCTATGTTTCAGCCACCTTTGTATATGCTTTTGTCATTGTGTGGGGAATATTTTGTCGGCTTGTTGCTCACTAACATTCAGATCTTTGTTGTCGACAGAGGCTTTCGCAATTATCAAACCAGATTAACAGTGGAAGCAGCCTCTCGCATACATTTTTAAAACACACATCTTATTACATACCCTACCTAAAAAAATATCCTCAATACTTGCCCAGTAACTAGAGTTGTTAGATCCACTCCTTTGAGATCTTCCTTACAAGGCTCTTCCCTGCCATTTCCTTCTCCAACCACATCCTCTTACTCAACATCCCCCAATCCTATTAGGCTCCTCTGTGCCAAAATGCAATTGCACTGATTGTTCCCTTTGCCTAAAGTGCCTTTTCCTATTTTTCTAACAACAAATTCACACCTGCTTTCAAAGCAACTCACATATCCTAGCCAGGATTTTCTGCTCAAACATTTACCTCTATCTGACCCACCGCTTAGTAGGTTGAAATTATTTGTGTTAATGTCTGATTCTGCTCCATGCCATGAAGCTGCATCATTCCCTGAGTGCTCCTGAGAGTTCAAACAAAGCCCCTTTAAAATTTCCAAAAGCATCACAACCTCACCTTCTCTTACTTCTAAAGTAATTCAGATCCAGTCCAAGCATGAGAAGACCACTGGAGGAGAAAGTCATTTTTTTCACTTGAGTTTAATATTTTTCTTCTTGAGCATGCTTCTAAGAGGCTGTTCTCTGCATTTACCTATTCCCTGCTACCCATAAATTCTTCTCATCTTCCAAACCTCAACTGTGCTAACATGCAGGCTTTGATAGACAAACATGCAAACAGCTGTTGCCTTGGAGAATTCTAGCCTAGAAGCCTCAGCGTGCCTGTTCTGATTTCTTCCTTTCAAATGTCAAAAAAGCTTCCTGGAAAAGTCAGAGGCTGTTCTTGATTAATGAAGACTAGAGTTTTGCCATGAGTACTTGTATGTGTGGGGCAGAGCTGGGGGGAAGCTTACCCCAAGACCTCCAAGCCTTTATATCCTAGATCTTACCTGTGAAGTCCCTCCCAGAAAACATCACGGAGCAGTTTGGCAGACATTTGAGTCTGTTGCAAGCAAAGACATGTTCCCTCCGTGATTGGAATTTTATGTCTCCAATCATAAAAAACATAAAAATAGGTAGCACGTTTTTCTTATTGCCTACGATATGCCAAGCACCTTGAGGTGATTCACACAGACACTTACATCGAATGACTGCCATCTCTCTGTGGATTGTCTCTAGGTCTACCTCGCTCCCATCTCACATAGGAGGAAACTGGCATCCCCCTTCTTCCTTTGACCCCATAAATAAACAATGCACAGTGCCTGGTATAGGACATGCTTGGTGTAACAGGGAAAATCATTCACCCAGGCAAGCATTGATGTTCAGAGCACTTAGTGGTGGAATACGTTATCACCAGCTCAAGCATGCGATGTTCAGCCACTCCGGCCCAGGAAATGTAAGCACGGGACGAACGGGTGGTTTTCCCACGCCTCCCTTGCCAGTTCCAAGGGCTGAGGCTCTCCAGAGCTGGGCTGTGAGTGCCTCTCCTTCTCTCTGGGGAGAGCTCACAGCATGGCTGTCTCTACAGAGCACGAGGATAATGGGCAGATGAAGGTCAAAGCTACAGGCCCTAACCAACCACTATTGAGCACTTGTTGTGTGCCCAGACCTGTAAAGCGTTTTCATGAGCAGGGATTTGTGTGTGCTTTGTTTACCATGACATCCCCAGTGCCATGGCTGGCACACAGCAACCACTAATAAATACCTGTTGAATGAATAAATGGACAATGAGATCAGTGCTTTGCCTATGAGGAGTCAGCTAGCAGAGTTGACATTTAAACGCAGAGTTATCTGTTGAGGTTGAGGAGAGCAGCTACCTTCAAGGAGTACACAGATACAGATGATGCAGAGATGCCTAAACATCCTTCACCTACAAAGGCTGGGGATGAGTCTAGCAGCCTCGCAGGTGGCCCATGTCTTGTGGCAAGACCATTAGAGGAGATATCAGGAGACCCAGGCCCTGGTCCTGCCATGCCCGGCCACATGCAGTTGGGCAAGTCCCTTGCCCGGGTGGTTCTCACTTTACCTGTATGTAAAATAGGATTATTAACACCTGTGTGCTCTCACAAAGAGCGTTAAATGAGAAAAGGTGTGCAAAACTGCTTTGTTCATTGCAAGGGCGAATTCAATACCAATTGAACCCTGTTCTCCCTGGGTCTTGGTCTCCACATCTGTGCATTCATTGTGCAATGGGCACTGCCAGCTCTCCCATGCCAGAATTTGGACAGATCAGCAGGGCTTTCTCATTGCATGGCTGTGGGACGTGGCGGGGCTCCATTCACACCATAGTGAACACGATCGCCTCACCATCCCAGGAACTTGCCCGCACCCAGCCTGCACAACTACACGCAGTGGTTCCAGATCAGGGCTTGTTTTGATGAGGCCATAAAGTCAGTATTATGGTGGGGCAAGTAAATAGGAAAGCGGCCCCTATCCCCAGAAGCTTTCAGACGGGAGACACAGATTTCCAAGAGTGGAGCTGGTGAAGTCTCCCTGGACCAGGCAGGGTGCCTGCAAAATAGTCCAACAGACCAGAGGACCAGAAGAAGGCAAACATCCCCTGCACCAGGAAGCAAACTCTAGGGGCTAGGCTAGTTTTCTCCACCCTCCACAGGACTTTGCCCACTTTTCTCCTAGCCCAGTGCTGGGGAGGCGTGGGGAGGGACTGTGAAGGAAGGAGAGCTGCTCACCCTGGTTCCTGACTCCTGCCTGCCCCCTAGCCCTTCTCAGCACACACAGCCTTGCAGTGTGGACGAGGGAGCCCAGACTGTGGCCTCAGGAGAGTGAGAGCAGAGGGGCCCGCCCGAGCTCTTAGCACACACCTGGGTGTCATCTCCAACAGTCCTGTGTCTTTCCACGGCCTCACGACGCATAAGCATGAGCGCTGGATTTCCCTGGAATGCCCAGGCAAGAAATCTTACCCAGTCTCAAAACATCAAAACATGTTAAAATGGTTAAAAATCTTTCTGTTGGCCTATGGGGTAGGATGCCTGAGATCTGGGGGAAAGATCTGGAAGCTGCGTCTTCGGTGACACTGCAGTTCACTCTGGTGGTCCCAACTCCTGCGTCGTGCTCTGGGGGGTCCTCGGCCCACATGTGGCTCATTGGCCCAGATGTGGCCTGTGGCTCATCACACCTTCAGGTGGGCAGCCCAGTGCTAGACACACCTGTCCTCCCCCTGGTCACTCTGTTCCTGCTGCTTCCTTGTCACCTCCACACAGGGCTCTAGAGAGGAACCCTGCTCATTCATCTGAGATCCGGGCCCCACTCACCTCTGCTGGTCCTGGGTGGCATCCTGCTTGTCTGGGCCTGCATCCCCTGAGTCAGGTGCAAACCTCAGCCCCGAGCAGGGGTGGGCACAGCCCAACCCCCTCCCCACCTCATGGCCGCACCCCCAGGGCTGGCACGACATCAAGGTTCAGTTAAAAGGGGCCCCCAAAGCCCTCGCATGTGGCCCGGGGTCCGAGCCCCTCATTAGGCGGTGGCGGCTCTCACATACGGCCTTTAATGTGGTGCAATGGCATTTTTCAGGCTTCTTTTCAGAAGGAAAAAGTTAATAACGTGAAAGCTTTATTACCTCTCTCTTCCCCCTCTGAGACATGCCCTTTGGTAGTGTAACGCCGGGGCTAGTTAAGGCCGAAGCCCGGGGATTTCCTTCTCTCTGGGAACGGCTGTAATTACACACACGAGGGGCTGAGGCCGAAAGTGGCAACACACCGAGGTCTTAACCTCGGAGGCAGGAGGAGAGCGAGGTGTGAGCCGTCGTGGCCCGGCCTGCAAAGCAGAAACATATGGGGAATCCATTACCTGCTCTACAAAGGAGGCGGCCTTGCTAATAAACGTATTTACTGGGTTAAATAAATACGCTGAGGGTTGTTAAAAGCCTGGCCCTGTGACTTCAAGTCACCAACATTTTTCACTTGTCAGAAAGGGGCTTTTGGAAGCTTTCAGGCGGCCTGCCTTCCTGCCCATGTTTACGCATCCACGGTGCCCTCAGCTCCTCCTGACCACGGAGTAAGAAAGGGGCTTTGTCTAGCAGCGTGGAGACCCGACGGGTGGGCAGGAGGCTACACACAGACTGTGTGCCGGGGGCCTCAGGAGCTGGTACGAAATGGAGCCGGAGGAAAAATACATCTTTACACAGCCATGTGTCATCCAAGAAGGCTCACTGCAGATTTTTCAAACGGCATCCTCCACGATGACACTGCAGTATTATAGAGCCTTCATTGCTATAACCTTTTAAAAATCATCGTAAAATACACATAACATCCAATTTACCATTTTAAAGTGTCCGATTCAGTGGCATTTGGTACGTTCATAACATTGTTCAATCGTCATACAATCTAGTTTCAAAACATCATCATCTCGAAAGGAAACCCTGTACCCACAAGATGGTCACCCTCTCTTTCTCTGCCCAGCCCTCAGCAGCTACTAATCTGCTTTCTGTCTCTATGGATTTGGCTATTCCAAAATAGACCTTCTGTGCCTTTCACTTTCACCAAAGATAGTTTTCAAGGCCCCTCCATGCCGCAGCGTGTATCACACTTCCCTCTTTGTTATGGCTGAATACTATTCCATTGCACAGATATACCACATGTTGTTTGTTTATTCGTCAGTTGGACATTTGAGTTGTTGCACCTTTTTAGCTATTGTGACTAAGCCTGTTGTGAACTTTTCTAGACAAGTTTTTGTGTTTAATTCTTTTGGGTTGATACCTGGGAGTGGAATTGCTGGGTCATATAGTAATTCTATGTTTAGCTTATTAAGGACCCACGAAACTGTTTGCTATGCCTTTTCATATTTGGTAGACAGTAGAGAAACACAGAAACATTTTTTCATTCGAAATATCAAATTCTGATAAGACCCTGACTAACCATCTTGTAAAGGTGGTAGAGAGCTCACATTTGATGAGGATGTACTGTGTCCCAGGCACCTAACTCTCACAGGCACCCAGTGTGGGGACTATTATTCTCATCCTATGGACAGAGGAGAAAACCAGGGGATTTATGGTCACGTTGAGTATGTGCATCAGGCGTTTGCACTCTGGCCCTTCAGACCATGGGATGGATAATTTGGACTCTTTTCATCACCCCAATCATTTGAGAATGCATAAGAAATGGTGAGAGTTCCCAGGGCCCCAAGAAGGTCTCACATTTCCAGGGCTCCAAGAATGTCTCAACAAGTGTTAAAGGACTTTCCCTAAATAATGCCACACAGCTCACGCCTGTAATCCCAGCACTTTGGGAGGCTGAGGCAGGTGGATCATGAGGTCAGGAGATCGAGATCATCCTGGCTAACATGGTGAAACCCCATCTCTACTAAAAATACAAAAAATTAGCTGGGCATGGTGGCGGGCACCTGTAGTCCCAGCTACTCGGGAGGCTGAGGCAGGAGAATAGCTTGAACCCGGGAGGCAGAGGTTGCAGTGAGCCGAGATCGCACCGCTGCACTCCAGCCTGGGTGACAGAGAGAGACACCATCTAAAACATTTAAAAAATAAAAAAATAATGCCACACAGCAGGTGAGTCGAGGGCCTGATCAGCTTTGACTCCCAGGGGGTCCAAAGGAAAAGGGACTGCAGATGTCTCCACCGGCCTCGGTCATTCAGGGAACCCATGGCTTCTCGCATCACACATGGACCCCTGTGGACATTGGCGTGAGCGTGGACATGGTGTTGAACATTTGTCCTTAACCAAAAGGTCGTCTTTTCCTCCAAAAGGGGAGATTACAACATTAAAATCTCGTTCACTGGTTCTAGAAAAGGGTAAGCATGCATGTGTGCACCCTGCCATGCTGCGTGTGTGTCTGTGACCTCACTTTCAGTCCCTTTCAATTGGGGCAGCTTGTCTTGAGAATGGTCATTAAACAAAGCATTGGGTTATCCTTCCATTTTTTCTTCTGCTATTATTTTACCTTCCCATCTAGTTTTATTGTCCTAATCCGGGTAATTTTCCTCAGCATCTTTATCCTAATTTTTTTCTCTTGAATTTATTTCTTTAGCTTCTTGGATGTCCACTACTTCACCCCCTCCTTCCATTTGAGCAATGAAAAAAAGAACAAAACGCTTTAAATTGAAGTTATTCCATGAAATATGGGATGACATATTTCCCCTGAATGTCATAAAGATCAACCTTTATGAAGCTATTACAGCTCCACTATAATCTAGCCATATTGCCATCCAAGTTGTAGATAACCAACCATGCCATTAAAACAGTTAGTTTAGGAGGTTTTGGCAAACTGGATAGACTTAGGGAGCCATAAAATTTGGTAAACTGCCTCCTATCCTTAGGCCCATGTCGGTGGGAAGGAAAACCTTCAACAGCCCAGGCCATTTGGGCTGGAAGCAACTTTCTGGCTTAGATCCACCCTCCTCTCCTCTCAGTGGGGTAAAACGAGTGAGTTTTCTGAAGTAAACATCTTCCTTTGGGAACAGAAAAAGAAAAAAAAGTAGAAAAAGTGTTTTCAGATAATGAACAGAAGTTTGCCATCAACTTGATGCGTGTCGGATTCTCCAAAGATGAGCTATGTGCAGCAAACTCCCTTCTTTCAAGTCCTGTTTATGGTTGGTTAAATAAGCAGTGGTGTGATCTGTCACCTCCGCTCTCCAGCCGGTGAGCGGAGGGAACAACAAGCCAATCTGATGTGAAATGATTTGGACAGTAAGTAAATAAATCCCACCTTGATAAGCGGGACTCCGCTAGCTCTCCCACGGGCCCTAAACATTTTGATTAAGGGCTGATGAGGGCTTCCCAGGGGAAGGCCAGAGACGCATCTTGCCTGGAGGTCCCTGCAAACAGAACCACATCCTATCTGTTGGGGATAGTTTAGGTGGAAGAGGGTAAGTGGGCAAATGAGTGAACCAGGTGACCTTTTTAGGTTTCTTCCACCCAGGAGGCTTGGAAACAATACCACATCAGAGCAAGTAACCCAACTTTGGAGTATGGATCAAGTATAGGACTTGCACCAAATTTCTGCTCACTGCATTGATGAATAGATAGATGCATGGATGGAGGGAGGAAAGGAGCTTCAAGGTCACTTTGCCCAAGCAATTTTCCTAAACCTAATTACATGATATATCTACTGTCCGAAAGGCAGATTACTGGAGCCGAACATATAAACACAAAACCACCACATTATTGAATAAGGAGTATCTCTTTCCTGTTTGGGGACTCTCCTGTGTCCTTGGTGGAAAGTTTTTTTCAATGAGAGATGGAAATGTTTTATTTATGTTCAGAACTTTCTAGATTTATACCTATTTCCTAATTACCAGCCATTCTGAAACATTGCCCAAGAAGCCACTTCCTTTAAAATGTCCCAAACTAACAAGTGACATTTATCCAGCGTTTTGAACTGTTCCAAACTCTTTTCCATACCGTATCTTATTCAAAGCTGAGAGATGTCCCTTGGCATAGTGGTTATTGCCACATAAATTCACTAGACGGTCAGACTCCTTAAATTAGAATCCTAGTTCTACACTTAATTCTATGGCCCTGGGCAGGTTATTTAACTGCTCTGTACCTCAGTTTCTTTATCTGTACAATTGGGATGATAATAATATCTAACTTGCGGTGTTGTCCTGAGGCTTAAATGAGTCAAGCTATGCAAAGCACTTGCAAGAGTGAGGATTTGCTGGTATGCTTGCAGCTCACAGCACGTTTAAAGGGTGATCAAGCAGACATGGCTGCTGCTTTTTGGCTAATGAAGGGGCCACAGATTCTCCAAGGCACACCTTGAGGGGGCAGTCAACCTCAGGCTAGAGCCCAAGATGTCTTCTCTATCCCAGTTCAGTCTAGGGTTTTTCCACTGTAGTGAAGACAGAGAGTTCAGGCTCAGCTACTACTACCCATTATTGCTCAATACTGAGTGGGCTAATTGTGGCCCAGGGTTATTATTTAAAATTCCAAGAGATCTTTGCCTAAGAATGCGAATTGCAGCTGTCTGATGGGCCTGGAGCACAGGGCCCCAAGACAGGTCTCCTGGAGCAATGCTTCAGGTAGACAAGCATCATCCATGCTCCCTCTTCTTATTTCCCTGTTTGAATTTTGATTACAGCAGTACTCTTGTTTTCTTCCTTTTTCTTTTTTTCTAATTAGAAATTCACTTACTTTTCTTTTTTAAAAAAATAATGTTTATGTTTCTTTAGATTATAATAGCAACACATTTTAAAGTGTTGAAAATGTAGGAAACAGGTGAAAAACAAAATAAGAAAATGTTTTAACTATCCAAATTTCTATCATTCAATTATTATGGCTTTTTCTTTTCATGTCTTTATTCTATGCAAGTGACAAGCTTATGTACATTTTTCTCTTTTATATAATTTTGATCTTATGATAGGGGGATGGTTTATATGACATGTTACAAGCATTTTGTTTGTTCACTTTTTCATTGCTTTGGGAGCAAATTCTACAAAAGCCAAATAAAATAGCAGAATGCAATGATTAAAAGCAAGGACGTTTCAGGACCATTTAGGTATGAGTCCTGGCTCTGGCACTTGTTAGCTGTGTGACCTTGGACAAGTTACTTAACCTTACTGTGTCTCAGTTTCCTCTGGGTAAGAAAGGGATAATGGTACACACCTCCTAGGACTGATGCGCTCATAGAATTGAAGGAGTTAACGTTTGTAAAGTTTTTAGAATGGCTCTTGACACATAGTAAGCACTCAAAAAATGTTAGAAGCAGGAGTGGTTTAAGTTTGAATCTTGATGTTTCTATTTTGTGAGTCTGGACTTGAGCTACATTTCATATGGAATTTTTGGTTGCAAAAAAAAAAAAACACAAACTTTACAAAGATATTAAGTAGGATACCTAGACTTCCCATGGGGAAGATTCTCAAACAGGAGAGACATTTGGATGATGACAATCACCATTTTCTGAATACCAACTGTGTACCAGATACTGTGGCTGCTTCAGGCACTCAATCACATTTTATATATCCTCACGAGTCCCTGGGAAGTAGTTACTAGGTTCTCCTTTTTGTATATATTAGGAAACTGGGTTTCAGATAGATTAAATGATTCACCTGAATTCACAAAACTAAGGAAGTAGTGGAACCAAGATTCAAGCCCAGGTCGAGTACTCAGTCATGCAGCTCTTTCAATCATTTCATATTGTAGCATGCTCACTATGAACCAGGCCAGGGGTTCTTTGCTGAGGACAGAGGCATGATTCCTATCAGCATGGAGCTGACTACCTAGTTGGGAAGAAAGATGTTTGTCCAGTTGTCACACAAATAAATGTGACATTGCAGCTGTAATGGTGACTCTAAAGTAGAGGTCCCCTGTATTGGGGATTTGATTTTGACAGGGAAGTCACGAAAGATACTCTTGAGGAAGTAATGCTTGAGTTAAGACGGGGAGGGTGAATGGAGTTAACAGGCCAAGAA
This sequence comes from Homo sapiens, assembly GCF_000001405.40. NCBI lineage: Eukaryota > Metazoa > Chordata > Mammalia > Primates > Hominidae > Homo > Homo sapiens. The sequence goes on along the minus strand of NC_000002.12, from coordinate 15,659,175 downwards.
CTGAAAGGTGGAGAGGAGTGATTTGGGAAGAAAAAAAAGCAAAGACTCTACGGGAGAAAGAAATGCAAGATTGTGAGAGACTGTCCAGTGCTGTGGGACGTATCTGAAATGAGAGCTGGGGGAAGATGTGCTCAGCAGTGAGACCAAAGGAGCAGGCCATGTAAAGCTTTGCAGTCAATTAAGGAACTTTGACTTTCTCCTAAGGTCAATGGAAGTCATAGAAGAATTGAAAACAGGGAGATGACAAGGTTAGATTTCATTTCAGGGGTCACTCTGGTTTCAATGAGGAGAATACATTGGGATGAGATGGGAGGAAAAGTAGGCACCAGTTCACCAATCAGGGGGCGATAGCAATAGCCTAGGTTAGCAATAATGGTAGCTTGGACCAAGATATTGGTGAATATGAAGAGAAATGAACAGACTCAGGGGAGCTTGACGAGGTAAAATCCACAGAGCTTGGTGATGAGTTGGTTATGGAAAGGCGGGGGTTGTGGGGTGCCAAGAATAACTCCAGGACTTTTTTGACTAATTTAACTCAGATAATGGTGGTGCTATTCTTTAACATAATGAATATTGGGGAGCATCAGATTTGAGAAGGGTGATCATCAGTTCAGTTTTGGGACATGTTAGGTTTAAGATGTCTTTAAGATAGCACCTCCACCACCCCACAAACAAAGACGTCAAACAGTAAGATACAGAGGTCTGTACGAGTGATGCCTGGGATGAAATTATGTCAGTGTGTCGCATCTGTGTATGAAGATTGATGGACATTTGTCATTCTTTTGGGCTGCCCCGAATTTGAAACTCCTCCTCATGTTTGGAGAATCCTTCATCTTACGAGGCAAAGCCCATCTCCCACTGTAGAAGCTGAAAAGACCATCTTTAGGGATGAGCTACAACAGTTTAGATCTAGGGCCACATCTCCCAGAACCTCTGCAATCCCATAAGCATGTGATTTGGCTTGGCATTGAATTAGCTCGCTCCACAGTTCAGGGCCAAGTCTTTCCTCCATCTTACAATGAAATCAACCAAAGCTCAAGAGGTGGAAGAGGCTGCATGTTGTCTGCTAAGAACAAGCTGTGAGGAGGAAGCAGGAGGACTGGTTCTCTTACACGCTGGCCTCGTGGCTCTGGCACAGTCTCGCATTGCTGCTCTTGCCACCCTTGCACGAGGTTGTGGACCTTGGGATGTCCAGGGCCCTCGCTGCCCCTAACAGTCTCTGATACATGCCGGCCCTTAGCAGCCAGAGCGATTGCCTGGTGAATTGAGGCAGAGGAGTTATCTTACTGGGATGAGAACACAGATCTTATTTTCTGGCCCCAAATAATTGGGTTCATTCCCCTAGAGCTGTAAATATGCTACCCAAAATAGCGACGAGCTGAAAGAAAACAAGCTCCTCAGCAGATTTACAACAAGGTTCCCTTTTTTTTTGTCATTAACAATAGGATTTTTGTTTGTTTGTTTTGTTTTGTTTTGTTTGAGACAGAGTCTGGCTCTGTCGCCCAGGCTGGAGTGCAGTGGTGCAATCTTGGCTCACTGCAACCTCTGCCTCCCAGGTTCAAGCGATTCTCTTGCCTCAGCCTCCTGAGTAGCTGGGATTACAAGTGCCCACCACCATGCCCAGCTAAGTTTTTGTATTTTTAGTAGAGATGGGGTTTCTCCATGTTAAACAGGATGGTGACGATCTCCGGTCCTCATGATCTGCCCACCTTGGCCTCCCAAAGCGCTGGGCGGGATTATAGGGGTGAGCCACCGCGCCCAGCCAGGATTTCTTTTTAATCCCTAATTTTCTTCAGTATGAACTTTGCTTCATTTTGTTTATATAGAATAATGTAATAACACAGTCCCAGGGTGGGGAGGTACAGTTGCCAACAACTGGGACAAAACAGGAGCAATCTGGGCCCTGAGAGGTTTTGCCCAAATAATAGACAAGCACTGTCCACTAGAGCTCCCTGAGACAATAGCAAAGTCCCATCCTGAACTATAATTTAGTAGCTCCTAACAGCATGTGGCGACCAAGCATTTCAAATGTGGCCAGTACCACGAAAGGACAGACATTTTAATTTTTAATATACATTTAAATTTAAATAGCCACATATGTCTAGTGGCTACTGTACAGGACAGGGCAGAAGACATCCGTGACCAAGTGGGCCTTCCTTACCACGGCCGTGTCTTCTGCCAGAACAAGAAGCCTAAGGTAAATCTACATTTCACGAAGCCAGTCATTCGGAGCTTGCTTTCGGGGTGGGGGCTGAGGCAGAATTCACCCTTTCCCGGTGCTGTGTGTGTGTTTATTAATTGTCTACATGATTGCCTTTGTAAAGGGAACTACCTCTCTGAAACCAGAATTAGGAGGTCTGAATTTGAAGCCATTTATTAGGCTCAAATTTATGTGGTGTGAAATCTGTTAGATCATTTGCTCATCAGTAGGCTGTCTAGAAAAAAGGCCCTTCTACAAAGGATTTTCAGGGTGAGGGTCAGCAGTATAATCAGAAACATACCAAGCCTGGCCTCCAGCAAAAGAGTGTGTGCCTTCAAGTAAATTTTTCGTTTGCGAAGTGGCCTTTTGAAGACCTTGCTATTGGTAACATTTCCTCTCTTATTACAAAAAAAAAAAGTGCAATTATTTTTCGCTATTGTTCAACTTAAAAACCAAAAAGCAGAAGCCTCCAGTAGTTAATATTTGAAATTATAGAGTACACGAGACTGTCACCCTGGAAGGAAACCTTCAAACTAGATAGGCAGATGGGATGCAGTAAGAGGGTTTGAATCCAATCTGGACAAATGGTACAATAGGACTGACCAACCAACCCCACAGTCAGAGGCATAGCTGATATTCGTCGCAGTTTATAAGAGGAAACAGTCGGTCATGGTTTGGAGATCAGCTCATTCATTCAACAAACACTGACCGTGGGCTCTCCTGCCCTGAGCTGGGATCTAGGGAAGTAAAGATGAAGAGGTAGCTGCAGGCCTCAGGGGACTCACAGTTCCAGGGGAGGTCCCAGGGTAAACCAGCGGCATGCCATCCCAACAGCGGGCATTGCTTCCGAAACTCTGCTGATGGTAAGAATCATCTGAGGTGCATTTTGAAATGCAGATTTCCAGGCCCTTCCCCCAGAATATTCTGATTTCACAGGTCAGTGGTAGGCCCTGAGAATAGGTATTTTTATATAATACCCTTAGAAGATTTTTATTAAAAGGCAATTTAGAGAAGGTAAACATAGTGAACGTATCATCTTTCCATCCATAGTTCCTCCTCCTCACCCCAATCACTCCACTAAGACTGAGGAGGCACCCTAGTCTCTCTCCCTCCCTTTATTCACATCACTAAAGCCAGCTGATTATATCTCCTAAATATTCCTTGAATTCCTCCCTCATGACCTGACACCTGGGCTATTGCAACAGTCCCTAATTTCTCTCCCCAGAGTCTAGTCTTCCCTCTCTGAGTTCATTCTCTGTAGAGTTGTCAGTGTGCACTTCACAGACCATAAGGTTGACATGTCTCATTCATGCTTAAAACAACTTTGCGGCTTCCACTGCCTGAGAAGCGAGGCATCCACGGACTTTGGTGGCCCGGCCCCTACCCTCCTCCCTAACTCACCTCCACGTCTCATGTCTTGGGTGTGGGTCTTACTGCTTCACCTTCAAGACTCACTGCCAATGCGGTTTCCATGAAGCCTTCCCAAATCCTGCCAGATTATGCCAGAGCAAAAGCCCAAAGAAGGAGAAGTATGACTTGAGACTAAAGACAAGCAAATGTTCCAGGGTGGCCAGAGTGTAGGGATGGGGATGGTCACAGTGGGACATAACAATGGAAATAAAGGAAATCTGAGGCATAAGAGCATCAAAGTCAGGTTGAGGAGGTTGGGTTTTATTTTGTGGAAATGAGGATGAAATCTGAATAAGAGGAGCTTCACCTCAAGGGAGAGGAGTAGACAGTCCTAGGCGGCATCTTGGTGTTACTGTCTGCTTATTTGGTTTTGACTTCTATTTTGGAAAATGTAAGGAATATCCCAGAGTAGACAAAATGAGATAATGAAACCTCACAAACATTGCTTTATGAGGAATTAGCTGGATCTGAAACATTCTGTTCACTCATGAGGACACAGGGGCTCCGGACGATCTATCCTGGCACTGACGATGCCTGGGCAGCTCTGGCCCTTCCCTCGGGTCTAACCATGCCCGGCTCACCCTTTCTTCCTGGGGATTCTGCTTGCCTCAGGAATCACTGCCCAAGGAGAAAGGGGAGGAACACACCTCGCCCTAGTGTGGGGCTCCTGACTCCATAGGAGGCTCCTGGCCACATTGGCAAGCCCCAAATGGGCACCCGTTCCTTCCATGCCATCATTTAGAGTGTTAAGTTCCAGCAGAGTTATGTGCAGAGAGCACAAAAACTGGGCATTTCAGTGGAGTTAGAGGCCCGGATGCGCTGGAGAGAGGAGGCTCACTGGGAACTGAAGGCCTCAAGTTCACGCCCCAGGGCTTGAAGGCATGGGCGGCCACTGCAGGGCTTGCACACGGGAGTGAGCAACGGGGCACCCTGCGGCTGAGTGGAGGGAGACCAGCCAGGCGGCTTGAGGACAGTGCCCGTGAGAAGTGGTGTCACTCACGCCAGCGTCGTGGCTGAGGGCAGGGGGAGAGGGCCTGAGTGGAGGGAGACCAGCCAGGGGGCTTGACGACAGTGCATGTGAGAAGTGATGTCACTTACGCCAGTGTCGCAGCCGAGGGCAGGCGGAGAGGGCCTGAGTGGAGAAGGGGTTTGAAGATGAACCCCCAGGGCCTCCCTTGGTGATGGCAGCCAAGGGGGATGTCAGAGTCAGCAACCGCTCCTCCCATAAAACCTTTTCCCTTGCGACAACTCCATTAATGCTAACCACCTGGCACCTGCCATTTGGTGGCCTGATATTGGCCAGGCCTCCTCAGGCACCTTTCATGGGACATTCCTCCCTCCTCGGCTTTCACAGGATAGCGGGATCCTGCCCATGGCGCTGGGAGATGAGAAGCAGGCCCCGGATTGAGGAGGGGTCCGCTGGAGACAGAGGCTTCCCTGGGGGCAGGGCCCAGGGCTTCAGTTCCCACCAAGCTCAGGGGCTCAGGCTGCAGGGGCAGTGCCGGGAGGTGTGAAGGCCACAGAAGGGGCCGGGGCGCCCAAGGCTTTGGGTTTATCTGCGCAGTCGCCTCCATGTGGGAGCCCAGAGAAGGCTGCAACTCCTGGCCGCCCAATCTGCAGCCACAGGTGCTTCACCAAAGGGCTGGAGAAGGTGCAGGGCCAGTACCACCTTCTGCTCATGCTATCAGAGGGGCCCAGCACAGGCACTGAGGCTGTCGGCTGTGAGGGGCACCATCTCCTTTCGAGGACACGCTTCACCTCTGCAGAGCATTTTTACAAAACTATATGGTCTCCAGTGTCTCAAAACAAGTAGGGAAGTGAAGAGGGAACTGGCGTCAGGCGGTGCCAGGTTCATGTCCTGACGCTGGCCAAGTGCTCCTGGCTTAAGATGGGACCTCTCTAATTCCTCAAAGGGCAGAGATGATAATACCCATTTTGCTGAAGGTTATGACGTTTAAATGAGGTACAAGTTGTAAAACATTTTGCAGAGGGCTACAGTGGGGAAGGGAGCTAGCACCTTCTAGTGTCAACCAGACACCACGGTTTCACACGCTACCTGTTTCGTCTCCCAACAACAGTGCGAGGTTGTTTTTCTCATCCCTATGCTATCAATGAAGAACCACTCAGGGTTAAATGACTTGCCTCACATCACCCAGGCAGGAAGTGGCTGGAGGTTTTGAATCTGGGATCGGCTTGCTCTACACCATTTCACAAAGGTGAGCATGTTAATTACTACAGGGACCCCAGTCCTGGGTTTGGCCGCAGAAGAATCCTAAGTGAAGAGGTGAGGCCTGTGAGGCCTCGGTGGACCTGGGTTCCCAGGGTGTGCTAGGCCCCCACCCACAGGGCAGCAGGGAGGCTTGGAGGGGGGTATTGGGTGTCTGTGGGAATCTTTGAGTTCACCGGTCACTTGGAACTGCTGCTCTTTGAGGGGTGATTTACATCTCTCTCTGCTGGGCCGTTTGATCTCCAGCCTGAGGGCTGAGTGCATTAGTGCGTCCATCCCTCCCCCACCCACAGGGGTCCCATTACCAGCCCATGGCTAGCATGGCCTGACTGGGCTGGACCTTGGGACAGAGCCTGACTTATGGCTGTATTGGGCAGCCAGAGGGCCCGAGTTGGGAGGAGGAAGGATGCTCATCAGTATTATTTCCAAGGAGGCAGAGCAGTGGAGCCGAAAGAACATGAGCTCTGAGTCACAGGTGTCAAAGTTCGAATCCCAGGCCCATGATATGGACCAGCTGTGAGACTCTGGGACATTTTATGTAACTTCTCTGATTGGTTTCCTGATTGGTAAAGCAGAGGTGGTATAGCCTACCTCGAAGAGATTTTGGGGCGATAAAAGCAGATAATGAGTCCAGAGCTCCTGGGGTAGAAAGAGCACTCGATAAAAGGTGCCTAGAATTTTTGTTAGTCAGGAAAACTGGCCTGTGACAAAGCCCAATCCCTAAACATCAGCCTGTGCTTCAGGTTTGCGCTGTTTAAACGAAATGGGGCTTCAGGGGCTTTTCTTCCAGGTGGCGACCTGTGAGTCCCGGTGCTGAGAACTTCACCAGCCAGCCAGGATGGGAGGAGGGGCTGCAGGGAGAGACCATGGCGGGGCCTGGAGAACTCCTGGTTCCAAGTCTGTCTCCCAGCTGCTGCACAAAGTAACCATCTGAGCCGAGGCACAGAGGCAGGAAGGTGGACAAGGCAGGACAGAAGAGGACTCAGATGGAGCGCCTCAAACCTCAGGCTGGAGGGAGACTCTTCTGATCTGAGCACTGGTCTCCCTCTGCGAGAGTTCTCAACAATCAGCATTTATTTAATATCCCCGTGAGTGATTTACAGGAGCACAACTTCACCAAGGAAAGCTGGAAAACTGGCAGGAAAACCGCCTGGGAAGTTAGTACTTGTTTTATTTTATTTTTTTAAAAAAGGAAAAAAAAGGCTGGGCGCGGTGGCTCACACCTGTAATCCCAGCACTTTGGGAGGCCGAGGCAGGCAGATCACAAGGTCAGGAGATCGAGACCATCCTTGCTAACATGGTGAAACCCCGTCTCTACTAAAAATACAAAAAAATTAGCCAGGCGTGGTGGTGGGCGCCTGTAGTCCCAACTACTCAGGAGGCTGAGGCAGGAGAATGGCGTGAACCTGGGAGGCAGAGCTTGCAGTGAGCTAAGATCACGCCCGTGCCACTGCACTCCAGCCTGGGCGACACAGCAAGACTCTGTCTCAAAAAAAAAAAAAAAAAAATGGAAAAAAGGCTGAACGCAGTGGTTCACACCTGTAATCCCAACACTGTGGGAGGTCGAGGCAAGCGGATCACCTGAGGTCAGGAATTCAAGACCAGCCTGGGAAACATAGTGAAACCCTGTCTCTACTAAAAGTACAAAAAAATTAGCTGTGTGTGGTGGCACGCGTCTGTAGTCCCAGCTACTGAGGAGGCTGAGGCTGGGGAATCGCTTGAACTTGGGAGGCTGAGGTTGCAGTGAGCTATCATGCCACTGCCCTCCAGCTTGGGCAACAGAGCGAGACTTCATCTCAAAGAAAAGGAAAAAAGCAAAGGCATAATAGCTCTGGCAAAGTAGGTACCATGAAACTACCACAAACAATCAAATCAGGGCCCACTGAATTGGATGAGAGAGAATGGGGCCCTTCTACCCATTTGGCGAACATTAAAAGACACCCCTCTCTGCGGGAGGAACCTGCTCCTACGTGCACCTCCTTGGCCAGGCACTGGGACAGGGCACACAGCACAGGAGAGCACATCAGCCCTGAGTCGACTCCCTGTTGCACTCGTTCACAGCCAGGCATGTGTCGAAACCTGAGCTGGCCCTCAACTCCCTCTTACCAGATGGGACGGGGCTGGAGCATCCCTCCTGGCCCTTGCAGGAGGGATGGTCCAGCTCTCTGTGCTTTCCCATGAGTTGCTGATGTCTCTATGTCCCCTTCTATGTGGCAAGTCCTTGGAGATGACAGAGTGAAGAGAAGGACCCAGCCCTGCCGTCAAGGACTAGCAGAGTGGCCTGCACAAGGACAGTGCTTGGTGAGGACAGAAGTGAATGGGGAACCAAGCCTGGAGAGACAGAGCTAAAATATAAAGAAGAGAGAGAGAATAGCACGAGAGAGGTGAATTCGCCTCCTACATGGGCACAAGAAGGTGACACCATGCTCCAAGGGGCAGGATGGAAAGAGAGAGGCTGCGGTGACCTGCAGGAAACTGCCAGGTATGGCTCTGCAGCCACTGCTCAGGGCCCACAAGTGCCGGCATCTCCCAGGAAAGATGAGGTGTTCACCTAAAAGTCAGGTGGTCAGAAACTGGGGTGGGGGTTAGGAGAACCACTGTTCTTCATGAGTTGAAAACAAAACATTGAGAAGAAGGACAGAATCAGAGCTGCGGAGATCCTGATGCACTGGAACTAGCAAGGTAATTTTTCCCGGGGCAAGCACAGATTTCAGAAGAAGACAATTGTTGTTCAAGAGCAGGATAGCCTAATAGCTGGGGAGGGGGAGTACTTGGAAGGGGGTCAGCTGAGCTTCTCTTAAGCCTTGGCAGCTGCCCATACTTAGAGCCACTGAAGGCTGCATTAATAGAAGGAGAACATCCAGGTGTGGGAAGGTGAGGCCCCTGCTCCATCCCACAGCAGCCAGACCCTACTTACTGCTTAAAGCATTGGGTTGGTCCTGGCTTCCACCTTTTATCCATTTGAATATAATCAAAGAATAGTGACCAAGAGGATGAAAGGTTTTAAGTCATGCTAAAGGGGCAGAGTTGAAGGGGTGCTGGTTTTTTTGGTCTGGAGAAGAGAAGCCCAGATGGACGTATTTCTGAAGGACTTCATGGAGCACTGAGAGACTTATCTGATCTGCGGGGTGGGGGATGAGGCACCATGGAGAAAGACAGGAGTCCCTGGTGTTAGAGTCAGCCCAGCTGTGGAATCACGGCCTCAGACAAAGTGAGCCTCTCATCCCTGGAAGTGTGCACTCAGGAGGAGCCTGCACCGCCTGGAGGCTGGAGGGGTTATGCTGCTTGGGGTCCAGGGTTCACACCCTCGTTTTTCTTCTGGATCTGTGAGATTCCACGGTTATGTGAACTGGGCCAGTCGTGCAGTCATATGTGGCAGCAGCACAAGATGAGCCTCTCCAGATCAGGAAAACATCGGCTGCCAGGGTCTCCCTGGGGACAACACAGACTGTGCACGTCGGGTAAATCCAAGGTGCTGATCCTCCGATTTCCACCAGTGATGATGTCACTGTGGAAACATGAGCATTCCGGCCCACACCTTTCCAGGTCACTGAGCTGTCCCTGCAGCAGGAAGAAGCATTTCCTGGCCCTGGTCTCCTCTCAGGGGTCCCCGGCCGAGTATCCTGTTTCTGCTCTGCCAGGGCATCCTGTGGTGGTCCCCGGGGCTGCTGGAGCCTGGCAGGGGGCTGCTCAGTTTCTGAACCCTGGTGCTGGCCACAGAAACAGTGGTGCTTGGATCAGCTGGGGAGCCAGGGAGATGGGAGCACAGCACTGAGGACAACCTGGGGTGCAGCGCTTCTGGAAACAGGAGGAAGTGCAGCCCACACTCCAAAGATGAGCAGGGCACAGGAGGTGGTGTGGGATTCCAGAGAAGGTCACCTGCCCTCTTGTCACCGCCCTCATTTCTCCTCAGCTACTTCTTTTATAAAAGCCCCCAACCCCTTTTTTGAGACAGGGTCTCGCTCTGTTGCCCAGGCTGGAGCACAATGGTGCCATCTCAGCTCACAGCAACCTCTGCCACCGGGGTTTAAGCAATCCTCCCACCTCAGCCTCCCGGGTAGCTGGGACTACAGGTGCATGCCACCGTGCCCGGCTAAAAAGCCCTTTCCTAGTGTGTTCAACGCTGCCCTGAAAACTTCCCCCAGCACTTCCCTGTGCCAGGCCACACAATCCTGCGGAGGTCCCTGCAGGGCACGTGGTGACACAGGCTCTCTCAGAAGCACTGTGGAGTCTGTGGAGGTGGCTCAGTTCCTGGGCCAGGGAAGGGTGTCTCTCCCCAGAAGAAGAAACAGACAGGTGTCTGCAAGCAGCAGCAGGAAGCCAAATGGACTGCGCCAGGTTGGCCTTGTCAACACTGGAGTCCCTTTCTGAAGGAAGAATTGGTGATCTGTTAGCTCTGAGTTCAGGGAGTTTAGCACCTGAGTACATGATGTGTGGTCTGACTGGCCACAGGCCTTAAACTGACCAAAATTATAAAAGACACACACACAAAAAATGCCCTAAAAGTGGGTAAGAGTGTTCAGGTCATTTTGTTCAGTGGGGAAAGTGAGGCACTGGTCAAGGTAGGTTTTCCATTCTCTAGGCTCTAGAGCACATTTCTTTTCCTTCCTTCCTTTCCTTCCCTTCCTTCTCCTTGCCTTTCCTTCCTTCCATTGCTTCCTTCCTTCCTTTCCTTTCCTTCCTCCCTTCCCCTTCCTTCCTTCCTTCCTTCCTTCCTTCCTTCCTTCCTTCCTTTCCTTCCTTCCTTCCTTCCTTTTCTCTCTCTCTTGCGTTCTCTCTTTCCTGTTGCCCAGGCTAGAGTGCAGTGGTGTGATCTCAGCTCACTGCAACTTCCGCCTCCCAGGTTCAAGTGACCCTCCTGCCTCAGGCTCCCAAGTAGCTGGGACCACAGGCATACACCACCATGCCTGGATAATTTTTGTATTTTTTTTTTGTAGAGACAGTCTTGTCACATTGCCCATGCTGGTCTCAAACTCCTAAGCTCAAGCAATCCTTCTGTCTCAGCCTCCCAAAGTGCTGAGATTACAGGTGTGAACCACTGCATTCGACATTAAAGCCCATTTCAATGGCTCCAGGTCTCCATGATGTCAAAGTCATTCCTGTCTGTTCCCAGAGATGGAGTCGCCTTCCCTGTCACCTTCCCGGCAGCAGCAGCCAGCTTGTCCCGGATGGCGCAGGGCTCGTCTTTCTTCACTTCCCACCAGCACTAGCCCCCAGGACGCTCCCGGCGCTGAGGCTGCGGTTGCTCCTAGGTGTCATATTTGCCACCTAGAGGGCATTTTCAGGTCAGAAGGGCTGCCTTAAAATTCCGAGTCCCAGAAGAAGCCAGGGTGCTGGTCTAGCTAACCACCACCTGGCAAGGGGCCTAGCACACAGGGGTTTTTCAGCAACAGTTTTACTGAGATATAATTTATATACCATACAATTCACCATTTCAAGTGTACAATTCAACAGTTTTTAGTGAATTCACAGATACTGTATCTGACCTGAAAATGCCCAGTAAGTGGCAAATATGACACCCAGGAGCTATCCCACCCTCAGCGTGAGAGCAGTCCGGGGCTAGTGCTGGTGGGAAGTGAAGAAAGACCAGTCCTGCCCATCTGGGACAAGCTGGATGCTGCTGCGGGGAAGGCGACTCTATGTCTAGGATGGGCTGGGAATGACTTTGACGCCATGGAGACCCAGAGCCACTGTCACCACCATCAATACTGGAACATTTTCATCGCAATGGTTCTTTTTTGTTTTTTGGTTTGTTTTAAACTTTCATTTCGTTCTTAGAACTTCTTTTTTAAAAACCACTGTAGCCGGCCGGGCGTGGTGGCTCACTCCTGTAATCCCAGCACTTTGGGAGGCCAAGGCAGGTGGATCATCTGAGGTCAGGAGTTCGAGACCAGCCTGGCCAACGTGGTGAAACCCCTTCTCTACTAAAGATACAAAAAATTATCTGGGTGTCATGGTGCACACCTGTAGTCTCAGCTACTCGGGAGGCAGAGGCAGGAGAATCACTTGAACCTGGGAGGGAGAGGTTGCAGTGAGCCAAGATCACGCCACTGCACTCCAGCCTGGGTGACAGAGTGAGACTCCATCTCAAAATAAATAAATAAGATAAAACCATTGTAGCCCTTTTTAAGTACAATTCCATGGCATTAAATACATTCACAGTGTTGTGCAACCATCACCACCGTCCATCTCCAGAACTTTTTTATCTTCCCACACAGAAACTCTGTACTCATTAAGCATCAAGTCCCCTTCCCCCCGTCCCCAGCCCCTGAAACTTCTATTCTACTTTCTAAGTTTGACCACAGTACCTGCTGTAACCAGAATCTGCAATATGTGTCCTTTTGTGTCTGTCTTATTTCACTTAGCACAATGTCCTCAAGGTTCGCCTGTGTTGTAGCCTGCCTCAGAATTTCAATCCCGTTTAAGACTGAATATTATTCCACTGTATCAATACACCACATTTTGTTTATCCATTCACCCATTAATGGACATGTGGGTTGTTTCCACCTTTTGGCTGTTGTGAAAAAAGTCGTGAACATCAGTAGACATGTGTCTGTCTGAGTCTCTGCTTTCAATTCATTTGGTTAGAGATCCAGAAATGGAATTGCTGAACACACACTGGAGTTTTAAAAAATAGTTACTGGCAGGGCGCGGTGGCTCACACCTGTAATCCCGGCACTTTGGGAGGCCGAGGCAGGAAGATCACTTGGTCTCAGGAGTTCGAGACCAGCCTGACCAATATGGTGAAACCCCTTCTCTACTAAAAATACAAATGTTAGCCCAGCGTGATGGCATGGGCCTGTAGTCCCAGCTACTCAGGAGGCTGAGGCAGGAGAATCGCTTGAACCTGGGAGGCGGAGGTTGCAGTGAGCCGAGATGGCACCACTGCACTCCAGCCTGGGTGACAGAGTGAGACTCTGTCTCAAAAAAAAAAAAAAAAAAAAAATTCAGAATGACTGAGTGAATGGCAGTTGAGTAGGGTCCAGATCAGAGTCTCAAATGCCATGTGTGAGCACGGGAGGGCCACTTGTCTCATGCTGTCTTATAAATACAGTCTGGTGACAACCACGTGAAGGCCAGAGCCCAGGATATGGAAATATGCAAAGGAGTTTCCAGTTGTGCTAGTCCCCTTGTCGACAACGCCTCATCGGCAGCCACTGTGACCCTGCTGAGCAGCACATGCAAAATGCACCTCAGAAAGGAGGTGAAGTGACGTTGCTGACAGTTCAAAGAGTGTCAAGCAATGGCCATTGTTCTTGAAAAGAAGGGCAAATTTCACTTTTCCTGTTTCTCTTGTGATGTTATGGAATTCAGACAAGCTTGTGGTTTTCAACCCCACACTCTGCACTACAGTTTCCAGCACAGATTGAGGATAGAGTCATTTATTCATTCAAAAATGATGTATCAAGTGTCTTTTTTTTTCTTTTTTGAGACAGGGTCTCACTCCGTCACCCAGGCTGAAGGGCAGTGGCATGATCACAGCTCACTTCAGCCTTGACTTCCCAGGCTCAGGTGATTCTCCCACCTCAGCCCTGCTGGGACTACAGGCGTGGGCAACCATGCTCCCACCCCCAGCTAATTTTTTGTAGAGATGGGTTTTCGCCACATTGCCCAGGCTGGTTGTCTACCTTCCTTGGCCTCCCAAAGGGCTAGGATTATAGGCATGAACCACTGCACCTGGCCCTCAAGTGTCTATATCACACCAGGAGTTGGCTGACCATGGCTGCCCTGGCAAATAACTCAGTTGAATCCAGGCAGGTCAGCCCCTACCACCAAGCCATGGGACTGCATGGGATCCAACAGTGTGATGCTGGGAGGTAGCAGTGGGTAGCAAGAGCATAAGCTTTGCAGTCAAAGAAACCAGGGATCCAGCCACCACTTGCCACTCAGCGCTGTGGATGCTGGTTATCTAACCTCTTTGAACCTTATCATCTTCATCTGTAAATGTCCACACCAATGCCTTCCATACCGACCAATATCTAGTAGCAGTGGATATGTGTTGTTTGGCCACCCAGTCTCCACACCCCTTTCCTCTGACCACAGCTCTCCAAATCCCTTTCAGGGACCATCTTCCAGCCTCATCTTTTTAGTTTCTAGTGGGGCTCCCAGCTCTACAGATGGAGTGAGCAGCTGGCCTAGGTCTGGCCAATCACGCACCAAATTCCCCCAGCCAGAGTGATTGGTCATGACTGGACAAATGATCCCATTCTTCAAACTGTCATAGTATATCCTGGGTCTTCTACGAGAGCAGCTCTCAGTTTTTGCTGGACTCAAAAGCTCTGAGCCTGAGACTTAGAATGAAGCCAACACAGAGAACAGAGGACTAGGGAATCCAGAAGGCAGAGAAACCAAGCTCCACTGTCACCATGTGACATCCTCGATTAAGGGCCATCGGAAGCCTGAGTCTGGGCTTCTCCATTATGTGAACAAATACATTTCCTTTTTTGCCTAAGACAGAGTTGAAGTTTCTGTCATTTGTAATCAGAAGGTCCCTAAATTGATGCAAATCAAAGTCTCTCATTTTCTCTTCATACCATCTTAGTGAAGCAGGAATTGCTCAGAGGGCCTTTCTGAGAATTTTTTTGTCATGGTGCATGCTAGCAAAGCGGATTACTTGACAAACACCTGCTTAATTATGCCAGCATTCCTATCTCTAGATACTAACATCTGCTCATCCTTCAAGGCTTATCATTGTCACCTCTACCTAGAAGCCTTCCCTGAACCCCCAGGCTGGGCCAGGAGCTCTGGGTCCTCTTTGCTCATTCCATCACTGCACTTGTGACTCTTACTTGTACCCTCTCTGCCATCTACTCCCATGCACTAGGGGGAAAGGGACCTGGTATTCACTTCTTCATTTATGTGTGCATGGCACCCAGTCCAGTGCTTTGCAAGCAGATTCCATGAAGAGTAACTGACTAATGAATGAATAAATTTGGTGAGAAAAATGCACATGCCTGGACATGAGATTCACATGACCCCATCATCACATATTTACATAATGTGTATGCTGCAGAGACATTTAGTTGCCTCCTCAACATCCAACTTTCCATTCTGGCTTAGACACAGAACTCCAATCTTCCCAGACTTAAAAAAAAAAAAAAAAAAAAAACCACCCTACATATTCTAGCCTCTCTTGAGGAGATGTGGCCCCAAGTTCTAGCTAATGAGCTGTATATAGAAGTTGTTGCATCAGACTTCTGGGAAGACTCTTTAAAAGGGAGACAACCAGAAAGGGAGCTCCTTTTTGGCTTTCTCTTTTTTTCTCTTTTCTGCTGTACTTAATGCAGATATGATGGCTTGTGCTCCAGCAGCAAGTGAGATCATGCGGCATCTCTGAGGATGGACGTCATGAGCTAAGCATGGAAAAGCGGAAAGCCAGAAGGAGCTGGGATATCTGATGATGAAGGGCTGACGTTACTAGCTCCTAGCTCCAGACTGCCTGCCTCTACACCTTCTTTTTTTTTTTGTTTATACCTTATCTGAAAACTCCCAAATACACTTTTTTATATCAAAAAGAAAATAAATCCTTTGTATTTGAGCCACCATATTTTGAGTGCATTGCTGTATGTAATTGAACCTAATCCTAACTGCTGTGTCACTAAATGCTATATTAATATTCACTGATAATATTTCTCTATTTTAATCATAAAATGAAATTTTTAAACCCAACATTTGGAACAGTGCATGCGTGCCAGATATTGTGGTGGCATACAGCGGGAGACACAGATACAGGGAAGGAGACATTTTACAACTGGTTAAAATACATGTACCAGTTCATCACTTTCTATGGGAAAAAATATTATTTTATTCATTTTATGATATGAAAATTAGAGATTGTTCATGTTAAAGTAGAATTCAAGCTTGTATTTCTTTATTTTTAATTCCAGCTCCACCCCCCATCATCATACTGCCTTAACAGCAGCGGGGAGGGCTGTGGGTGATCAGGGATTCCTCCCTGTCTTCCTGCCACAGAGCCTGAGTAGATCAAAAGGCCAAGAGCATGAGGAGACTTTGCTCCTTCAGAATCGCTCCTTGGCCCCCTGAAATGAATGACCAGCTTTAACAGACTTTTCCCCCCCAGCTCACATTCCCCATGGTTGGTGAGGCAGAAAATTCACAAGAACAAAGCTCTTGCCCTAGAAAGATCTTCTTTTCAATTTAGGGTCAATTCCACTTTGGGGACTTCCAGAAGAGTCACCTTTAAATTAAGAAAAGAGAAAAAGAAGCTGTTGCATATAAGCCAGGGAAAACCACACACGAATGTGAACAGCACCCGCGTTCCACCCAGCAGCACGGATTTTTTGTGGGAAACTTATACAGAGCCCCGTAAGCCTCCAAGGAGGTGAGAGTCGGGAGGCGGGGGACGGGCAGAAAGACGTTGGAGTCCAAGAAACTGGATTCATTTTTCTACCGGCTGTGAGTAGGGCAACTTCTAAGGGCCTCATCTTGTCCTTCTGGAAAATGGGCAAGCAGCCTGCACCCTGCTGTCCTCACGCAGCCATTGTGAGGCCAAGAAGAGATGGCATTTGGTGAAGGGTCTCTGTCCTCCCCTGCCCCCCAGGACAGCTGGCCATGTCACTCCAGCCTGAACATGTGGTGGCATCCTGCTCTAGAATCTACCTGGGCTCACCTTCTCCCAGCCTTTCAGGACATATTGACATGCACTTGGGTTAATGAAAGTCAACATTCTTTACATTTCACCCCTTGTGAAATATCAGGAAGCTAGGCTCCATGTGGTCTGGCTCAGCTGGGAAACCATCGCTGAACCCTTGTTCTATCGGTCTGCGGACACG
Source organism: Homo sapiens (assembly GCF_000001405.40). NCBI lineage: Eukaryota > Metazoa > Chordata > Mammalia > Primates > Hominidae > Homo > Homo sapiens. The sequence goes on along the minus strand of NC_000002.12, from coordinate 15,642,545 downwards.
ATTCAGTGTCTTGAGCTCTGTGGGATCAGCTGTCCCTCTGAGCTGAGCCAGCCCTCCCGTGAGTGGTGTTCAGCCTCCGGGGCCCGGGACCGGGAACAAGGGCAGACCAGCCTGCAGTCTGCATCCAGCGGCCAGGTCAAGGTGATCGAGTTTCTCTCTCCAGTCACAAATTCCATCACCCCTGGCTCCAGGGTAATACACTCAATCTCAGGGCTTGAGCTATAACACGGTTCATTTCTGGGCCAAATCTCTGAAGCTGAAGGGTTTATTTTTAAGGACAAGCAGTTTGCTGTTTTCAGCTTTTCTCATCAGAAATAGTGCAATTCAGCTTGATCTGCATTGGAAGCATAATTTATCATCTCACACAGATGGTTGCTAAGGGTGGGGAGGAGGTTTACTTTTCATTTTACTTCAGCAAATATTTCCTGAGCCCCTACGTGTGCCAGGCACAGAGCAAAGCACTGGGGATGCACACATGAGTAAGACAAGCTCCTGATCCTTGACACACTCCTAGTCCAGGTGAGAGACAAAGCTACAACCCCAGATTTGACATTAGACAGTCCTGCTTTGGAATCTTGGCTCTGCCATTTGCTATTGGAGTCACCTTGGGAAAATTACCTCACCTCTTTCTAGCTAAAGGTTTGTCAGCTTTGTTGATCTTCTCAACATACCAACCTTTGGTTCTGTTGATTTTCTCAACTGTTTTTCTATTCTCTATTGCATTAATGTTTGCTCTAATCTTTATTATTTCCTTCCTTCTGCTTGCTTTGGGTTTAGTTTGTTCTTTTTTCTTTCCCCCAGTGCTTTAAGGCGGAAGGTTAGGTTATTGATTTGGGATCTTTCTTCCTTTGTAATATAGTCATGCATAGCTATACATTTCCCTCTAAGCACTGCTTTACCTACTCCCATAAGATTTCCTATGTTGTGTTTCCCTTTTCATTTATCTCAAAGTATTTCCTAATTTCCCTTGTGATTTCTTCTTTGACTTATTGGTTGTTTAGTAGTATGCTGTTGGTTTTCACATATTTGTAAATTTCCCAAAGTCCTTTCTGTTATTGACTTCTACACATAGGGTCTATCCTGGAGAATGTTCCATGTACACTTGGGAAGGATGTGTATTCTGCTGCTCGTGGGTGGTATGTTCTACAGATGTCTTTTAGGTCTAGTGAGTCCACAGTGTTGGTCACGTCTTCTGTTTTCTTATTGATCTTCCGTTTGGTTGTTCTATCCATTATTGAAAGCAGTGTATTGAAGTCTCCAAGTATTATTGTTCAATTGTTACCTCACCTCTTTGAATCTGTTTCCTTCAAGTAAAATAAATATTCCTGACTTGCAGAGGAGATGGAGTGCAAAGCCCTGAGGCACAGCCTGCCTGCCACCTGTGGATGTTGCTGCTGTGTCTCAGAAAGAATTGACAGAGTGTAGGACAGCAGTGGTGAGGAGATTTCCTTCTAAAGTAACCAGTTGTCCTGGGTTAAGCTAGTACTGCTTCAGCCTGAAAAACACAAACCCTGTTTAAAGAGAAAGACAAGGCTTAGAACCTGTCTACTTCTGTGGCCTAATTTTCAGGATGTGCAGATCTCCTGCCCAAAAAATACAAATTAACTAGCTGACAAATCGTAACTTCTCACCCTAATTATGCTAGCTGGTGTCTAAAATTCCTTCACAAAAGTTTCTCGTGATAATTTACCTGTCCATCCATCTAAACTTCCCTCCAACTCAACAAACATTTACCAAATCACCTTTTCTCAGCCAGATCTGCCTCAGGTACTGAGGATACTGAAACCAGACCTGTCCTAAACACCCTACTCTATCCAGAAAGAGACACTGAGGGAAATTTTATTATGTATTTGTTATTTATTATTTAAGCAGTCAAATAAAATATCGGAACATAAACGCTCTAATAAAAGAAGGAACAAAAGGTTTTGAGGATACAGAAGGGGGAAGTGACCTGCCTCATAAGAGCAAGAAGGGGGTAAAGATGGCTTCCCCAAAAAATGTTAACTGAAAAGAAGCTGCCAACAGTGGCTTGAGTTCCACAACCCTCTCTGCCCCTACCGATCTCCTCAGGTGGGAGGGGGCCCCGGGGAGGAAAAGGAGGAAAACAAGAGGATGTTACACAAAGTGAGTCATCCAGCCTCAAATAACCAAGAGCTGCAAAGGCAGAAAGTTCTTGACTTGGAAGTTTGCCAACTCCAATGCTGCAAAAATAACCGTGATGAATTCACATGTTTCTGTGCAAGTGTCGGTCCACCATAACACTGAATACTCAGCCATAGCAAACTGGAGCTTTGGGCCCATATGCTCAAAATCAGGCTCAGGCTTTGGTCAAGGTTTTCTTGAAGAAGCCAAAACCTGTATTTTCCCATTGAAAACCATCCTGGTCTTCTATCCTGTCCTGGATAGGACCATGGAATAATGATTCCTGCTCAGGGTTAAAAGTCATTAGGTGTTTTTCTGTTTTGGGTCTCAGTATCCACAGAGGAACTTTCATTTCTTCCAGGTTAAGTTGATAGACCCTCCCATTTTATGAAAAGCTAATCATAATATTTGTTGTACACCCACTGTGCACACTGTAGGGAGAGAAAAAGGACATCCAGAAACCCTTCACCGAAGCAGAATTTAACCCACCTGGAAACAGAGAGTGGGAAAAAAAGTCATACAGCAGTTTTTAAAAATTAAGAGCTGCAGGCTGGACACAGTGGCTCACACCTGTAATCCCAACACTTTGAGAGGCCAAGGCAGGAGAATCGCTTGAGCTCCCAGGAGTTTGAGACCAGCCTAGACAACATAGAGAGACCCTGTCTCTACCAAAAATTTTAAAAGTTAGTCTGGGTGTGGTGGCGTGCACCTGTAGTCCTAGCTACTTGGGAGGCTGAGGTGGGAGGGTCACTTGAGCCCAGGAAGTCCAGGCTGCAATAAGCCACGATCGCACCACTGCACTCCGGTCTGAGCAACAGAGTGAGACGCCATCTCAAAAAAAAAAGAAAAAGAAAAAGAAAAACGAAAAAATTTAAAAGCTGCATCATAAAGTATAAGGACGAGACAAAGGGTGATGTACTAGAGGCCTTCCTGGAGAGAGAGCAACAGAGCAGAAATACAGGCTCTGGGGCCTGAAAAACTCAACCTAGGGCCAGGCGTGGTGGTCCACACCTGTAATCCCAATACTTTGGGAAGCTGAGGAGGATGGATCGCCTGAGGTCAGGAGTTCGAGACCAGCCTGGCCAACACAGTGAAACCCCATCTCCACTAAAAATACAAAAAAGTTAGCTGGGCATGGTGGCACATGACTGTAATCCCAGCTACTCGGGAGGCTGAGGCAGGAGAATAGCTTGAACCCGGGAAGCGGAGGTTGCAGTGAGCCAAGATCATGCCATTGCACTTTAGCCTGGGCAACAAGAGCAAAACTCTGTCTCAAAAACAAACAAACAAACAGACAACAAAAAAAACCTCAACCTGGGGTACTTAGACTTCACTATTCTGGGCCTTGGATTCCTTATCTGCAAAAAATGATAGCATTGGCTCTTACATGAGGCAAAATACAAAATAGCTGGCTCATGGCTGGTATTCAAAAGCATGATGTTCTCATGCCCCCACAAGAGAGGTGGCAGTGACTCAGGTCCCTAAGGATGGGTGGAATTTTGACAGGCAAGAGAAGGCAGGACTTTGAGCAGCCTTCTTTGAGGCAGGTCTTTAAGCAGCAGGACTGAGCAGGGAGTAGTGGACAAGTGCCTGGATTCTAATTCTGGCTCCACTGCTTCCTAGTCACATGATCTTCAGCAAATCACTAATTTCTTGGTGCATCAGTTTCCTTATCTATGAAAATGGGAACACCAGTAAAATTTGTCTTCTGGGGTTGGTGTGAGGATTGAGTTAGGATGGGTAAACACTTAGAACAGTACCTGATATAGTGAAGGGTCATAAATTTTATCCATTGTTATATATGGAGGGGAATAAGGAGTCCAGATTTGATATGATTTGAGGAGTATGGGAAATAGGACTAGGAAGGTTGGGACTAGATTTTAGAGGGCCCTAAGTGCCCAAATTAGTCTGGACTTAAACACAATCAAGGCCCATCACAGGCTCTTGAATGGGGGTTGACATGGATTAATAACAACTCTTAAATGGTAAAGGCCAAATGGGCTCCTGTCATAGGTATAAATTATACCAGAAGAGGCTGCTCTTGAACAGTGACTAAGCCTTCTCCTGCTCCCACCCAAGAAGCTATTCTTTGGAGAAAAGCAGAAGGCAGAAGGACAGATCAGGTCTGGCTGTTTTTCCACTTAGTATCTCTTAATCCAAAATCCCAAATCTCCCTGTTTGGCTAGCAGGGACATTGTGGAAGACTATCACTTGGGGTGTCCAATCATCACTTATGGTTTTCAAATAAGTAGCCATGAGCTACTATTTGAAGTCATGAGGTTCATTATTTGGTCTGTCTAAGCCCACACATCCTGCCCTCACCCCCACCCAAACCCAACCCCAAGCAGGCAAAGTCAGTTGAAGACCATTCCACAAATCTCCAACATGCTCTTGAAGGGCAACGCCGTAATGCCTAGGATCCACTGTGTAAGTGGCAGAAAGACTAGCAGGCAGCAGTGACTTGTTGACATGATACTTCACCTGATTTCATTCAATCTGGGCTTTCAGAGACAGGCAGAATCAAAGGAAATGACTGAGAAAAAGCATTCCGAGTTCTGGAGATGTTAATGAGCATAGCAATTAGCATAAAGGCAATTTTGACATGTGTGGAAGTTCTTTGTACATAGAAGTCCCCAGTGCTGAGCCCAGGAGCAAGCTGGTGTGGTGGATGTGCAAGTGCTTTGTGACAGGAGAACACACTGGAGCACAAACTGCACGGGGCCAACTCACAGAAAAATAAAACCCTCATGCTCATTTCTTGGCCTTCAGGATCCAGAAAAAAAGACCACAGCCTCTGTCAAATGTAATGGGAAATAATTCCTTTGAATCTGTGATTTGCTCAGATGAAAAAAAAAGGGAGTCGGGTAATCCTTAAGTGACCCCAAGTGGTAAAAATACACCAGCACAGTGTTCTTTGTGGGTATTCCTGTGACACTGGCGCCACCTGGTGCACTCAACTGGGAAATAATGAATCACAACCCCATGAAGGCTGGCGTTGAGGGGCCCCATGCATTTGCGTTATTTTGTAAGTAAGTATTCTCTTGGTGCTGGGTTAACAACAGTGGGAAAATGAATAATAATTTATGGGCAGAAGCACACGATAGAGTTTATTACAACCAATAGAATTAACATCAATATTTTAAGTGAACAGAATTTTATGATATGGGTATAAGCAAGCCAATGTCTCCAAATTGCTAGCCTTTAAGAGCCAAACAAAATACCTCAAGCTTTCAGCCTGTGTGTCTGTAAGTTAGCCAATTCTCTCCCCAATGCACCTAAGGATTCTTGAGAATGCTTACAAAGCCTGATTGCCACTAAGCCTGATTGTCACTCTTCTGAGCTTTAGACTACTACTCCAGAGAAGTTGCTTGTCCCCTCTTACCATTAGGGACCAATTTCCCACAGAACAGGATCCTAATCAGTTCCCACACCCTGTTCCTAGCATTACTTTGTCTAAACACAGAAGAGCTTTCTCTTTCATACGCAAGTCATACTGACAGACCTACTTGCCGACCTAGGTAGCAAACATCTGAAGGTATTAAGAGAATCACAATGTAGAAAAGGAAAATCAAAACTCATTATCAAACAACATTGCTCCAATATTCAACTGACCCTGTCCCTACCGGCCTCTCCTCTCTCTCGACTCCTGTTCTGATCAGGATTTTCTATCTCAGAGTGTCTTCCCCGAGACTCTAATCCACCACAAAAAACTGGAAACCCTTCACACCCAATTATTGCCCTGCAGAGAAACATCCTCTGGCTGCCTCTTCAAAGTCCTACTTTGGCAGCAGCAAATATTTATCCTTAAATTGGGATTCAATTCAAGGAAACACAAAACTAGCAACCAATCACAGTCTTTTCTGGTGAACAGAATGAGTTACCCAGCTGGAGAACAAGATGTGAGGTAAAGTATTGGGTTAAACCAGTGATTTTTAGAGTATAAACTGGTCCTATCTAAAGCAATGGCAATGTTTTAAATAAAAACAAAGTAGCAACGTCTAAAACAGAGAAAAGGCCAAATGGGTTTTGAAAAATTGAAGCATCCTTAAAAAGACTTGCCTCAATCCCCAAAGTGACTATTTTGAAGGGAATTAAACTCACTTGGCTACAGGTGAGTAGCCTCTGAGTAGACTACGGGTGGTGAATAATCTTATCAGTTTCTTGAAAAATTACATATGTTACAATTTCTATCAAAGTGTTTCTCTACAATAATCCCCACTACATAATATTTCAACAAGGGCTCCAGCTTGAGTCTGACTATATGTAACCTTAAGACACATTGGCTTGGATGGGTGCAAAGGACACAAGGATTTGCAATAGGACCAAGAAACATCTAGGGTCAGACTCAGTTTAAGGCAGCTGCTCCCAAGCCTGGCAGCACATTAACATCACTGAGGCCATCTAGGCCCCACTCCAGAGCAATTAAATCAGAATTTCTGGAGGTGAAGTGCAGACACCGGTATTTTCTTTTAAAGTATCCTAGGGGACCTTAATGTGCAGCTGGGGTTAAGAACCACTAAGCTAAGGAAACAGAACTCAAGGTGGACATCTTGGGTCCAAAGGCAGTGAACTAGGAGACATGATTCTAACACAGCAAGCATCTGTCTTTCAGACGTCATTTTAGATCTTAACCAAATCCTCAAGTAAAAGATTGCAGTGAGAATAAAAGCTCTAAGAGTTGTTTCTCTGTAACAGTGTGTCTTGAATTGTGGTTCAAGGTCCATCTGCATGAACACAATTATTTCAGGAATTTGTTAAAATGCAGATTCCTGGTTCCCACCTTATATCTAATGATCTCTGCATGTGATTTAGCTCTAGAAGTCAGTAACTATTGTTGGGATCAAATCCAGGCCTACCTGATGACTTGTCTTTCAAATTCCCCTCAATACTTTTGACCAGAAAGAGTGGAATCCATCAGAAAAAAGTAGACATTTAAATGAGTTTAAATGAAAGGTAATGATTTAAAGCAGTAGAATGGAAAACAACTGCAAAAATTCCCTCTCCACTCCTCCCTCCAAAGGAATCCTCTATCAATTACTTTGGAGTAGCAAAATAGTATCCCTCCCTTTCCTTCCTGTTCCACTACATTTTTTCCCTTCTGACACATATTCCTTTTTCCTCCCAAATAAGGTCACTTAGAAAAAATGCCTGGTAGGACTTTAGAAACTGTCAACATCTATAGAGAAATGATAAAATTACTGCAAGAGAACCTATCAGGGACCTCATTTTATATTTATCTATACTTTTTTGATATTTTACAAATCTCATTCAAATTGAAATAGTGTGTCGTTCCCTTTTAAGTCAGAACAAGGAGAGGAATGTGATTAAATAGCTTTACCCATTTGGAATTGGCCAGGAACCAACATTTTTTTTTTTAATCTGGGCAGTTCCCAGTCATTGCCACATGCACTTCTACCTTTAAAGACAAAAATTAGGAAATCAAAAAAAAAAAAAAAAAGCCTGCACCTTATTTAAAACAAGTCTAGGTCCCTGTTTATCTGATGATGGTGGGACCAGGAGTGGGAGCCCATGGGAGGCAAGAAGTTGCATGTAAGATGTGAGACTACCTCTACTCACCAGCACTAATTCACACACCATATGAAGAGACATCAGGAAAGCATACTTTGAGCGCAACAAACTATACTTCAGTTTGTAAAATAAATTGTACAGACTTCTTCCTATATTGTTAGTGTTAACGTCAACCAGCTCAACTCTTTCAGAAAGCAATCTGATGACTCTGAAAAATGTTCATAACATTCAGGCTCTTTAATTCAATAACTCAATTTCTAGGAATCTAGTTTAAAATAATTCAAAAGACAGAAGATGTTCACTGCAGCATTCTGTGTAACACAAAAAATGTAACTACTATAAATACAGTACACATGCCTCCTCATCTACTAGACATTTTGCTGAATGCTTAACATGATCCTGAATAATGTGAATTTTCACCATTTTCATAAAGAAATCAAAGCTTAACGGACCTTGCCTTCTGTCATATTTATAGTGTGAGTTAGAGCCAGATTCAAATCCAAGACTAATATTATAAAGTTCACATCCTTTCCAACTCCCCTCAATGCACCTGAGCAGTAAGAGTGCAATGGTTACACAAACAATAGTACATTCAATGTATTATGTAGCCACTATAGTATTTATAAGAAAAATGCTTATGTTAAATAAAAATACAGAATCGTATATAGACCAAAACATTTACAGAAAAAAGAAATGAACCAAAATGTTAGCGATGACTTTCTCTGGAAGTGGGACTATAAATAAAAAGTAAGGAGGAGTGGGGATTACTCTAGTCTGAAATTTCCATGTAACTAACAGGAAAAGATATGCTAAGAATGAGGTATAAATTAGCCACACGTGGTGGTGCATGCCTGTAGTCACAGCTACTCAGGAGGCTGAAGTGGGAGGACAGCTTGAGGCCAGGAGGCAGGAATTGGGGTGAGCCGAGATTATGCCACTGCATTCCAGTCTGGGCAACAGAGTGAGACCCTGTCTCAAAAAACAAAACAACAACCAAAAAAATAAAATAAAATAAAAAAAGGAGGTGCAGAAATGTTTTAGCAATCTCATAACAAAGACCACTAGTTAGAACCCTTTAGAATCAATTCTCTTAAGGCAAATATCCTAAGGCAATAGCATTTGGTCCCTTTATTTGGTTTTCTATGCTCTCTTAAATGAAATATAACTTGTTGCACTTAAATGAGCCTGTCCTAGTAAGGGACTCAAATTAGCAATACAGTAAAGACATAAACCTGAGTTAGAGCAGAACACTTAAGTTTATTAAGATATGAAACAGCCTTTCCCCTAAACCACTTCAGTCACTATGAAAGTCAAGTTCTAGCAATCAAAGCTTGAAGGTAGCTTTGACGAGAATGAACAGTCAAAGACTAGATTGTGAGTAAGAAGGAATGCACCGAGGCTCCTAAGATCTCAGGCCATGTCTATCATGTGTTAAAGTTGGGGCAAGTCTTGACATTTCTGTTTACAGAGGTTCTAAGACTGACATATAACTACAGACACCAGATCTGTGAGTACATTTAAAAATTCCTGCACTAAAGAATGGACAAGTGGAAGCTTTGAATCACAAATACTATCATATGAAGGTTAATATTTAGCATTTTCTGGACTTTGAAGGGCCTCTAGTGTTTTATATATTAGTTGGGGTAGAGGCTAAAGTTCTGTAACAAAGAGCCCTAAACATGAGCAGCTCAGATAACATCAAGTTATTATAACAGGCAGTTCGGAGAGGGTGGGCAGCTCTCTTTCCCAAGGCCACCAGGTTCCTCTGCCTTGTTCTGCCACTCCCCAAGTATTACACTTTTCTAATGGTGGCAATAGGCTCACTAATACCACATCCAAGTTCTAGCCTGAGAGAAGAGGGACAGGGTGGGCAGGACAAGGCCCGGAAGTTGTACACATCACTTTGACTCGTACCCCGTTGACCAGAACCTGGGAAAGGCAATCCCGAAGGAGGCAGGCAATTAGCATCCCTCAGGCCCAGTGACCACATCTTAACCCGACTTTTAACAGTTACTTGCATTCTTGGCATTAATACGATGGCCTGAAGGAATCAGCATCTGGAAGCAAGACTGAGAATAAAGGAAAGAATTAATGGTGATATGAGCAGGAAAAAAGAGCAAGTCAGGTCTCCAAACAACTCCTCGGCTAGTCTGGTTACATGTGGCTTCTTCCTTTGAAAACTCTTGTTCCCTGGGTAATTCCAGTTGGTCAGTAAGTAATTAAAGAGGAAAAAAACATCTCCACCATTGCTGAGCTCTATCCAGGATTCCTCTCTGGCCTTGCAATTTGGACCTGAGAGTCATCCTCCAAAGGTAGCCAGCCCAAAGAGTAAAAGCTGAAACTGAAGAAACCCGAGTTCTATTTCCAGTTCTAACCACCAGGCCATGTGAATGTGCATTCCTCTAAACTCAGCTTTCTCTCTCATAAAACAAGGGCATGAACAAGGTGATTAGAAAGATCCCCTCCATTCTAATATTTACATGTCTGAAATTCAGTCTTGTCTTTGCTGTCACATCAATTAAAAGTTCGTTTCTAAACGAGTGATTAATGTGCGTGAAGACTGCACAGAGCTGTCATCACATAGCTTTGAGATTGGTTATAGTAGTTCCAGGACATCTCCAAAGCAAGTGGTCTAGAGATAAGTGAAAGAATGGTATCCTCATAATCATTTCACACAAACCCTAAACTCAAATATACAAGACAATGATTTTCTCACTACAGCTTTTATCTGTTTATATATTGTTTCACTCAAGGTTTTTCATTGCTAAAAGGTTTGAAAACCATCATATAAGAAATTATAACACCCTGTGCTCTTAAGGAAACTCTTGGACAAGAATAATTTCCCCCAAAAAACTACCTTATAGACTAAGAGTCAAAAGGCACAAAGCAACAATTCAATTATATGTATTTACATTTTCCCTTTCCTTCTGATATTTTAGGCAAGAGCCAGTGTTTAAGAAAATATATTCCAGGGCCAGGCATGGTGGCTGACGCCTATAATCCCCGCACTTTCAGAGGCCAAGGTGAGTAGATCACTTGAGCTCAGGAGTTGGAGACCACCCTGGGCAACATGGTGAAACCCTGTCTCTAAAAAAGAAATACAAAAAAATTAGCCAGGCATGGTGGCGTGAGCCTGTAGTCCCAGGTACCTGGGGGGCTGAGGTGAGAGGACTGACGCGAGAGGATTGCTTGAGCCTAGGAGGTTGAGGTTGCAGTGAGCTGTGTTCACGCCACTGGACTCCAGGCTGGGTGACAAAGCAAGACCCTGTCTCAAAAACAAAAACAAACAAACAAACAAACAAACAAAAAAATAACCAACAAAAAAAACCCTGAGTTTAAGTTTGATTTTAAGACCTGTAGGGACAGCAGATTAGTTCTACTTTGATGGGTATGCATCATCTGGAAAGCAAGGTTCATAAAAAGAAGATACATCTTCACTGGCACCATCACATCAGTCATCAGTCCTTAGATACAGAACCTTTACTGACTCCCTCAAAACTTCCATGCTTCCAAACTAACCAAGCAGTTCTTCTACATTGGGATCATCGAATTTCCCTTCATGTTCCAACTCTCCTCTAGCTTCAATATACACATAGACAACCTTAGCCATCTGAAAACCTACTTTTAGAATATTCCCGAGTGGTTCCACGTAAGTCCTCTGCCAGATTCACATACCCATAAATTCTACTTCATAAGCCCATACTGTTCTTAAAAAAGAAATAGAAAAAATATATCAATATAACTTTAAAATAAGACACAAACCTTCATGAAAATATAGTCATCAAATTTATTTTCATTGGGATGCCATTTTTTGAAGAATTCCTAAGACTAATGTTTCTTGACATGCAAGAGTTAGCATTAATAGCTTACGTTACTATAAATACTGCTGCTTGGAAGCAGTACAACTGTTTTAGAGTTTTAAGACTACAGACTTTCATTACTCAAATCTTATTCAGTAAATGTAAAAATCAGAAGGTTCTGAACAGCTGGTTAGGAAGGTAGCCAAGATGCAGGAAAGATGTCTGCGCCTCCTTTTCAAGGGCAGCCAACTCTTGAACAGTAGGTGCCAAAATATCCACATGGCCTTTATAGCTTCCACCTGCATCACACACAAATAACAAAGTAATGTAAATGACATGCTTGAAATAACTTGTCAGCAATACTTTGGCTCAATTATATCACTTTAAACTTTGCTTGCAGCAATAAAATGTACTACTGGGCAAGTTATCTCCAGAACTTTGACTTTAAAAAATGTTAAATCAATTATTTCAATATAAATAAATAATTAGGCCTCACTAACAGCTGTCCCAACACCTCTACCCACCCTTGGCTCGGAAACAACTAGTTAGGCCTGAGTCTTACAATTTTTCAGGAACAAGCTAACAAAAGGGCATCCCAGGCAGAGGAAATAATATGCTGAATTACCACCTGAGTTAAGTCAAAGGCTTCTGATTCCTTGTTCAAAATCACCTATTATGCTCTTGTTTCCTACTAATTCCACAAAATGTTCAACTACTCTTATGACATTAACACTTCAAGAGAAAGAGCTAAGCTGAAGTCTTTCATTCACATAAAGATGACACAATTTAAAAATGCTACAAGGCAGGTATGGACAAAGTACTATGAGGGTAATAAGGAGGGAATGATTAACACGCTAAAAATATACTCTTAACCTAATGAAATGAAAGTACTGCCTTCCCAAACCGAAGTTCAAAACAGGTATATTTACATTTAAAATTGTATTTAAAATAATTCAAAGCTTACCACCAGCAGCCCTTTTCTGACCGTAGGTAACTTTCCCATCAAATTCATCCACTGGTACCTTTATATCCGGCTCAACCTGAGAAATGGTACAGTTCAGGTGTTCTTCTATCTCAGATAGTAACTAAGTAATGGAGAGAAAATTTCCAAATAAAAATTTCATTTAGAAAGAGTTGCATTTTATCATCATTAAATAAAGCTGGAAAGGCCAGAATGCTTGGTATAAATGGAAGTCAGATTTCTGAAGAGAGAAATTCACAACTTACAATTAGCAAAGTGCAGATAACATTATAACCAACTACGACTTTCCCTTATAAGTGACAAACAGATAAAAGCCAAGATATAATTTTTGAAGATAAATGCTTTCTATTCTACCATTTTAATACATTATTTGTGAGCCTAACTCGAAGTCTTACCTGCATCTCGTTGTACCATATGGTACAGCCTCCATCTTCCTTGAGTCTTGTGTTATAACACCCTTTTCCACGGCTGCTACATACATGGTACCAAACCTAAATTTAAAAAGGAAAAAATATTAACATGCATGGAGATAGAGACATGCTAAATATCTTATTCTAAATTTGTTTTTAATTGTTTTCTGTCCTCAAGGCACTAGAAAAATAGATTATAGGTATGATATATCATCCAATTACCACTACTATTCAGTAGCTCATTGAATAAATAGGTCTTCTGAAAAAGTTCTTTTTGAGAATAATCCAAAAGTTTTCCTAAAATGGGTGTCAGATATCAAAAGGAATTCTCAGATAAAAGTAGGATGAAAAAGTAAATATTGAAGCATACTATGTCAATATTAACATAAAAAAGTTCAAAAGAAAAATAAGTTCAAATCTTTTGTATAAGAGAATAATAAAGCAAATAATGCAAAATGTACAACTACTGAATTTGGCAATGAGTATATGGGAGCTCTTTATGAATACAACTTTTCTATAAATTTGTAATTATATCAAAATAAATCTCCCCTCACCATGAAAGGTCTTCCATGGCACCATGCCAGAAAATGTTTAAATATTTTTTGGTGGAAATGAGTACAATAAAGCTAGTTGGAAAAATTATATTTTGCATTTTTCCTTTCTAAATTTCACCCTATTATTTGTCCATTCAATGAATATAGGAAAAAAGATGACATTAAAAAGTTCATTTGTATTCCATACGCAGCTGAATTAAATTTAAATGGGAAAATCAAACTGCTTTTATTTCCAACATCTAAAATCACAACACACACAATGAATATAATAGAGCCCTACAAAGATTACCTTTTCTTTTTCTGTTGCCACCAGGGAAATTGCCAGACCCATCCTGAAAGATGGTTAAAAGCCTTCTATTAGACTTTATTCCTAAAGCATACAAGCTTAAAAATGGGGGAAAAAAAATTGCAGAAGTACCTTTCAGCTCTTCCTACTCTGCCAATTCGATGTACGTAGTTTTGCTTTTCATCGGGCAGAGTGACATTTATAACTATAAATAAAAACCATTATTAACAATTGCCAGTAGTTTCTAAATTTTTCAAACATATTAGAAGGCTTTACTTTAGATTCCGTAACAATCACACTACAGGCATAAAAAGTTGCTTTTTACCATAAGGAACACCGTGGATATCAATTCCTCTAGCAGCTACATCTGTGCAAATCAAGAATCTTACATCTCCTTTCTAAAGAGAACAGTGAAGAGAGAAAGGAGTTTGTTAGCACATATACTAAACAATAAAAACAAATGCTATCCTTCCACTAAATGAGACCTCTAAAAACTCAAGTGTTACTATCAGATTAGAGGTCGACATACTCCTAATTTACTGGACCAAGTCTTGAAGTTTTATGTCATGATCTGCTGAAACATGACATTTAAGGTGATTAAATCAGAGATTGGGTTCATTTTTGCTTTTCTTTTTCTACTCAAAGATATTAAACTATTGCTAAAACTTGGCTTAATCTTTATAAATATCTTTAGAAATTGAAGAGAAAGACAAAACAGAATACAATGTACAGACATAAGCATTATCTTTACTCTTAAATTCAAATAAACTCAGAATACTAGATATTTTACCTGGAGGCTACATTTTTTGTAACAGACAAAATTCTCAAGGGGAGGAAAATGAGGGTAGGCCCCTGGTGCTCACCAAGAAATACAAATTAGCCTTTCAATGTCATTTGTGCCTCAAGGCACAGCAAAATTAGAGATCTGGGGGAGGGAAGAAGGGTATACTGACTTATGGTCCAGAAAAATGCCTACGGTTGAGAAGGGTAGCACACATTCAAACGAGGCCATGCGATGTGTTTTCACATCTGCATCAATTATGCCCAGCATGGAAACGTAAGCCAAAGTTCTTCAACCCAATACTTCCCATCTTTTTTCTTAGAAAATGATACTTATGCTATACACTGGGGCCTATTAAATTAATGAGACTGCTTGCAGGTAGACAGGTTACCGATCTTTAGTTCTAAATGGCTCAAGCCATTTACTTACCCACCCACTTACACCAAGAGCTATATGACCCGTTCATGTGCTGCAAGCATATAACTGGAAAGGTCTGCCCCAAACAGTATCAAAATACCTTTAATTCTACATAGCCATATTCTGATACCTGTCTTAATTAATCTACAAATTAAGTTCCTTATGGCTATTGCTGGAGACTGTTTTTAAGGCACATAGACATGGCTTAACTATCCAATGATACTTCTCCTAAAAATATCTACCTGAAATAATTTAACTAAAATTTCTGAAATTGAAAATTCCTGTTATAGTAGTGTTATGCTGATAGAGAATGTATAATTTACCATTTGAGTGTCAACAATGACTAATTCCTGTCATGATGATGACACATTAGTTAGGGTAGAAACATTTTGAAATTTCTAGGACAATAATTGCTTTAATAATATTAATTAAAACTGCTTAAAACTAGATATAATGCCCCTCTTAAGTATTAAGGAAACAATCAACTATGTATCAGTACCTTAAATCTTTCCAAGTTTTGCTTTCTCTCATGAGGCTTTCTGTCACCATGAAGACAAACACATGAGAACTGGTGTCCTTTTTTATCAGGTCCTAGTGAAAAGCACATTAAGCATTTAACCTTGGAAAATCTTCTGCCTAAGACTATGTAAAAAAGCCAATAAAATTCAGACTACAATAGTGCCACACAATTCCATAAAAATCTATGCCCCAACTTGCTATAAACCATGGTTAACACAATTTATGTCACAAACGAAGTACCATTAAAATGAACTCTACGGAGCATTAAAGTTGTCCTGCTTTTAAGGGCATTTTAAGTCACCCTTCCCAATCTGTAGGAGGAGTGGATCAAGCAGTGTACCAACTAAAATGCCTATGTGTACACCAGGAACCTCACTATCCTCCATAAAGCTAAGACTCAAAAAGTAGGCAAAAGAGATCATTCTTGGAGGAACCAAAATTAAGCATCATCAAGTTAATGTGCTTCCTAAAAGGCCATGCCCATAAGCCTGCTCTCTTCTCAAGGTATTTTAAGCAACATAGTTATCTAGTTTCATGGCCACAGAAGATTCAAAGCAGCAAACTGTAAAGATGGAGAGGTGTTATTTTAGAGGCAAGTGCAGTGGTAGCCAACCCCCCAAAAGAAAACTCTTCAAGTAGACACAGTAACAAAAAGAGTAACCACTGGGATGTAACAAAATAACAATTATGGCACTTAACTATTCTCCAAGGTAAATTAAGTTCAGTAAGTATACTTGAAAATTCAAGGAAACAATACATTTTGACAGATATCTATTCAAAATGAATAACACAAAAATTAATTATGCAGAGGTGAAATAACAGCTAACCAGAACTTCTAGAGGTATACAGCTGAGATTTTATTGCATCCTGCATTCAAGTGGTTTAGGGAAGTATCAAATACACACTATAACTCTCTGGTTAGGGTATGTGTGGAGGGGAGAGGGATCCTTTGATCCCTTCTTTTAAACCCCTGTAATCTGGTATATATTGTGTTTGAGTGTTAGTAATGGTGTAATAAACTTGTTTTCTAGGCAGAAGTAACATCTACATCCAGAATATTTAGGGAAGGAGCATCAAAGTAACTAAAGGGATATTACTACTTAATCAACAGTACTCCTTACTACATAATCAACTCCTCCATTCAAAACATAGACAGGAAGAAAATTAAGTACTACAAAACAGTCACTATAACAACCAAGCAAGTCTGTTTGCCAGGACTTGAAAAAAAAAATGTGTTACTTAAGCACTCACTGTAATGAACAGTGTAATGTATTCTTTATATGACCATTAGTTCAAATATTCTATATCCTTCTTGAGTTTTCTATTTCCTTGACGTACATCAGTTATAACAAAATGTGTTAGTCTTTCCTCAGTACAATAATGGGATTTGTATGTTACCTTCTATATCTGCCAATTTTTACTTTTTATATTTTTCCAATATTTATATTTTCAAACACGTAGCAACACTGAAATAATTTTAAGGATGAACAGTTGTATATCCACCACCTAGATTCAACAATTAACATTTTATTATACTTGCTTTAACCACATATCTACCTATACCTGTATCCATCCATCAACTCATCTTCATATTTTTGTACATTTCAATGTAAATTGCAGACATCAGTACAGAGTTCGGCATGCATATAATTAACTAGAATTCAATATTTGTTTAGTTTTTTCTTTTGAGGTAAAAGTTGTATTCAAGAAATCTACAAATCTTAAGTAGATTTGCTGAGAAAGTCCCATTAGGATACAGAACATCATTATCACACCAAAAAATACCCTCATATCCTTTCCCAGCCTATCCCTACTGCCACCCTTGTGGGGACTACTACTGTTCTGACATTTTTTCCATCACAGATTAGTTCTGACTTTTTAAAAATGTCATATAAATAGATTGATACAGTGTATATTCTTGAGTAAGAATTCTTTCATTTGGCATAAGGTTTCTGAGATTCATCCATCATTGCTGTGTTTACTCAGCAAGGAAAAGTCTGTTCCTTTTCACTGCTGAGTAGTATTCCACTGTATTTCACACTTTATTTATCCATTCTCCTACTGATGGACACTTAGTGTGTTTTCAGTTTTAGAATATTATAAATAAAGCTGCTATGGCCATTCTAGCATCTTTTTGTCAATATGTGTTTTCATTTATCCTGGGTAAACATCTAGCAGTTTAATTGCTAGGCCATAAGACAGCATTTTTAGCTTTATAAAAGACTGCAAGACCCTTTGCTAAAGTGCTCATACCATTTTATATTCTCACCAACAATCTATTCTCAACAACTGTATGCAGTTGCTCCACAGCCAAAATTCGGTGTTGTATTTTTAGTTTAGCATGTACAACGGTATTATACTGTCATTTTATTTTGCATTTCCATAACAACTGATTGAGAATTTTTCCATGTTGGTTTATGATATAATTTGGCTGGGTCTCCATCCAAATCTCATCTTGAATTGTAGTTCCCATAATCCCCACATGTGGGAGGGACCTGGTAGGAGATAATAGAATCATGTGGGTGGTTATCCTCATGCTGTTCTCGTGATAGTGACGGAGTCCTCATGAGATCTGATGGTTTTATAAGGGGCTTTTCCTACTTTGCTTGGCACTTCTCCTTCCTGCTGCCATGTAAAGAAGGACGTGTTTGCTTCCCCAGCTCTGAAGAACTGTGAGTCAATTAAACCTCTTTCCTTTATAAATTACCCAGCCTCAGGCAGTTCTTCATAGCAGCATAAGAACAGACTAATACAGTTTACATTCTCGAAGTTATAAGAAGCATAAAATCTGAACCCTTATACTTCCATTGTAGCTTGGATATTTTATTACATAGTGACTCTTTATTTCTAGTAATATTTGTCTTAAAGTCTACTGCAACTCTTATTAATATAGCTAGACTGGCTTTCTTTTGGTTAATATTTTAGCTGACACATGCATAATATTTTTTCATTCCTTTTCCATCTTTCTATGTCCTCAGATTTTGGGTATGCTCCATGTAAACAGCGTATTGCTAGATTTCATCCAGTCCAACAATCCATGCTTTATAACAGAAGACCGTGTCCACTGATACTTACAGTGTTTACTCATACATTCAGATTTTTCCAACATTGATCTTATTCTATAATTTCTAACCATAATTTTTCTCATTTTATTCCCCTTCCTTTCTTGCTCTTGTTTAGGTTTTTTTTCCTCATTCCCCTTTCCCCATCTACTGGTTTAAAAGACATACATTCTATTATTTCAGTGATCATATTTTAAATTTTAAGACTAATAAATTACTTTATCCTTCTTCCATATAATATAAAACTCTTAGGATGCTGTGATTCAAGTTTACTGTAATGAAAATGTACCTACGTGGAAAATTCTCTCTTGTTTTTCCTAGGGCTTATCATATGGAAAAGTACTGAATAAGCATAGATACTTAAAATATGCCATCAACTGCTTTAAATTCTGTGCATGTGTTCTAGATTGCATCAACATGAGATTAATAATCTATTACAAGAGGATATAAACACAATTTATTTCAAGTGAGAAAAAATTACCTCCTCCTTGTTGTATAAAGTACTGCTCCAAGTTATCACAGTCAATTTTGGTTCTACAGAAGATAATTGCTTGATCCATCTTATGTTCCTTGATTGCCCGGACAGCATACTCCCCTTTCAGGATTTTAATAGCTTCAGACCACATCTCTTGAATATCATAACAACAACAAAAACCAACAGAATTTCAATCTGAACTTGTCATGAATACACATAATTATAGTCACAGACTGACTGCTTAATTTTCCTAAAAAAGAATACTTGTTTTAATAAAAGTATTATATATAGATAAGGACAAGAAGTAAAGATAGAGTAAAACAGTGAGTTAAACCATTCATTCATTTATTTTTGTTTCTGTTAATATTTTTTATGCTACTTTATGGGGTATATAAACACCCATAACCGTACCCCTTATGAGGGAACACACACATACACACGTACAAATTAACAGAAATACATACAGCAAAACTGTTATCTCTCATGAAGAACAAATCATATTCTGCCTTGCATGAACTTCCCTAAATGCTCAATAAATGCTTTATACAATTATTTTAACTCCTTTTAAAAATAATTAATGTACTTTCTAAATCAATCTAAATACCAGAAAGTTCATACTTCACTCTACGCAGTAAAAACCTTAACACAAAACTCTAGTAATTTTTTAGTCACCATCCTCCAACTCTCTATTTTTCAGTGTGAAGCTGTGCTATAATTGTTATTCCTCAACCACTGAATGTAAGACTTTAATTCTGTGACCCAACATATTTCTAAGGTCTCTCTGATCATCTCTAATTGTTAGTCTAAACTAAGCAAAACTTATGCAAGAAAAATATAAGAAGCAATAAAAACTGGAATTTTATAAAATGCATTTGGGATGACAGATTTTCAAACAGTGTCTCTGCTCTTCTCCAACAATAAGGATAACTAAGTATGTGTCTTGTTAATTTAGACCTACATATAAAACTGAGTTCAAATCTTTAATCAAGATTTCAGATAATTCACCATTTTGATATAGTTGAAATTCAACCATGAAGCAAGCAGAGTCCGACCCTCACCAATGAATGATCCACCTGAAACATCTCATGTCAGACATGCAGCCTAATGGGTTTAAGATCCATTCTTCTAGGTTTTCTAAGCACCAACCTTGTATCATGATGTACCTTCCTATATTTTCAAAACACTATTTAACCTGAAACAAAGAGTCTCAGCTCTGCAAAGAAGAATCTTCATTGAGGCGGAATTTAATGTTAGGCTTTTTAAAAATTGATAAATATTTAATGATACAGATTTTCAGTTTAAGAAGATGAAAAAGTTCTGGAGATGGACAGTGGTGATGATTGTACAACAATATGAATGTACTTAATGCCAATGAACTGTACACTAATAGTTAAAATGCTAAGTTTTATGTTATGTATATTCTACCACACACAAAAAAGTCAACAACTATTTCAAAACAATTTCAGTATCTTTTGCAAAGCTATAGCTAAAGAAAGTTTTCTTTCTTATGCAATATTCCTGATATGAGAAACTTACATGATATTTCTTATGGAATTCAGGGTCAATATAAAATAATCTCTCTAGAAAAATTCGCTGTTTTCCTATGATGAGAATTAGATAATCAAAAATATTTGTGGCTGGGTGCAGTGGCTCACGCCTATAATCCCAGCACTTTGTGAAGCCAAGGCGGGTGGATCATTTGAGGTCAGGAGTTCAAGACCAGCCTGGCCCACATGGTGAAACCTCATCTCTACTGAAAACACAAAAATTAGCCAGGTGGTAGTGGCACGTGCCTGTAATCCCAGCTACCCGGGAGGCTGAGGCAGGAGAACTGCTTGAGCCTGGGAGGCAGAGGTTGTGGTGAGCCAAAATCGCACCAGTGCACTCTAGTCTGGGTGACAGAGTGAGACCGTGTCTCAAAAAAACAAAAAAAAAAAAAGTGATTTAGATGCCAGGAGACTAACATCTAAATTCAATGATTAAGGCCAGGCATGGTGGCTCATGCCTGTAATCCCAGAACTTTGGGAGGTCGAGGTGGGAGGATCACCTGAGGTCAGGAGTTTAAGACCAGCCTGGCCAACATGGTGAAACCCCATCTCTACTAAAAATATAAAAAAATTAGCCAGGCATGGTGGCGGGCGATCCCAGCTACTTGGGAGGCTGAGGCAAGAAGAGAACTGCTTGAACCCGGGTGGCCGAGGTTGCCTTGAGCTGAGACTGTGCCATTGCACTCCAGCTTGGGTGACAAGAACATGACTCTGTCTCAAAAAATTAAAAATAAATTCAATGATTCATATTCCTCTAAGTTGACTAGTATCAGCTTTTCCCCATTTCTTTTTTATTATTTTTGTTGCCTTTATTTCCAAATTTCCTGTTTTAATTTTGCAGGTCACCTCACATCCTTCATGAGAATAGGTAAGGTATAAATTTCATTTTCAAAATCTTTCAACACATTTGACTCTTTTAACTCACCTGGACTATTAGCACCAGGTCTTGTGTTATCTTTTGCATGTACATCATCAGTCTATCAAAAGCAAGGAATAAAAACAGGATAGAGGAGTGGTTAAATAATGATTCAGAATATATGTCATGTTTTAAAAGGGAGATTTATATTTGTCTTTAGACTGTATTTCAGATATATGTCTTCATAATATAATCTGTAGGCAAAATCATTCTTCAGATTCAGAAAAACCTTTCATTAACTATAGGTCTAAGACCACTTTTAAAGGTAATAATAATAATGAAAATGTGGTTTCTAAAATATTGTATATTTATAATAAATATAACCTTACTATATAAAGGCAAATCTAATCACAGTGAAGAAAGTGACAAGATGACCACATGAAATTGATTTTTAGAACAAAGTACATCAAGAGGACACAGATGAGGGCTCCTACTAAAATACTACTAAAAATGGAAATCATTGTATCTGAAATTAGATAAATATATGTTATTTACTTATAAAGACTGTATCAAGGAAGCTGATCACAAAAGTAATATTACGAAGACAGAAAAACAAAAGATGGAGTCCATCACTTATTCAGTGCTTTTTAAAGGTCTAAGGGTTTACGATGTATTGGACTTTTCTTTGATACAATAACTGATTGCCTTAAGCATCACTAAGAGCCCAAGGCTGACCTAGTTTATAAATTGCTTTATTCTACATAAATGTTAATATTATAAACCACTTACTCTAATGTGGCTCTTTCCAAGCCTTTCCCAGAGTCTGTCAGTTTTGGGATTTACTGGGACAACAACATGGTGTACAGTATCTGGAACAGAGTCTTCTCCTTTTAAGTCAACCCATGTAGGAAAATGCATTATCTTCTCGGACAGTTTCTTTACATCGAAAGAATGCAAAGTGGCAGAGCAAACAATCACCTAAGAAGAGGAAACCCCAAATTGAGATGAACTTTTATAATAATAATTAATAAATCACACAAACACTGATATGAAACACAAAGTGTGCTAGCCTAGACTCCAAAGATAAGTTCAACACCTTACTCTATGTAGCGACAACTAGAGTTATGACTTTGGGCAGGTTAACCTCTCTGAGGTTCAGTTCCCTCACTGTCACATAGAAATCATGCCATCTCTTCCTCACGTCCCTACAAAAACTAAGTAAAATGAGTCATTTTTGTAAGCCAAAAATCCTGTATTACTGTCTGTCCCCTTCTCTCAAAAGCTTGTCCTTCTTAAATGCTTCCTAAGAAAGAAGGATATAACTACAGAGAAGACAACAATTTTTCAATAGCTGAAGTTATTTTTCCTTCGAACAGGCAACAGTACTAATAATCTGGAATACACACCCTAAACGGTCTACAGGACAAAGTAACTAAGAATTTTTACTTGTAGTTTTCTGCAACACCCAAGTAATTTCCTCAAATTTCCTTCTATTTCTAAAAGCAGCTTTTAAGACTGTTACCTTTGAGTATACTATTTCGTCCAGTAACGTAAAGCAAACATTTTACATAGTAATAAATTTAATGAGAGGGGACCAAACAAAAACCCTTTGACCCTGCTCATAAGCATTAATGATGGCAGCAACAGGCCGTCAGGAGCAGCTGCTGCCATCAAGCTGGCTGCAGCGGGGAGACATGAGCAGCGGCAGCAAGAGAGGCTGCAGGAGCTGCAGTGGTGGTGGTGGGTTCCCTGTGCCCCGCATCCCCAAGGCAGCTGACTGGGCCACCCCAACCTTCGCGAAGCTGGGCAGGACCCGCTCCCAGGCCCAGAGTCTCCACCACTCTGGACCCTGGCCCCGTGTTGCCGCTCTTGCCCGCCACTGCTGCGGGGAGGGCACAGAGAGGAGGCGGACAGTCTCTAGAGTCCACCCCTGGGAGGACCCTGGAGCCCACTGCCCTGGGAGCCACCTCAATGGGGCTGGGCCGAGTCGCCTGCCAGAGGGGGAGCAGTGAGGTTGGGCACAGAGGGGCAGAGAGAGAGGAGCCCTGAGATGGAGCTGGGCCCAGGGTGGTGGTGGGAGCCAGGGCAGGCAGGAGCTCCACCATCCCAGGCATGGCTGCAGCTGCCCAAGTTATGGCTGCGGACCCAGACATCTCTGCACTCGGGGGGCCCTAAAAGGCCCTCCCTTGCCCCCACAGGTTCGGAGATGTCTGCTTCCACTGCCTGGCCTCTCCCTGCTGTCAACACCCACTCTGATCACAGAACAAAGTTAAGGCCGAGGTTGGGCACTGTCTCAAGCTTGGGCCAGCTGGGTGTGCACACTTGAGGTAGCATTGATACACCAACCCACTGCCACTTTGGCCCCTTCCAGCCTTTGGGCGCCAGCGAACACGGAAGGAGGGCCAAGGCAGGCTGAGGACGGCCCAGTGCTGGCCTGCACGTGTCCCTTGGCATGAACAGTCTGGGCACCATGAACAGCAGCAGGAGGCAGACAGGCTCCTGGGCGGAAGGGGGCTAGTCCCCGGTGAAGCCCCACCTTCAACTGGGGAAGACCTGAAGCCTCGGGGCCTGGCCACCAGCCTCACAGAGAGCCGGTGCCCATGCCAGTGCCTGGAGCTACCCGCCCTGCCGCAGCCAATGTGCCTGGCTGTGTGCCATGGCCAGACCCCACGTTCGCTCATACACGCCTCACCACTCCGCGCCTGGCTCACCCTTGGGAGGCATGGGGTCCAGGCTGGTAGTGAGAGCTGAGCACAGCCTGCCAGGCCAAGTGGGTGGAACTGAGCAAAACCCGGGCAAGGGCATCACTAGCCGCAGAGGTTTCCAGCCAGAAAAGCAACACCCCCTGGGATCCCGTAACATTATACATAACAATTGTTTACATGCATTTTAAGATGCATTGATAAATTTTATACCTGAAGTCTTTTTCCATCAGAGGTAACCTGAGGAATCTGATTGTGCATCCTATTTATAAAATCAGAATAACCTTGAGAAAGAAGCCCATCCTGCATGAGAAACAAAGAATAAATTAAGTTTTTAATCAGTATGGAAAAAAACGTAAGTTTTAATCAGTATCAAAAATCTTTTTTCTAAATCAAACAAAATATAAGGAAACTAATTCATGCATATACATAGTCCTATATTTTCAAAATTATTTTGTTGGATAAAGATAATTTATAAATTCAATTTTAAGTTTCTTGTGACTAAAATATGAAAAAGTGACAATAAGCAATCCAAAACCATAATCTAATAATCTAGAATGAAAATTTCAGTCAACAGCTTCTAACATATATCCTTCAACAGACTTTTCATATAAAAAATTAAAAACCCTCAGTGCTGAGGAACTAGGTAACCCAACCTGAAAATGATTTGGAAGTATGTCTAAGAGACTCAAACACATTTATGTCCTTCCAGATGGTCTACATTTTGTATCTCTGACACAAGGAACAAATTTATAGTATGTAGAAAATGTATGTACAAACAAAGCTGGTTATTTGGAGCAAAAATCAAATCTGCCTACATACCTAGAAATAAGAGTAATTAAATATACCATGAAGTAGCCATATAATAGACCACTAGACAGCATTTATAAATTATGTACAATTACAGGAAATACTTATGACATTACATTTTTAAAATTTTTCCCAGATTCCTCATATCTTGATTTCAACTACATAAAATAATATATAAATAAAAAGTATATGAAAATATACCAAACTGATAACAATGATTATCTCTAGGTAGTAGGATCATGACTGAATTATATTTCTTCTTCATTTTATATATTTTATCTCAAAAAATATAAGTAAACTTTTTAAAAAGTATGATTATATTTCAACATACAGCTTCATCCAGGACCAGGAATCTAACTTGAGATAAGTTCAGCTTTCCAGTTGACACCAAGTCATCTAGTCTTCCCGGAGTACCTACAACTATATCTACCTGAAAAAAAGCAAACCAACCACTTAATGAAAACTAAAGAAACAGTATAATTACGTTAAAATAGCAACCAATAACTGTCTTTTTAATAAAAACATGCATATTGAAGTAGTCAGTCAACTCTAAATTTATAAAAAAAAAAAAGGAGTTACAGATAATGCCATATGTTCAACTGATACTTGGTTTGAAATTAATGTGAAGATTTTGACCAAAATTGATTTTGACATCCTTAACTGATATACATTCTAATGCATAAAATTTATATTTTCCAAGCAAAAATCTGATGAATTCACTGGAACTCAACGGAACCTAGAGTTCAAGTCCCAGTTCCACCACTACTCTGCTCTGTGACCTTAATTTATTTAATCTCCTCTAGTACCAATTTTCCCATTTTTGAATTGGGGGAATACCTTCTCTTTTTCAAGATGGTTGTGATAATTAAGAGATAAGATGCGTAAAGCACTAGACGCAGAGTGTCCCAGGTGCTCAATAAATTTGGTTATAGTTAATAGTAATGGTGATCAGACTGTCCAGGAAAACAGTAATAGTTACTATTTGTCAAGTACTTATAATGAACAGGCACTCTGCAAAATGTTTTACAAGTACATGTTTTATTTCATGTTACCACTAAGGTAAATACTACTATAATCATCCCTATTCAATGAGAAAACGGAAGTTTAGAATACTAAATAAAACTTTTCAAACATACATAGAAGAGAACAGTGAGCCTCGGTGCCAGTACAAACAGTTAACATTTTGCATTCTCCCACACATATCTTGTAGTCAAGTCCATAGGTATGGTGATTAGACACACAGGTTTCAGAGTAAAGTTCTACCTATGAGTTGTATGATCTTAGGTAAGTTACTTAATATTTGATATAAGCCCTCTTCTTAATCTGTAAAAATGGGGAAGAGTACCATCTCAGAGGATTATTGTAAGTACTGAGTAAGAACATGTTATGTTTTTAGTACAGTGCCTGACCCATTTCTAGAAAGCAGTCAATAAAGATGAGGTATTTTTAAAGTGTGTATATGGGCCGGCGCGGTGGCTCACGCCTGTAATCCTAGCACTTTGGGAGGCCGAGGCAGGCAGATTGCCTGAGCTCAGGAGTTCAAGACCAGCCTGGGCAAAATGGTGAAACCCCGTCTCTACTAAAATACACACACACACACACACACACACAAAATTAGCCGGGCATGGCGGCGTGCACATCTAGTCCCAGCTACTCAGGAGGCTGAGGGAGGAGAACTGCTTGAACCTGGGAGGCAGACGTTGCAGTGAGCTGAGATCACACCACTGCACTCCAGCCTGGGCAACAGAACGAGACTCCATCTCCAAAAATAAATAAATAAATAAATAAAAATATATAAAGTGTGTATATGATGTATTTATGTGAGCACAAATAAGGTATTACATAAGATCATTCAGTAAATCAGACAATTCAAAACCTCTACTCCTTAATTGGCAGGCATTAAAAAACAACACTTCCATTCTTTTTTACCTGTTTTCTCCACCCTGTACTAAAAATATAGTTTTCTATTAGCAAAGTTATTCCTCTAGTTCCATTACTTCAATATCTCACCCCTCGAATAAACAGAACTTTTAACTTGATCCAATATGAGGCACTTATTATCCCATGAAAAATAAAGCAGACATTTCTGAAGCTATTGTTTCATCTGCACTGATAATTACAGCAAGTTCAACCTAGAAAATATTGTCTGAAAATGTGAAGATAAAATCTGTCCAATGTATTAAGAATCTACTATGTGCCAAACACTGAGACAGGTGCTGTACACAGCAGTGAACAAAATACCATCTGGTTCTATGACATCAGTTTAGTACAGTATTCTAACCACGTGAGTTTCCTCCTTCCGAATTTCAGCAGGTAAAGTGGGCATGAAGACAGACACAAGGCCTCTCAGGGTTTTGTTTTGTTTTTTTAAGTCAGTTAGATCAGAAAAGCCTGTGAGACATCTTTATTTATATGACCTCAGTGGCACATGTTGCATAATACCGTAAGACTAAAAGATTAGAAAACTAAAATTCTTCTACTCTCATTGCCAAGCTGACTTCTGCCCCAGCATAAGACCCAACACAGGGCTAAGGCTGAACCAGAGTGTGGTGGAAGATAACAGAAGCAGAGAATGTAAGACAGAGAGAAGAACAGATAAAGATCATATTAGATCCCCTAAGAAGTAGAGTAGAATTGAATTCTGCAAAGAATGCTCTGGTATAACACTACCTTTCCAATTGCTTCAAGTTAGTACCAAATTTTGAGACATCCTGATGAAAGCAGATTTAATTCCCTAAAAGCTCTATAAGCTTTAGGAAAATAGGAATTGAGAAACATATTATCTTATGGGAAAAATGGGTTTGAGGAAGCAAGATTGGGAATAAACTTATTAAATCTCTCTTACAACCACTAAAATAAAATAAAACACACTAAATGTTTCAGCTCATTTTCTGCTGTTTTAACAGAATATCACAAAGTAGATAATTTATAAAGAAAAGAATATTTGTCACATTTCTGGAGGTTTGGGGAAGTTCAAGAGCATAGTGCCAGCAGCAACTAGTGAGGGTCATCTCATGGCAGAAAGGAGCAACAAAGAGAGGAAAACGGGCCGAAACTCCTGCAATAACTAACCCGCTCCTACAGCAAAGGCATTAACCCATTCATGAGGACAAAGCCCTCGCGATCTAATCATCTGTTAAAAGCCCCCGCCTTCCAATACCATTATATGGGCAATTAAATTTCAACATGAGTTTTGGTGGGGACATTAAAACCATAGCACTAAATAAAAACATATCAAAGCAATATTACTCATCTTAGAATAGTATTAACAAGTATGGTAATATGATTCCTTGCTCTTAATATGGCATACCAGGTCAAATGTAAAGTCTGTGTGGCACAAAATTTAGTTTGACAAGAGCACCAATGGAATTGGAGAAAGGACACAATTGCTTGTCATGACTCAATATCGGATGGTTTAGCTTTAATGATTAAATATTTAGGAAAGGAAATAAAAGAGAAATTTATAAGCTGTAAGTTATTTCACACACGAAAAATATTTCATGAAGTCCTACCTTCACAGAACTGATAAACAGTTAAAAATTTCCTAAACTTCGGCCAGGCGCAGTAGTTCACTCCTGTAATCCCAGCACTTTGGGAGGCCAGGGCGGGTGGATCACCTGAGGTCAGGAGTTCAAGACCAGCCTGGCCAACATGGTGAAAATACAAAAAAATCAGCCAACATGGTGGCGGGTGCCTGTAATCCCAGCTACTGAGGAGGCTGAGGCAGGAGAACTGCTTGAACCCAAGAGGCAGAGGTTGCAATGAGCCGAGAACATGTCATGGCACTCCAGCCTGGGCGACAAGAGTGAAACTCCTTCTCAAAAAAAAAAAAAAAAAAAATTCCTAAACTTCTTCTCCAACAGTGGAGATCAGATCCTCTTAGCTTTGTCCTTCGTAATGGCATGGCTGAGCACAGCCTTTGCGACTTCCCCTTACACATAATTGAACTCATGTCTCTCCTCACTGGAACTATTACCCACTGTCTTATCATTATTCATCCTTCCCAAGAGTCACTGCAGGAACTTCTATCCTTCTCTGCAATCTATTTTACCTCTACTTTTGTTCTTAACTCCAGTTTCTTCTTTTTCACTTATCTCCCCAAAAAGAATGACTCTTTACCCATGAAGGCCAGAAGGAAATTCTCAAATGTTCAGAGGGTAAACAACAAAAAATCATGTATGCTGGAATTTTGCTTGAGAGGTCTGGGAGAGACTTTGTATACTTCCAGGAGAAGAAAAGGCGCACTTGCAAGATGTCTTTGAACAAACATACTCCTCTGACCTTGCTCTAATTTCAGCCTCACTTAAATTTTCTTGAAACAAAACAGAGCTGTATTGCTAAAACGACAGCCCATGACATTATGTTTTAAAAATTAAAACTACAACTTACTCCATTTTCCAAAACAGAGAGCTGATCCCGGGCTGCAACACCTCCAATTATCAGAAGCTCCCTGAAATAAATATCAAGATGATAATATAAAAAAAAAAAAATTAAAGTCTGCTTTACATTGTTTGATCTGCATCCATTTATTTTAGGTGGAAATTAAGGTTGAGAAAGTAATTGAGGAAAAAAGCCTACAATAAAACAAGTCTGGGGGAAGTTACAAAGGTTACACGCTGCCCTCTCCCTCCCCCTCCCCCTCTCCCTCTCCCCACGGTCTCCCTCTCCCTCTCTTTCCACGGTCTCCCTCTGATACCGAGCCGAAGCTGGACTGTACTGCTGCCATCTCGGCTCACTGCAACCTCCCAGCCTGATTCTCCTGCCTCAGCTTGCCGAGTGCCTGCGATTGCAGGCACGCGCCACCACGCCTGACTGGTTTTCGTATTTTTTTGGTGGAGACGGGGTTTCGCTGTGTTGGCCGGGCTGGTCTCCAGCTCCTAACCGCGAGTGATCCGCCAGCCTCGGCCTCCCGAGGTGCCGGGATTGCAGACGGAGTCTCCCTCACTCAG
This sequence comes from Homo sapiens, assembly GCF_000001405.40. Classification (NCBI taxonomy): domain Eukaryota; kingdom Metazoa; phylum Chordata; class Mammalia; order Primates; family Hominidae; genus Homo; species Homo sapiens. The sequence continues at coordinate 15,612,724 of NC_000002.12, read as the reverse complement.
TGCTCAATGTTGCCCAGGCTGGAGTGCAGTGGCGTGATCTCGGCTCGCTACAACCTCCACCTCCCAGCCGCCTGCCTTGGCCTCCCAAAGTGCCGAGATTGCAGCCTCTGCCCGGCCGCCACCCCGTCTGGGAAGTGAGGAGCGTCTCTGCCTGGCCGCCCATCATCTGGGACGTGAGGAGCCCCTCTGCCTGGCTGCCCAGTCTGGAAAGTGAGGAGCGTCTCTGCCCGGCCGCCATCCCATCTAGGAAGTGAGGAGCACCTCTTCCCGGCCACCATCCCATCTAGGAAGTGAGGAGCGCCTCTTCCCGGCCGCCATCCCATCTAGGAAGTGAGGAGCGTCTCTGCCCAGCTGCCCATCGTCTGAGATGTGGGGGGCGCCTCTGCCCCGCCGCCCCGTCTGGGATGTGAGGAGCGCCTCTACCCGGCCGCGACCCCGTCTGGGAGGTGAGGAGCGTCTCTGCCCGGCCGCCCCGTCTGAGAAGTGAGGAGCGTCACCGCCCGGCAGCCACCCCGTCCAGGAAGGAGGTGGGGGTCACCCACCGCCAGGCCAGCCGCCCCGTCCAGGAGGGAGGTGGGGGGGGTCAGCCCCCCGCCCGGCCAGCCGCCCCGTCCGGGAGGGAGGTGGGGGGGTCAGGCCCCGCCAGCCAGCCGCCCCCTCCGGGAGGAGAGGGGAGCCTCTACCCAGCCGCCCCTACTGGGAAGTGAGGAGCCCCTCTGCCCGGCCAGCCGCCCTGTCCGGGAGGGAGGTGGTGGGGTCAGCCCCCCGCCCGGCCAGCCGCCTCGTCCGGGAGGAAGGTGGGGGGGTCAGCTCCCCGCCCGGCCAGCCGCCCCGTCCGGGAGGTGAGGGGCGCCTCTGCCCAGCCGCCCCTACTGGGAAGTGAGGAGCCCCTCTGCCCGGCCAGCCGCCCCGTCCGGGAGGGAGGTGGGGGGGTCAGCCCCCCGCCCGGCCAGCCACCCCGTCCGGGAGGGAGGTGGGGGGGTCAGCCCCCCGCCCGGCCAGTCGCCCCGTCCGGGAGGGAGGTGGGGGGGTCAGCCCCCCGCCCGGCCAGCCGCCCCGTCCGGGAGGTGGGGGGTGCCTCTGCCCGGCCACCCCTACTGGGAAGTGAGGAGCCCCTCTGCCCGGCCAGCCGCCCCGTCCGGGAGGGAGGTCGGGGGGTCAGCCCCCCGCCCGGCCAGCCGCCCCGTCCGGGAGGGAGGTGGGGGGGTCAGCCCCCTGCCCGGCCAGCCGCCCCGTCCGGGAGGTGGGGGGAGCCTCTGCCCGGCCGTCCCTACTGGGAGGTGAGGAGCCCCTCTGCCCGGCCACCACCCCGTCTGGGAGGTGTGCCCGGCAGCTCATTGAGAACGGGCCATGATGACAATGGCGGTTTTGTGGAGTAGAAAGTGGGGAGAGGTGGGGAAAAGAGTGGGAAATCGGATGGTTGCCGTGTTTGTGTAGTAGGAGGTAGACATGGGAGACTTTTCATTTTGTTCTGTACTAAGAAAAATTCTTCTGCCTTGGGATCCTGTTGATCTGTGACCTTACCCCCAACCCTGTGCTCTCTGAAACATGTGCTGTGTCCACTCAGGGTTAAATGGATTAAGGGCGGTGCAAGATGTGCTTTGTTAAACAGATGCTTGAAGGCAGCATGCTCGTTAAGAGTCATCACCACTCCCTAATCTCAAGTACCCAGGGACACAAACACTGCGGAAGGCCGCAGGGTCCTCTGCCTAGGAAAACCAGAGACCTTTGTTCACTTGTTTATCTGCTGACCTTCCCTCCACTATTGTCCTGTGACCCTGCCAAATCCCCCTCTGTGAGAAACACCCAAGAATGATCAATAAAAAATAAATAAATTAAAAAATAAAAAATAAAAAAAAAAACAAGTCTGGGGAAGGTGGGAAACAAAGCAGTTAAATCCCCGTAGCTGTATCTATTGCTGAAGTGCGGTAAAGTCACGAAAGAGAATGCGTGAGCTTGTAACATGGAAAAAATTATTCTCATCTACATATTCTTCTACATTAGGATAATTCAAGGTTCTTTAAAACCTGGTTTCAATCTATGTTTTCAGACATATATACTTGTATGTATATAAAATGCCCTGAAGGAATATACAAAAATCAATTTAAAACGTTGCCTCCAGAAAGGATAACTAGAAATTGGGGAAAGGAGTGAAAGAAGACTCACTTTTCACAGTACCCTTTTGTGTTTGAATGTTTCTCATTTCAATGACTGGCCAACTGGCACTGGGACACATGGATATGCACATGCAAAAGACTGAAGTTAAAACCCTTTCTCATGCCATACACAGAAATTAACTCTAAATGTATCACAGACCTAAATGTAGAACCTAAACATAAAACTCAGAAGACAACACAAATAAAATTTTCATGACCTTGGGTTAGGCATAGTCTATCTTAACTACAACATCAAAACACCATGACAAAAGAGAAAAACAGATAAATTGGATTTCATCAAAATTAAGACTTCCAAAGGACAGTATCAGGAGAGTAAAGGCCAGATGCAGTAGCTCACACCTATAATCCAGCACTTTCGGAGGCGGAGACACAAGGATTGCTTGAGGCCAGGAGTTCGAGACCAGCCTGCACAACATAGCAAGACCATGTCTCCACAAAAAATAAAATTAGCCAAGCACTGTGGCACTTGCTTGCAGTCCCAGCTACTCTGGAGGCTTAGGTGGGAGGATTGCTTGAGCCCTAGAGTTTGAGACTGCAGTGAGCTATGAGGCACCACTGTACTCCAGCCTAGGTGACAGAGTGAGACCTCATCTCAAAAATAAAACCAAAACCAAAAAGAATCACCTGGAGGAGCTGCTTTTCTTAAAAAACAAACAAATAAAAAAAGATTCTAATTCCTATTCTCTGGAAATTCTGATTCAGTATATCCAGGGGAGGGAACCAATACATTTTATATTTTTAAATGAGGTCCTCAAGTTCCTAGGTTTGGACTATTGTCCTAAACTATCATTTTTTTTTCCAACAATACTTTTACTTTTATCCACATTTATAATCAGATATATTTATCCCTATAAACTTGGCAGAAGGTAAACACACATACACATGATAATTGATGCTTATACGCAAAGCACTGTAGGGTTGAAGAATATAAAAGAACCACCCCTGCACTAAGGAATGTAAAACTGAGTTAGATAAAAGCTTTGCATATTCAAAGCAAGAAACTTAAAGCAAGTATAGCTCTAAAAAGGAAATAAAAATTAAGAAAATTAAAAAGTAAGGAAAAGTAACACATGACAGTATGTAAGGATCAGGGAAAGGCATGTACAGTCAGTGTATCAGAGGAGGGGCAGATGGCTGGGCTGGGACAGCCAGCTTAGCTTCATTCAAAGATCATGACTTCAGCTGGGTTTTAAGAAAGAAAATGTCCATTTGTACCGAATACCAAACAAGTGGCCCATGACTTTACCATCTTAACCAATAAATTGATTTTATTATTCATCTTCCCCTCTAACTTTTGTCTATAATCATGTTCATTTTTATACATAATCACAGCACAAAAATCAATTCACACTAGCATTTTACATTCTTCCCAAATCCTTTTATAAAGACGTCCCTGAGTTTCTTACACTAAGCAGATGCCCTGGTTACATGGTATGCTCAAGGCATTTATTGTATTTGTTTTGTTTCTCTCCCCTCCACACTATCCCCACACTTTCACACTTAATTCTGTGAAAGGAAGATTAATTTTCATTGTTGAAGCCCTGGCTCCCAGCCTAAAACTTCACATATGGAAGGTAGATGAACATTTGCTGAATAAGGAACATGCATCAATCTTCAAAACAAAATTAGTAATTATTTTACATAATTTATCCCTAAATAAGTTTGTTCAACCTGTAAATAAGATCAATATTAAAAAGACAGGCCTGCCTGAAACAGTGGCATGTGCCTGTATTCTCAGCTACTCGGGAGGCTGAGGCAAGAGAGAGAATTCCTTGAGTCTAGGAGTTCAAGGCTACAGTGTAGGAAGACTGAACCTGTGAACAGCCACTTACTTCAGCCTGGGCAACATAGCGAGACTTCATAAAAAAAAAAAAAAAAAAAAAACCTAAAAAAAAACACAGGCTTTTGTGATGTCAAAATATTCAAAGCTTCTGAAATTTGATAGTGGTGACAGTTACACACCTTGTGAATATACTAAAAACCAATGAACCAAGAAACACTTGCTTTTTTTTTTTTTTTTGAGACGGAGTCTTACTCTGTTGCCCAGGCTGGAGTGCAATGGCGCAATCTTGGCCTCAATGCAACCTCCACCTCCTGGGTTCAAGCAATTCTCATGCCTTGGCCTCCCGAGTAGCTGGGATTACAGGTCTCTGCCACGAAGCCCAGCTAATTTTTGTATTTTAGTAGAGATGGGGTTTCACCGTGTTGGCTGGGCTGGTCTTGAACTCCTGACCTCAGGTGACCGCCCACCTCGGCCCCCCAAAGTACTGGGAATACAGGCGTGAGTCACCACACCTGGCTGAATTGTGCACTTTCAAATAATGAGTTTTATGGTGTGTGAATGTTTCAAGTTTAAAAAGTAATTAAAGACAAAATTAACAAAAATCAAGTGTCAAATTGACTAACAGAGTGTATTACTTATATGGTATAGCCTTCTTCAAAGTCAAAGGGATTGCTACTGAGCAAGGTCACTTTAATTTATGGTATCCTTCCAATGGTGGAAAGAGTCTTATAACTAGACAGTGACCAATCTGAATGTCCAAATGGAAGAAAGCCACCACCGTGATGCAGTCTAGAATAAACCTCGCCAAGTTTACTAACATGCTAGAAATAGAGTGGCACATTTTCTATAGAGATTTAGGGAAGAAATAAATTTAACAGTGAATGAAATGCTCTCTTCAAAAAATTGTTAGGGCCAGGCACAGTGGCTCATGCCTGTAATTCCAGCACTCTGGGAGGCTGAAGCAGGAGGATCATTTGCACCCAGGAGTTTGAGACTAGCCTAAGCAACATAGTGAAACCCTATCTCTACTAAGGTGGCATGTGCCTGCAGTCCCAACTACTCAAGTGGGAGGACTGCTTGAGTCCAGGAGGTCAAGGTTGCAGTGAGCTACAATCATATCACTACACTCCAGCCTGGGCGACAGATTGAGATCCCGGTCTCAGAAAAAAAACCAAAAATTAGATTTTTACTCCAATGCTGTTTGACTAACCATGACTTTTCATGTAAGAGACACAGGAAAAAAAAAATCTCAATTTTAAAAAAATCATACTTACCATTTAGCAAACAAACAGGAGTTGTATATGGAAATTATTAAAGTATATTTACATACTCACACACGTGTATTATGTATACACACTGAATTTCTACTTCATTTTTCTCTACCTTATTCTTCTTCCAAAAAACTTCAAACCAAAAGACAATAAGCATTTCAGCACAAAAGGAAGATTTACCTTAATTTAGGATTATCAATGTATTTCTTAAACTGCTTGATGTTGTTCAAAGTTTGTTCAGCTAACTCCCGGGAAGGTTCAACAATGAGAGCTTTCGGAGCATTGGGGAGAAACTTTGTTTGTGTCACCTGTGCATTACCTTAGGGAATAAAAAAGATGAGAACACATTCAAAGCACACTTTATAATACTGTTACTTATAAAACATTAGGACAAATATTCTAATATCAACATTTTACATAATAATTGTCAAAAAGTAGAGAAGACAGTCAAACAGAATAAACCTTAGATTTCTAAAACAAAGGCTACTTTAAATTAAAACTATTTGGGCTGGTGGGGTGACTGACACCTGCAATCCTAGCACTTTGGGCGGCCCAAGGTGGGACGATCACTTGAGTCCAGGTATTCAAGGCTGCAGTGAGCTATGATGGCGCCACTGCACTCCAGCAGCCTGGGTGACACAGTGAGATCCCCTCTCTTAAAACAACAATAAAAATCTACTTGGAATAATTCTAATTGATTGATATGTCTACAAAAATGACTCACTTGTTTTGTGACAAACAAGTTATGAAATATACTTTAAATATTAGATATACAATGGATAAGAGTATAAACTTGGAAGTCAGACTGCTTAGATTTGAATTCAGTTCTACCACTTATTTGCTCTGTGACCTTGGGCAAATCACTTAAAGTCCCTATTCGTTAGGTTGTCTGTAAAATGGGAAAACTACTACCTTATAGGGTTGTTGTGAAGACTAAACCATGTAAAGCACTTAATGTGGTGCCCTGGCACTGAATAAGCACACATTCTATAAATATTAGATATCATTACCGTTATGATTGCGATCCCAAAATGCCTACACTGAAACCAAATACTTAAGAGTTTATGAATTAGGTTTTAAAAATGAATTTTACTGCTGTGTTAAAAAAAGATGTGTGACTAAACCAGCAAGGAAAGTATATGTAACTCACTATGAGACGCCTTACTTACTGGAGTTCTCATCAATTATTCTCACTATTCTAGAAATCCTTACCCTTGCAGGTATAATACCTGAGTGCTGTGATTTGACAATGTAACCATCCGGTGCCTTGGAAAGAGCAACAAAGCCATCTTTTGGTGGAAACTTAAATTCCTCTTCACCGAAGTTAAATTTCAGTTCAGCATTCTAGCATTGAATAAAACAGAAAATTAAAATTCCTACCCTAATTGAAAACCATCGTATACAAAATAATGAAGAGTAAGCAGCTTACAACCACAGCAAATTTTTTCTAACTAGATTCCTAATTACCTTCAAAACACAGGCAGGAAAGAGGGCTTGGTTTTTCATATGTGGTGGTATTTCAAATGCCAGACCAAGATCTTTTCCTTAAAAAACAAGAGAGAGAGAGAGATTAAAACAATCAGAAAAGACCTTCCTCATGCTGACAATGTCAAATCTACCAGCTTACCTGCATTCATGCCTCTCTCCTGTCACTATGGATAAACTGTGCTGCCTAAGGCCAGCTTCTTCATTTTTTTACTTTACTCCTGAAACTGTCACTTCTACCCCTCTACATTTTTCATTACTCCCTGTCTACAAGTTCATTTCCATTAGACATTTCAAAGCATATAAACATACTCTCACAGTAAAACACACAAGAAAACCTCCCTTGAACTCACCTCTCCCTCCATTTACCTTCCATTTTTCTCCTCCCTTTTGTAGTGAAACTCCGATTTCCATTTACACTGTATCCACTTTCTTTCATCTCATTCTCTATTGAACTGGCTCCTTATTAGGAGGCTCCCCACCCTCACCCCTTTGCTCCACCAAAACAGCTCTCTAATGCTTTCCACTTGTCAAATGCAGCAGTTAATGCACATTCTTCATCTTGCTAGACTAGACCCATCCGCAGCACTGAACAGTGATTGCTCCCTGATCCTTCAAACACTTCCTTCACCAGGACTGTAGGACCCATGCTTTCTTGGTTCTCCTCCTGGCCTTCCTCCTCATTCCCCTCTGCTGGATTCTCCTCAATTTGCTGACCCCTAACCACAGGAACCCAGGCCTCAGATCTCTTCTTCTCTTTAACTACCCTCAATCCCTAGGCAATCTCACCCCACCCTCCAATGTGTCTTCAACAAAGCAGCCAGAATGGTACTGTTAAACTAAAGACAGATGATGCCACCCCTCTGCTCAAAACCCTCATGGCTTTCCATTTCACTCAAAATAAAAACCAAAGTTTAGATCATGGCCCATATGGCTCTCCATGGCCTGGCCTCACCACCTCACTCATCTAACATTCTACCACCGTCCTTTATCCCCAGAGCACTCCAGATCTAGTGGCTTCCTCGCTGTGACTCAGACACCTCAAGCACGCTTCCATCTCAGGGCATCCACATTTACTATTCCCTTTGCAGAAATCTGCATGGCCTACCACCCAACTCATTTGGATCTCTACCTAAATGTCCCTTATCAAGCCTTTTGACTGCCCTACACAAAAGCACAAACCCCCAAACCGCTATGACTCTCCACTTCCTTCCCCTGCTTTATACCCTCCTTCACAGCACTTACTACCACCTAACATGGTATTATATGTCTGTCTTTCACCACTAGTGTGTAAGCCCCAAATGTCTATTCCATTTTCTTCTGTGCCTCCAGTACTTACCAGGGTACCTTACACATAGTCAATGCTCAATAAATATTAGTTCAAGTAAAGGCAGGGAGGGAGGGACGGGGATTTGAAAAACAGGGTGGGGGGATTTTTAAAAACCACAATTATTGAATATCATGTATCTTTTCACTACTAAGATCCATATAGAGCTTACCATTTTTGGAGAACTTGACATGTCCCTTATCTATATCCAGGTAACATCCAATGGTATCATGCATAGTGAATTCCTAGAACACCAGAAAGTCAAATGCTATTAATAGAAAGTAAATTCTTAAATAAAGTTAAAATATAGCTGCATCAAAAGTATGTGTTTCAAAATAATTATTTAAATCAAAAATGCCTATTAGAGCATATGACATATACAATAGTACAAGCATTTGACAGGCTTGTTAGAATCAACATATTTAGGCTCATTCACACTACTGTAGATTTCAGCTCACCAGACGAACTATATTTAGACTCATCATGATCAATAATAAGAAATGAGAATAACATGTATCAAAGCCAAAATCAAAATGAGGTGAAAAGAGAAGACAACGTAATGTATTTTGGAGGGGATGACAAATGGCATAAAAGAAAAATTATAACTACTACATATTTATCTAGCTTGACAATATTTCTTCACTAAAGTCCAAATCCAAACTTTCTGTGGAAAATATACAGAAAATCTGCTCATTTTGAGAATCATTTGTATACCCTCATTCTGTCATGAGTGATTAAGTATGCAAGAAAACTTACTTATGCTATGTTGAAGTCATAACATAATCGCTTACCTCTCCATAATTATCAAATTGTTTGTTATGGGATTTCTTTCCTGTTCCACCAAAGCCAAATCCAAACTTGTCAGTACCTAGATTTAAAAAATATTTTACTTTTCTGGTAAGAGAAAATATAAAATTAAAAGACCTCTAAAAGAAGTAATTTTATTCACATAGTATGTCCATTTCATAAACCCACAGGAAAACTATTCCCTAAGTTTCTGAATCCTGCAAAAAACTAAACAGTGCTTAGGCCACAGAGCGTGTGTGAGACTAGGGACACCAGTGATACTGCATCCCTCTCTGCTTTGTCCACTAAGAAATTCAGATGCAAGTTTACAATAACATGAAGCATCTATATGGTACTGTGTGGTACAGATTCACACACACTAACTTTACCCTGACTCCATTCATATTCTTATCCCTCATTTCATACTGCTATAATATCTGTACTTTTTGTAAGTTCCTTCAAATCCTTTTTGGAACAGGGTGGGGTACAGATAAATATTGTTTCCATGTCTTTAAAATAAAACCTTTTTATGGTTAAATTTATTATTTTGCTTCCCCAAATAATAAAATGTTATCCCCCAAATGTAAATCAATCAATTCAGTTATTTTAGAAACACTTACCTAGGTCCAAAGAGGCCTGCATGGTAGACCACCCGACCCTGCATAACCCTTGGTCATGACAGGATACTTCATAGTAGTGTTTCCCTACAAGGGTAAAATACATTGAGATTTATATAAATCACACACACGATTCATTTACCATGAAGTCATCTTCCCATTGTTTCTGAATTACACAGGTATGTACCAAATGAAGAATTATAGGTATATTTGTACCATCAAACACCTTCCCAGATCCTCGACTTAAAGCTATTTTTAAAAACTCATGGGCCAGGCATAGTGGCTCACGCCTGCAGGCAGCACTTTAGGAGGCTAAGGCAAGCAGATCACCTGAGGTTAGGAGTTCAAAACCAGCCTGGCCAACATGGTGAAACCCATCTCTACTAAAAGTACAAAAATTAGCCAGGCATGGTGGTGGGCGCCTGTAATCCCAGCTACTCGGGAAGCTGCGGTAGGAGAATTGCTTGAACCCGGGAGGTGGAGGTTGCAGTGAGCCGAGATGGCACCACTGCCCTCCAGCCCGGGCCCTCCAGCCCGGGCGACGTGCGAGACTCCATCTCAAAAACAAACAAACAACAACAAAAAAACCCTCACGTATTAATACCTTGCCTCAAAAGTTTATACAAGTGCAGATGCTGTTCAAATACCTTTCATTAATCCTTTAGTAGCTCTACACCCATGCCATTCCTTTACTTCTCTGCTTTGACAACAAAGACCATCTGACCCAATTGCTGGATTTGAGAAGAAAACACAGAAAAACACGTCAGTACAGGTTTTATAAATCATACATTCCCACCCCCTACCACCAAAAAAAATCATTCAGTCTCACTAACAAGATAATTCCTTCATTTGTTGCAATGTTCCAGAGACTGAGACTTACTGATTCCTGAGTGATAGTAGTATTTCCCAAGTGTAATTAACCATTTCATTCCCTGGGTGTCCTTGGCTATGTTGGGGGCTATTTTCTATGCTGCCATCTGTTAACTAAGGTAAGATTTTACAGCAACAAGTCTAGAAAGGATTCAACACAGCTCTTAACCTGACTTGCACTAATAGTAGTTGCACCATCAATACAAATGTGTTTAGATAACTATTCTCTGGAGCCCTTTAAAGAAACGTACTCAAGGATGATGCACAACTCGCTCATCAATATTCGTCCTGATTTTATACTTAAATTAGAGCTTGAGTGACTATATAACTAAAAGATAACAGAACTGTCTCTAGCTTGTTCCTCAATCCATGGAAGAAACCATATGGGAAACTAGGAGAAAGCATGAATAAATAAGCATGTATTTGTTACTTGCTAATATTATAAGGGCTCTAAAAGATGAGGTATATTCTATACTATACATCATGATCAGTCTCAGTGATGTCCACATACTAAATGGTTTTAAGTAAAGATTCAGCTTTTTGTCTGTACTGGAAAAAAACTATAATTTCTGTCCTGGTTCATCTTTCCAACTCGTATTCTGTACTTGAAAGTAGAACAAACTGTTAAGCACCTCAACACACATCTTCCTACACTTTTCAGAAATTTAATTATTCAAAGTATGAATTCTTACCCATATGGGTACTGAATTATGTAGAACTGAACTTTTAAAAAGTTATCTAGGAGCTTCCAGGATAGCTGAACACATGACGGTTCCTGAAGGGTGTCATGCCCAGGGAGGGGAGAAGCTCCAAGCCCCTTCCTGTACTTCAGCTTATGCATCTCTTCATCAGTATTCTTTATAATAGCTTTAAAAATAAACCAGTAAACATATTTCCCCGAGTTCTGTGAGCCACTCTAGCAAATTAATTGAACCTGAGGAAGGAATTGTAGGAACCCTGATTTATAGCCAATAGGTTAGAAGCATAAGCCACAACCTGGGCATCAGATGTGGGGGACAGTCTTGTGTGATTGAACCCTCAACCTGTGGGATATGATGCTATCTTCATGAAGACGGTGTCAGAATTGAATTGAATTACAGTTCTCAGCTGGAAGAAACCATAATGGGAAAGTATGGGAAACCAAGAATAAACAAACATGTGTCTGTTACTTACTCCATCAGTTCTCAACTCGTAAATGCTGAGAACTGACTGCTTGCTTGACTTGTGGGAAAAAACCCCACACATCTGCTGTCAGAAGCATGCTGAGAGAGTATACAGGGAAAATGGAGTTTATTTATTTCTCTATATTCTCAGAATTGGTGTCAGAATCAGGGTTTGCTAGAACTGCCTTGGCTCACAGAACTGTGGTTTGGAAAGAAAAAGGATAAAAGGGTAGGGGATGAGGAACTTTAGGTTTCTTGGTGGCCACAAGATCACCTATGGTACAGAGCCACAGCTGTGCTACACACAGTTACTAATGATAAAAATTATCAGTGGAATTTAGAGTTGGATCCAACTCCTGGGGAGCTGGTTCACTGGATGCATAAGAAAACACAAATAAGAACCCGTGAGGTGGAGCTTGCAGTGAGCTGAGATCGCGCCACTGCACTCCAGCCTGGGCAACAGAGCGAGACTCTGTCTCAAAAAAAAAAAAAAAAAAAAAAAAAAGAAAATGCAAATAAGAAAAAAAGTATACAGTCCTTTGGTTACTATTATCTGTAATAGCTAAAATGAAGTAAAAGAGTGCTGGGTCAGCCCTTGATGTGAGACTACATTCAGATTTCAGTCCATCTGAGCTTTGGTCACCAGCTTCAAAGCTGACCCCCAAGGGAAAAATTATGCAGGGCCAACAAAAAGTACTTCTAAGACCTGTGGTCTCCAAGAAGGCAGTAAATGTGGGGAAGAGCAAAACCAAAACACTCTGAAACTGGAGGGTATAGTGTGAAGGAACTGTTACATTTTGTAGATCAGTATCATAAGCTTCCTGAGGAGTCTTTACTAAAATGCATTCTGAGAGTAACTGCTTTAGGAAAGTATCCTTAGTTTTAAATGCAGCAGAATAGAAGGGCATATTTGAGTTGATGCAGGTCTCGCTGCTCACTATGGAACAATCACAGATGGCTCTATGCATGATGGAGGTTATTCCCAAGTGAACAGCCAGCCTGGTGAATTGGATAAAAGCCACTGTAAGGTCTGTTAACCCCAAGAAGGAGGACTGTCCAACTCCACCTATAAATACTTTCTTTTATAATTTCTGCATTTTCTATTTGGGTTAGGAAAGTTTTGCCACTGCTAAATTATACATGTAGTTTTCTGTATTCAAATTCATACATATATATTTAAGTCCTAAATACACATGGAATTTATTTCTAATTATGATATGAGATAGAAGTCAATTTTATATTGCTCCAGATGGATCGTGTCAGCACCCTTTACTTAATAAACCATCCTTTTGTCTCACTGAAATGAAATATAATTATTTTTCCTGCATATAACTTCTCATATGTGCTGAGATTTATTTCCATTATGTTCCACTGTCTATTCCTATGTCAGTTCTATACTGTTTAATGATAGTGACTAAATTCTAATATCTGGTAAATTAAATCTTAATCTTATTTACTTGGTGTTCTCATGTATTATTTTTTAAAGTTTCTGAATTACAAATGAGCTGATGGAAAGTCTATCCACTTACCAAAAGCAGATCCTCTGTCATATGGGTTCATCTGCCATTTGTTCAGCACTAAACAAATTAAAATAAGAAAAGTTACCCACAGATATATAAAATTTAAAATGCTTGGCCGGGTGCGGTGACTCACGACTGTAATCTCAGCACTTTGGGAAGCTGACGTGGGTGGTTCACTTGAGGTCAGGAGTTCAAGACCAGCCTGGCCAACGTGGTGAAACCTCATCTCTACTAAAAAAAAAAATACAAAAATTAGCCAGGCATGGTGGCGTGTGACTGTAATCCCAGCTACTCGGGAGGCTGAGGCAGGAGAATCGCTTGAGCCCAGGAGGTGGAGACTGCAGTGAGCAGAGATCGAGCCACTGCACTCCAGCCTGGGCGACAGAGCGAGACTCCATCTCAAAAATAAATAAATAAATAAATAAATAAAATAAAACGCTCTATTAAAAAAAAAAACAAGTATTTTATGTACCTTAATTCCTCTAGATTCAATATGGTTTTATATATTATTTAGAATACACAAGTAAAACTTGTTTTTATTAAAAGCAAAAACGCAACTGAAAAATCAGACATGTTGAAGATAATCATCACTGGTCTATCTGGACCTAAAACCTTTTCTCCTCACTTGCTTGCTTCAGTGTGCTCTCTATCAGATGATACTGATCTCTGTCCTTACTCCTAGGTCACTATTAAAAAGAAGTTTAAGTAACCAAACAAGTTGACTTCAATTATAAAGGAAATAACTGATCAACATTTCAGAGTCTAATTATCTTGTAACTATCAAAAAAAAAGCAAGTCCTTTATCTTAATTCAATACCACATTCAAAAGTCACACATTTTTTTCATCCGCCTTTTTATAAGATTGGCATTTTCCTTTTCTGACACATCTTGATAGTTTGTTAAGATGTATGTATACGTATAAACTAAGAATTGTAATAAAGAGAGCTCTACGTGCTTTCTAGACCAACTTTCCACTCACGGTAGAAATCCTTTCTAGATTATTTCTGGTCAAAAGATATCCATCATCAGCTTAAACACTTTGAACATTGTAGAAATAACTTTGAGGTTTTCCCTTGCATTGTGGCTCAATGTAGCTATTAGGAAGTACTTTAAGTTAAACAGAAATCTTCATCTAAACTATTTCTAATTGGTCCTGGTCCTACTTTCTAGAATAATTACTTTCTCTCTAGTTCTCTTCAATAATTTAACAATTATCCCATCTCCATTTTTACTTCTTCTCCATGTTTAAATTTCTACTTTCTTTATTCCTCATAGGATGTGACTTTCAGAACCATTATCACTATGGTTATTCTCCTTTAGGAGTGTTTTCTTTTACCACCATTTCTCATAAATGACGGCACAGTTGTTACAAATTCTGAAACTATTTTAGAATAGGCCAATAGTGTAAATAGTTACATCAATTATCTATCTCTAATTTACATGAGTTCACAGATTCTACATTATACATTTTATGTATAACATTACTTTCAAACAACTGAAAAGAATATGTTAATATGACAGGTTCACTGGTCTTCAACTTGCTGTTTTGTAACAATCCTGTTTTGTATAATGAAACAAGAGTGACTTAAAATGTGGAAAAAATATTATTAAAATATAACAAAACAAAAGATTAATTAAGATAGAATGAAATTTAGAAAACATTCAACAGAAGCAACACAATTTAAAGATGAAGAAACTGCGGTAAGATTGATTACGGTAGAGACAGTATCAGAAACCTAATAAAAAGACCAATTTCCATGTAGATAGGACTGCACATAAGAAACAACTTTAAAATTTATATTTTAACTTCCTAGGTGGTTCCCTTCTTATCTTAGAGGAAAAAAAATGCCTCTGTTCCCTGTAAGGCAATACTTCCCACCAGCATGGGTTTTTACTCCATAAATTATTTGTAAAATCCTTCCTTAATATTTTTGTAAAATGTACCTATTTTCCTTTAGCATTAAGCATAGAAAGTTATAAGGTTAAGAAAAACACTATAATATTGAAATGTAATCTCCAAAATGCTAGTGTTTTCTCAAAGGGAACACTATTAGTATTTTAGGAGGGACAACCTTGCAGTGTTTAGGCTCTCAACAACATTTAGCATCCCTGGTTTCCAGGGTTCCAGATCCCAATACCACCCCCCAGATACTGACAAGATTTTAAAAATGCATACCCAAATCTCACTTTCCTAACTGTCAGTGATGAGAACCAATGATTTATATAAAAGGAAATATCAATTTACAAAAATTACCTGAAGCACCAGTTTTAATTGTTGTTTTTCCTTTTTTGCCTTCCTGTTGGTCTTTCAGAGTTTCATAAACTATCTGGATAACTGGAATACTAAAAGCCTATCAAAGAAACAAAAGGTATCTATATTAGTATTCACATATTAACGACAATTTAATAACCAATATAAATGACAAAAGTTATGCACACACATCAACTAATCATACATATTCCAGATTGCTACTACAATTTCATTTACCCAAACCAAAAATACCCATCAGACAACACAGAGTGGACTGAATGAAGGAAATAGGACGCAGCTAACATCACAAAAAGATAGAACAATGGAGACTGGTAGAATGAACCTACACTAAAGAGGAAAAATACCATCCAGTCCGACAAATTATTTCTCTAGTCCAGGCCAGTAGGAGATCAACTTCTGTATGTAACCTTTTTATTTTAAGAGTCATCATATTAAAATTCAGAAGTGAGTATAAACACTAAAGCTATTGTAACTCTCTAACGCCCATTTAAAACTATGTTCTTAAGGTCATACTTTTTTTAGCTCTTCATAATTAGCTGGCAACAAAAATATCATTTTCAGTAGCAAGTAATTAATTCCTTACCTTTTGGAGGTTGCTATTTTATTAAATATTTCAAAGTAAAAACTACTGTTCAAAGTTATTTTAAAATTCAACTTTTAGAGAGAAAGTAAATATAATTTATTACTTACACCAGTTTTGCCACTTCCTGTTTCTGCAGCCTGAATGAGGGGAAAAAAGTTGATTTTACAGATTAAGTTGTCTATTAAAGAAATCAAACTAACACCATAGTATGTAGAAATCTTTAACATTTGACTGGCTACCTTTATTTTCACAGTGCCTCCAGATATCCAGGGTTCCTCTGTCAACTCCAACTACAGCCCATCTTGTTACCTTTCCCATACCCTTAAGAATCTTCTCTTCCCTTTCCCATTGCTACCATTCAAACGGAAGCTCTCATCATTCTAATCTAGATTATTATAAAAGTATCCGAACAACATCTAATCCCAGAGCTATACTACAATCTGCTACTCAGATTAGTCTTCATAGAAGACTAACACTCAAATTCTTTAACAAGACACTTGAGAAAGAGCCCAAATAATCTGACCCATTATCTCTCTACAATTTTATTTCAAGTTTATCCCCCCTCAGACACATATTTTATGCTACCAACCAACTGAAATATTCCAGGGTCATATCCTACATTCTACTATTCGCTGTTTTGCTGATATTCTCTCTACCTAAAAAGCATTTCTCTTTTATCTTCCCTTGCGAAAAATCTGGCCCACACTTATAACTCCAGCACTTTGGGAGGCCAAGACAGGAGGATCGCTTGAGGCTGGGAGTTGGAGACCAGACTGGGCAGCATAGTGAGACCCTGTCTCTACAAAAAAATACAATAAATTAGCTGGATGTGGTGGTGTGTACCTGTAGTCCCACCTAATTGGGAGGCTGAAATAGGAAGATTGCTTGAACCGAGGAGTTTGAGGCTGCAGTGAACTATAAACACACCACTGCACTCCAGCTTGGGCAACAGAGCTTGGCCTTTTCCAAAAAACAAAAACAAAAAAAAAGAAATCTACTTCCTTTAAGCAGTCCCTATGATCCTTCAAGCAAAAGGACAACTGGATTCCCACTTGAATTCTATACTACTCTGCATCTCTTACGAAGAAGCCACATTCTCTCTGATACGAGATTCATTCTTATACATGTCTTATTGCCCTAGTGGGTTTAAGCTTCTCAGGAGTAAATACTTACCTGTTTGAAGCTTTTACCTAATAGTCTGAATACAGTATATGTATCATAAATGTTTGTGAATAAAGGTAAAGTAGCATTTGTAAGCCTATGCAATTCTTAGAGTGTGTCCCCAGCTACCAATCACCTCACCAAATTTAAACTTACCATAAGTACATCACCTCCTCCTAAGATCAATGGGATAGATTCAGCCTGGATATCAGTTGGGAGGCTAAAAGAATCATATTTGAAGAATTTTAGTTACTGGGGAAAAAAATCGCCTAAGCAAATTAAGTCACGTTAATTTGCCTAAAAGAAAATTTTACGTGGTAAATACGATCCATCTTATTCCACTAGAAATATGTCAAGGTTAAAAAAAGGAAACTTTCCATAATTTAGAAAATCACAAAAAAAACCTGATTTTCACTTACCCAACTAGACACAAAAATATTTGATAAAATCACTAACAACTGTTTAAATT
Organism: Homo sapiens; assembly: GCF_000001405.40. NCBI lineage: Eukaryota > Metazoa > Chordata > Mammalia > Primates > Hominidae > Homo > Homo sapiens. Next base: position 15,595,240 of record NC_000002.12, on the reverse strand, counting down.
ATAAAACATCCTCTCCCAGGTACATTTAGGCTTTATGTACTTACAGCCAATCCATCTCTTCCACAGCTTGTGCAATCTCAGGCATTACACCCATCTCTGAAAGTAAAAATTAATTTTAAAAACCACATAAACTGAAATGATAAATTGCATTGCTCTCAAAATTACTATTCATAAAACAGGGTAAAGATTTTGAAGGATAGCTCAGTTACATCAAATCTACTGAGCGTGGCACTGTTGAAAGAGCACAAGTTCTGGAGAAAGACCTGAGTTCAAATCTAAGTTCTCACTTATTAGCAAGTGACCTTAGGCAAAGCTATAAATCTGTTTTCTCCACACAAAATGGGGCTGATATTGCCTACCTTGCAGGGCTATATGAAGACCAGAGATAATCATGTAATGCAACTGGAGCATGGTTGTCACCTAATAAACTGTAGCCACTACAGTGCCTGTTTACCTCTCATGACTCGTGAAAAGTCTGCCAAGAATAGACAGGGTTGTTGCATTTAGAGACAATGTGGCAGTTATGTGCCTTGGCTATTCTAGGACCATGTGAATACCCTCAGCAATTGGAAAAAAATGAATAGACAAGTGGCGAGCACCCACATTTATTGGCAGCCATAATCAAAATTCTGAATAACTGAAGAGGGAGGGGTCAGTGGTGAAAACGTGGGCACCTGGAAATGTCAGCTGAAGAACTGCTGAGTTCTTAACTGTATACATATCTCAATAATTCTACTTCAAGGCCCATCCTAAATGAATAGAGATGAGTTGCTCCTAACCGGGTTTTGTCATTTTATCATTTCTCATATGAACTGTAGAGGGTAATTATATATGGAGTAGTTAGTTGGATTACTTAAACTTTCCTTCCAAAAGACAAGTGATTTTTATTTTAAGTCTGTATTTATAAAATATAGCTTTATCATAAAAATATATATTCCTATAAAAAAAAGAACAAGAATCAAACATTCCCAAGCCCCAGAAATAACCAATTCTGAAATTCTGTATTTCTTGCCATTGTGAAAAGGCATAAAGCAAACATACAAACTGAAAATATTCTTCATAAAATTATGTAGCTTTTTCTTTGCATCAGATGAGAAGGATCATCATTTTCAAAGAAGGCTCTCCTAACTCTTTTTCTTTTTTTTCTTTTCTTTTGTTTTTTTTTGAGACAGTCTCACTCTGTCACCCAGGCTGGAGTGTAGGGGCATGATCTCCACTCACTGCAAACTCCGTCTCCCAGATTCAAGCAATTCTCCTGCCTCAGCCTCCCGAGGAGCTGGGGCTACAGGCGCATGCCACCACGCCCGCTAATTTTTTTTCATATTTTTAGTAGAGACGGGGTTTCACTGTGTTAGCCAGGATGGTCTCAATCTCCTGACCTCGTGATCTGCCCACCTTGGACTCCCAAAGTGCTGGGATTACAGGCATAAGCCACTGCACCTGGCGACTTTCCTAGCTCTTAATCTCAGGAAAAAAAAAAGCCACAGATAAACTAATGAAGATCTAAAGTTGAATATCCAGGCAGACCTTCCTAAGAATTAACCTGTATTACAGTCTATGTTCTCTCTCCTAAAATGCAAACTGCTTGAAACAAAGGAGTGGTGTGTTCTTACTGCATACGGAATACTGCAAGCTGAAGCTCTTTGCAAAATTGTTATACAAGAAACAACATATCATTTTCAGTAAATTCCAGACAATCTCTTGTACCATTCTGGTCATGTTCCCTGCAAGTTTTCTTTGAAAGCGGACCTTAAGTATAATACTTTTAACAGTTAAGGAAAAATTAGAAACATTCGTGAAATTCCAGTTTTGTCTTATTTCATATCACAGACTTTTTCCAGTCCTTTACCTCTAACATTCATGAAATTTGTGTATGACTCCCAAAGATGTGAACCTATAAAATGACTACCTAGAACTATCCTACAGACCTTGGCTCTAAAATCGTTTTAGGAGAATGTTGGGAAAAGAAAAACAGCAACAACTCTGAGCAGTTTCCAATTGAATCCTATTAGAAGATGTAACTGAAACAGTCAGAAATCTTACATGACTGTTGCACTTTGGGAAGCCGAGGTGAGCGGATCACCTGAGGTCAGGAGTTCGAGACCAGCCTGGCCAACATGGTGAAACCCCCGTCTCTACTAATAATACAAAAATGAGCAGGGCATGGTGGTAGGCGCCTGTAATCCCAGCTACTCAGGAGGCTGAGGCAGGAGAATTGCTTGAACCTGGGAGGTGGAGGCTGCAGTGAGCCAAGATCACACCATTGCACTCCAGCTGGGGCGACAGAAGGAGACTACATCCCCCCACCCCCCCATTCTCCCCCCCAAAAAAGAAAAAAAATATCTTACATGACTGGAGATATGGAATTCCTAATATTCTTACAGAAGAAAACTAAAAAATATAAAATACTACATCTGAAGTCATCTTAAAAAGTTAATAACATTAAAGGACATTAGGCCTAACGTGATACATTTATATAGCAATAAACGTTACATAAGTGCTACATAAATGTATCACGTTTAGCGCATTTAAGGCTGATTACAGCTTCCTAAAACTGGATGCCTAACAGGAGGATGATAAAGCAAGAGGCGAAAATATCAACTGTAGGGTTCGATAAGCCATATCAAATCATATTTGGAATAAAGGAGGGTAGCAGACGGCAAATAAATATGAATTTTCCAAACTTATGTTGGACTGGTGCGTACGTTAATGAAAATGCTTTCCCTTTAGCTTCAACACTGAACATTAATGTTGATATAACAACGTTTAAGAACAAATAAAGATCAGGTTTATGCCTGGGACGTTTTGGAAGGGCCTGAAAAAACTGGACAGAGGCAGGATCGTCATTTTTCCCCAATGACTCCTCCCCACGCCGTCTCGCCTCTCTGCCTGGCCAAGCCCAGATGAGCCGCGGGCAGAAAAGGGTTCCCAAAGGGTCACTGCCACGTTAAGAGGCAGGAGGCCCAGGCGTCTGGGAGCCGCCAGAGCAACGCCGCCGCCTAGATTTTGCAGCCGAAGGTGCACTGGCAGGAAAGCCAAGTGGAGACTGGTAGAAGGGAAAGGGCAGGGGGAGGGACGTTCCGGCCCGCTCCTGGGAAGAATCGTCCTCCGAACCCGAGCCGCGGCCGCCCCTGATCCCGCAACGCGGGTCCATCAGGGACTGCAGCGGACAGCGCCCTTCTGTCTCCCTGACCCCTGTCCGCTCCCGCCCCTTTAGCTCTCCGCGGGCGGCCCCAGGGCTGAGGCGTGCAACAAGCCGCCCCACCACCCCCAGAGTTTCCACAAACGCACCGGAGAAGGCCGCCATCTTCACCCCGTCCTCCGCGGCTTCGCCTGCTCGCTCCCTCCCTCCCGACTGACACGGCGTGGCAGTGGCGGCGCGCGCTTCCGGCCCCTGGTCTTCGGCGTTCGGAGTCCGGGCAGGGACTCAGCCCCGGGAGAACGGTTCCGATGGAAGGAAAGGCCCGCGCCGGCCCCGCCTTATGCGCCTGCCGCTGAGCGGACCTCTGGGACCTAGGGCTTCTGGACGCCGCCTTCGTTCTGGGCACCATGTGTTCGGAGCACACCACGCGGTATCAGGGTCACAGCTACAGAGAAGGAAGCAGATGTTTGGTGATTAGGGTCATCCAGTGGGCTCAGGCTGACACCACACCGTGCCCTCCCCACTCAGTCCCCCAGCTTTCCAAAGGTGAGCAGGGCCTTGGTGTGTGAATGACCCGGAGAGATGGACTGGATTCATTGCCCTGAGCACCAATGCCAGTGAGTGCCTGGCAGCCAGTAGGTATTTGTTACATTTTTTTTTTAAACTAAGTAATGATTTAGGTCTCCCTCCCTTCACCCATGTTTGATGTCGCTTTTATAATTTCGGGTTTGACTTCCATGCAATTTTAACTCCTTTCTCTTTGCAGAGAGATGGGGAAAGTAAATGAGGAATCCTCCCAACCAGACACTCACTCTGTCAGGAAGGTATTAGAATCTTTAGATGAGGACTCTAAAATTCGGGAAAGTTAAGTCACTTATCTAAAGACACATATCTACCGAATGGCAGCGTGGGATCTGAGCCACATCTGCGCAATGCGAGGGCGCGTGCTGTGCTATCTGTAGCCTGCCCCAGAGTGTCATGGAGAAAAGTGGAACCCTCAGGCAAGATAGAATAGGGTTGCAGCGGCCGGGCGCGGGGGCTCACGCCTGTAATCCCAGCACTTTGGGAGGCCGAGGCAGGCGGATCACGAAGTCAGGAGGTCGAGACCATCCTAGCTAACACGGTGAAACCCCTTCTCTACAAAAAATACACACACACACACACACACACACACACACAGAAGAAGCCGGGTGTGGTGGTGCATGCCTGTAGTCCCAGCTACTCGGGAGGCTGAGGCAGGAGAATCGCTTGAACCCAGGAGGCGAAGGTTGCAGTGAGCCGAGATCGCGCCACTGCACTCCAGCCTGGGTGACCGAGCGAGACTCCGTCTCAAAAAAAAAAAAAAAGAAAAAAGAATAGGGTTGCAGCTACTCCGGAGGCTGAGGCATGAGAATCACATGAACCTGGGAGGCGAAAGCTGCAGTGAGCTGAGATCGTGCCACTACACTCTAGCCTGGGCGACAGAGGGAGAGTCTGTCTCAAAAAAATAAAAAATAAAAAAGATAGAATAGGGTTAGAAGTACAGAGTTGGGAACCATATTCTGAGTTTGGATTCTAGGTCTGCCACTTGCTTGCTGTGTGACCTTGAACAAGTCATGAAGCTTCTTTGGGCTTCAGTTTACTTACCTGTGAAATAGGGATGAACAATAGTACCTTTCTCATATGATAGTTATGAGGATCAAATAAAATACATAAAGCATCTAAAATAGTGCATAGCACATGGTGACAATATAACTAGCTCTGTTATTACTATTACATGTAACAGGATTCACCTGAAGCTCCAAAGGCCCAGGACAATACACTCAGCCCTGCAGCTTTACACTTCCAGGGGGCACTATTCACATTATATTCTCTATTCTTGTTATATTTTGTCTAAATAAGACCCTGAGAGTTATGCAGTGTACCAGTTTTGAATGGATACCAAGTACCCCCACATTCCAAGGAGAGATACAAGACCCATATTATGCAGGACTTGCCAAAGGGAAATCTGAAATCTAATTTTTGTGCCTTTTGCCAATGCCCACCTTTAAAGTGTGAAAAATCGGCTGGGCATGATGGCTCATGTCTATAATCCCAACACCTTGGGAGGCTGAGGCAAGGGGATCACTTGAGCCCAGAAGTTCAAGACCAGCCTGGGCAACATAATGAGACCCCCATCTCCAAAAAAAATTAAAAAATAGTTGGGCATGGTGCACACCTGTAGTCTCAGCTACTTGGGAGGCTGAGGTGGGAGGATCTCTTGAGCCTAGGAGGTGGAGGCTGCAGTGAGCTATGATGGTGTCACTGTACTCCAGCCTGGGTGGCAGAGCAAGACCCTGTCTCAAGGAAGAGATAAAGTATGAAAAAATTAAAGATGCAAATTAAGAGAAAAGATTTCTGTGAAAAGAATGCATTTCAGGGAAATACTCTGAGAACTTTTGATCTGAGAGTTTGGGAAGCGTAAGGACTGCTCTGAGAAGCCGTCCCTAGGAGGACCTGAGGTGGCAGGGCAGAAAAAGAGACAGAGAGAAGGAGAGAGAAGCCTGCTGCAGGAGTTAACTGTGGGGGAATCGTGTGACATTTTTTCCCCAAGGGATAAATAGATCTGTGGAGAGTGGACTGGAAGTTTTCTTCAAAGGGAATGTGCCCAAGAGACTTCCCGGAGGAGCTAAATGATTCAGCACACAGACCCCCCAAAGAACGCAGTGGCATCCTTACCTTCCAAACTGGAGAAGAGATATCTCTTGTCTCATGGGAGTTGCATGTGGAGGATGCCAGCAAGGAGAATCTCCAAGATACCACAAAAAGTTCCCTCTAAGAGAAACAATCAGCCTTGAGCATGTCTAAGCCAGAAAGCACCAGAATCAGATCACCATAAACCCAGCCAGATAAAGGTGTGTACCCACCCGCCACCCCATCCCCTAGACTTTATCCTTCCCAGGAGTCAGAAACAACAGCTAATGGGAGAGGCGAGTACAGAAAAGAGACTGACCCCATCCTCCATCCCACTGCAGGCTTCTGGCGTGGAATAGGCCAAGCAGGAAGAGGAGGAAGCCATGATGTTGGTTGAAGTTGTGAATTTCAATCACGATCCTGGACATGATAGTTTACAGAAACGAGGGTATAATTAGATGAAAGTAACCAGACAACTCTTCATTGTCTCAGAGTGACCAGAAAAGCTCTGGAAGATGCCAGAGACTTCATCTAGGTCAGGGAAAGAAATAACCCATAGAGATGATTTCAAGGTAACAGATAATGTTTTCTGTTTGTGCCTTATCAAGTTCAGCTCACTTAATATACTGCTTTAATAATTATAGATATTTGTATGTATGTGTTGCAGTGCCCTCAGTAATGCAAATTGGGATATGTGAATTGGGGTATGATTGGCTCCTCTCCTTGGCAGGTAGAATAACACCAGGCAGAGAAACAGCAGCCAGGCCCTTCACCAAACCAAAAGATAGAGGATGGGTGCCTTTCAGTCTGGTATTTTGCTGGTCTAGTCTCCCCAAGAATAGGTTGATTTAATGGTTGCCTACTAACTGGGAGATTCCTAGAAACCCTGGCCTGGTCCCAGAAACCAGGACAGACACCACCAGGTGGCACCAAACTGTAGCCAAACTGAGAAGAGATTGGACTGGACCCTAAAAACTCCCAGCGTAGGCTTTTGTTCATCTGTCTCCATTTATACAAATGGACGTGCGACATTTAAGGCGGGTGATGGAAGTCTTCAACAACTGGATTGTGGTGCTGGTTGCACAGCTCTGTGAATCATTGAATTGTACATTAGTGAATTTTATGGTATTTAAATTATACCTTAATAAAGCTGTTTAAAAAATTATAATTAAAAAACACATATGGCTGAGCGTGGTGTCTCATGCCTGTAATCCCAGCACTTTGGGAGACCGAGGTGGGTGGATTACCTGAGGTCAGGAGTTCAAGACCAGCCTGGCCAACATGGTGAAACCCTGTCTCTACTAAAAATACAAAAAATTAGCCGTGCTTGGTGGCGGGCGCCTGTAATCCCAGCTACTTGGGAGGCTGAGGCAGGAGAATCACTTGAACCCAGGAGGCGGAGGTTGAAGTGAGCCGAGATCATGCCACTGCACTCCAGCCTAGGCGACAGAGCAAGACTCTGTCTCAAACACACACACACACACCCCTCAGCCTGGGCTTGCCCCCAGTATTTTTTTTTTAACCTCAGAATAACCCCACATTTTCTGTAATTGGGTAGTTTGGGCCCCACTAATCATGTGATAGGGAAGTTTTACTATGTTATCCATGGGCCCAAGATATTATGCTATGTATTTTCAAGTAAGCTATATTATAATTATATCCCACTGTAGAGCAAATGGTTTTGCAACTACTAAGGCAGACCTGAAAAAAAATGCCTTCAGGTATCTGGGAAAGTGTAGAGAGGATGGGTCCTGGGAAGGCCTCTGTAGATGGACCACCCAAAAGCCATACACAGTTCCTAGGTTAGCTCATTTGTGCTGCTATAGCAAAATACCTGAGAATGGCTAATTTATAAGGAACAGAAATTATTTCTGCCAGTTCTGGAGGTTGGGAAGTCCAAGATTAAGGTGCCAGTAAGTTTATAGTCTGGTGAGGGTTTGGTTTCTGCTTTTAAGGTGGTGCCTTGAACACCATGTCCTCCAGCAGGGAGGAGCTCTATGTCCTTACATGGCAGGAGGTACAAGGGCAAGAGACCAAATGCTCCATGAAACTTCTTTTACAAGGGCTTCAATCCCATTCATGAGAGCAGAACCTTCATGGGCCAATCACCTCTTAAAGGCCCCCCTCTTAAAATTACATTGGCAATGTGAAGTTTGGAGGGAACATTCAAACAATAGTAGTCCCCTTTCCCATTGCCTTTCTTTATTATAGAAATCTGAAAAAGGCTGGACGTAGTGGCTTATGCCTTTAATTCCACCACTTTCGGAGGCCAAGGTGGGAGTATGACTTAAGCCCAAGAGTTTGAGACCATCCTGGGCAACATAGAGTCCCTTTCTCTAACAAAACTTTAAAAAATTAACCAAGCATGGTGGCACGCACCTGCAGTCCACCTATTTGGGAAGCTGGCCGGGGGAGGATCTTTTTTTTTTTTTTGAGATGGAGTCTCACTCTGTCATCCAGGCTAGAGTACAGTAGAGTACAGCAGCGTGATCTCGGCTCACTGCAAGCTCCGCCTCCTGGGTTCACGCCATTCTCCTGCCTCAGCCTCCTGAGTAGCTGGGACTACAGGCGTCCGCCACCATGCCGGGCTAATTTTTTTGTATTTTTAGTAGAGACGGGATTTCACCGTGTTAGCCAGGATGGTCTTGATCTCCTGATGTCATGATGAAGGATCATTTTTGAGCCCAAGAGGTCGAGGATGCAGTGAGCCGTGATCACACCACTGCACTCTAGTCTGGGTGACACAGCCACACTCTTCTCAAAAAGAAAAAAAAAATGGAAACTTGGAAGAAGAAGAAAACAATCACCTTTCCAGATTCCTTTGTAGAGAGACAGCCCAGAGACTCAGCTCTGCCTGGAGAGATATAACTGGCAGTGCCAGGTTGGGACTTCCAGGAATGCTTTTCAAAAGGGAAAGATCTGTCTGGCATGCACCGTTTTTCCTTTGGAACATTGATATGATGCCTGGAAAGTCAGCAATGAGTCCCGAAGATAAAAGCCGCACACTAAGACTACTGAAGCAGAAATAAAAGGCTGGATCCTTAATGATGGTAAGCCCAGGTCTGTCTACCTCTAGACCTCTCTTGCAGCTTGAGAATGTCCCAGTTAAGCCACTTTAAAATTTCTTTTTTCTGCAGCCCAACACTTTGCTAAGAGGTACAGAAAAGAAAGGAAATAAAACACACATCATTATGGATATTGTGTAATGTATCTTTCAGGAACATTTTTTGAATGTTTCATAATACAGCAATAATCAAGCTATTCTGGCTAAAAGGCGGAGGAGACATTTGGCCTGAGTTGTGAGGGAAACATCCAAAATTATCCCTGAATATATGGCCATTTCCTCACAATGAAAATGAAGGTGAAATGTGACATATACAGTAGAGGATGTGACTCTGAACCCAGCCTAGGGAACACAAGTCAAATTAGGTTGTTTAGTTTGTCCTTTCATTGACATCCACCCTCCTCCTCAGTTCCTATTCCCAGGTCCTTCTGGAACAAGATAAAGCCAGCTGCTTAGTTTCTGAGGATCTCACCACCAAGAAGGAGGAAGCAGCTAGAGAGAGAATTTGTTTTAATCTAAAAGAAGTTGAGTAGAAAATACAATATCGTCATCCATAAACCCCCTCCCTCACAAAGTCCTTCCTCACAATATAGAATACAAACCTACCCATCATTTCACACAAGTAACAGTAACCTTCCCCCTCCATAAATGCTGTCCGTGTAGGTTGCCCCAGATCTACCTGTTAGGAGGGAAAAAACGACTCAGGAGTACTTGCACTGGATCTTGAATCTTGCTATGGTCAGTCTTTCCATTAACAAACTCTCTCCCCTTCAACACAGCTCTTAGTTGGTAAGGCTCCTGAATCCACCCTCCATAGGATGGTCCTCCATGTCCAGCCTCCTGCTTACTTCCAGCCTTATTACCTGCCACTCTCCACAAATTTTACTTTCTAGCATATCAAACTGTGTAGAAATCCTTGCATATGCCACATTGCCTGTCACCACTGTAGTTTTTAAAATGCTGTTCCCTCTCCCTAGAATGGCTTTCCCTTTTTAGTTTTGGCTATCTGTTGCTGTGAACAACTACACCAAAACTTAGAGGCATACTACAACAGCCAATATATTTGCTCATAATTTAGGGGGTCAGGAATTTGGGCAGGGCTTAGCTGGCTGGTTCTTCTTTTCCATGTGGCATTCCCTGAGGTCACTCACTAGGTCACATTCAGCTGGTGTCTTGGCTGGGCTGGGAGGTCAAAGAAGACTTTACTCCCATGTGTGGTCGCCCATTATTCCTCTACATGATATTGCTCTGTCCACGTGGCCAGCTTGGACTTTCTCACAGTGGGATTAGTATTAGGGAAGACAGACTTCCTACATAGTACCACAAAGATGTGTCTCAAAAGTAGAAAGCAAAAGCTGCATATCTCTTAAGCCAGCCTTGGAAGTAATACAGTGTCACTTCTATTACATTCTGTCAGCCAACACAAGTCATAGGACCAGCCTATGACTCATGGGGAGGAGAAACAGACTCTAACATTCAATGCAGTAAATTGCAAAGAGTTTGCAGCCATTTATAATATACCATCTTCTGTAATGTAGTAGGTGCATTTACAATATAACAAACTATAATAACACCTATCTTCTTGGCAAACTCCTAATTATCATTCAGATTCAACTAAGCTAGCAACTTGCAGCAAATCCTGCTTCCCCAATGTTTATTTCTCTTTTTCCTTAAACTTCTGACTTAGTTGGACATATGGCTGCTCAGAATACTCTATTTGCCAGCCTTCCTGGTAGCTATATATGGCCATATACCCATGTTCTGACCAGTGGTATATAAACAGAGGTGTCAAATGTGACTTCTGGGAAATGTCCATAATGGAGGTGTTGTGTTCCTCCTTATTTCTTCCTTCCTGTTGGATGGAATGAGGATGTGATGGCTGGGGTTTGAGCAGCCATTTTGGACCACTAAATGAGAGCCATATACTGAGAATAGCAGAAAAATAACAGAAAAATAGCTTGAGTCTCTGACACCTTTGGAGAACCATACCAGCCAAAAATTGTGACTCTAGATTTCTTAAATGAGAGAGAAATAAAGATCTATCTTCTTTCTTTGCAGGAAGGGGAGATGAGGGCAGTCTGTCTCACGCAGCCAAACCTAATCCTAATTTATATGCTCTCATTAGTTATCTATTGCTACGAAACCAGTTGCCCCAAAATCTAGTAACTTAAAACAATAAACATTTATTATTACTCCCAGCTTTTGTGGAACAGGAATTCAGAAGCAGCTTGGCTAGGCAGGTTCCACTTGGAGTCACTCTTGCAGTAGTAGCCAAGCTGCTAGCTGGGATTGCAGTCATCACAAGGCTTTGCTAGGGCGGAAAGATCAGTTTTTAAAGCTTGGTCACTCCCTTGTCTGTGCTGGCAGTGAGTGGGAGGCCTCTGCTTTTCTCCACATAGATCTCTCCCTGGGCCACTTCAGTGTTCTCATGATATTGCAGCTGGGAACCCCTCACCCTTCCCCACTAAAGCAAGCCATCCTAGAGAACAAAGCAGAATAAATATTATCTTTTATGGCATAGCCATCAAAGTCACACTATCCCTTCTGTGATATCTTAGTGGCCACACAGGCCAATTCAGCATGGAAGAGAACTAATACACACAAAGGTGTGAATTCCAGTAGACAAGGATCTTTTGTGGGGCAGGCAACCCAAAGGCTGGCTACCATATCCCTGCTTCCCTAACAGACCCCCTTATGTGTTCATGTGGCAGGTGGTGATGCCTCAGTCTCAGGAAAAAGTATGTTCATATCACATTCTCTGGGGTAAATTATGTTGCTTCTAGACTTGCCATTGTCATTAAATTTGTTGGCTTAGCTTTCTGTGTTTTTCACAATTTACCAGACTCACAGAGCAGTTTGAAGATAGGGAGGCTCACATTTAAACATCCTTTTTTCCCCCCCCATATTTCCTATAACTTCTGAGTTGAGCAACAATCATTGAATTTTATGCTTTTGTCAAAATAAGTTGTCAGAAACTGGTCCAGATCTATTAGAATGCAACATCATTCTCGCTGACCCGGCATTCACCTTATGGTGCAGGGACCAGAGGGGGCCTGGCAAACAGACATAAATCCAGAGATCTATAATTCCGTATCCCCTGAAGAAGTGGTCATAAAGTCCATCACTCCAGATATATGGGGAGAGGGAGACAAAGGGCAACCCGGATGAGTTTCAGAAGGACTGTAAAACAGAAAAAGAGATCTCACTAACTGCGTCACTCTCCGCATATGCAAGCCAGGCAGGGACACAATTTATGGTAGGCTGCCGACTGGCCGGCAGGCACGAACGTCCCTGTCTCCCACGCCCACCATCTTGAGTGTTCGTCAGCCTCTGTGAGTGATGCTGTCAGCCCTAGAGGAAATGGTGCCACATTTGGAGTCTAAACTTATGGGTGTTTAACAACAGAATGTACGTCAGACACATGTTTCAAATCCAGCAGCCCAGAATCTGCCAGGATCCCCAAATTCCATCACCTGCGACAGAGCCATTTTGCACCTGCACACAGAGCTCAGGCTCGCTTTCTCAGCCTCCCGCCCAGGTTCCTTGCTTCGCTGCACCTCCTTCCTGTCTGTGAAATTGATCTCAGGTTTTCTTGTTAACAAGGTCTGTGATTTTTTTTTTTTTTAGTAGACTGAAACAAAACCACTTGCTATATGAAAAAGAGGGGTAGGTAATAAAAAAGATGGTCAAGAATGTTCAAAATGCCTGGAGAAAACAATTCTGAATATAAGAATTTATACTGCCTGTTTTCTATGATACAATAATAAAAATAGGAATTTATAAAGGCTGCTTCCACTGTAGCTCTGAATGGTGGTGGTCCAGTTACTATGGCTGCGTAACAAATTACCCCAATATGTTTTTGACTTAAAACATGTGTCTGCTTTGCTTATAGATTTTAAGGGTGAGGAACCTGGGCACAGCAGGGATGGCTTATTTCTGTTCCACAATACTCACCTTGTCCAGGGGCTGGAATCATGACAAAGTTGTCACTCTCATAACTCAGTTAATGCTCATCCTAGCTGGGATGAGACCCAGCTGGGACTGTTGGCCAGCTGCAGCCTGGGCTTTTTCACAACACTGTGGCTTTATTCCAAAGGTGAGTATCCCAAGGGCCATGTGGCCTTCATTGACCAAGCTTCAGAAGTCAAGTGGTGTCATTTCCTTCTCATTTTATTCATTAAGATAATTACAAGGTTGCTCAGATTCAAGGGGAGGGATCATAGATGCCACCACTTGAAGGAGGAGCGTCAACATTACATTTTTTTTCTTTTTGAGACAGGGTCTTGCTCTGTCTCCCAGGCTGGAGTGCAGTGGCACAATCATGATTCACTGCAGTCGCAATCTCCTAGGCTCAAGCCGTCCTCCCGCCTCAGCCTCCCAAGTAGCTGGGACTACAGGTGTGCACCACCATACCTGGCTAATTTTTTTATTTGTTTTTAGAGAGAAAGTCTCACTATGTTGCCCAGGCTGGTCTCCAACTCCTGAGTTAAGCAATTCCTCCACCTTGGCCTTGGAAAGTGCTGGGATTACAGGTGTGAGCCATAGTGCTTGGACTCAACATTACATTTTAAGAAAACATGGGACAAGGTATAAATTGGTGTGGTGATGTGTTAGAGTTTTCCAGAGAAACAGAAGCAATAGGATGTGTGTGTATATAGAAAGAGATTTATTTTAAGAAATTGCCTCACATGATTATAAAAGGCTAGCAAGTCCAAAATCTATAGGGTGGGCTGGCAGGCTGGAGACCCAGGAAGAGTTGATGTTGCCGTTGAAGCCCGAAGACCATCTGCTAGAGAATTCCCTCTTGTTGGGGGAGGTCAGCCTTTTGTTCTATCAAGGCCTTTAACCGAATGAGGCCTACCCACATTATGGAGGGCAATCCACTTTACTCAAAGGCCAACTGTTTATTCATTTGGTTACTTATTTATTTATTGAGACAGGGTCTTATTCTGTCACCCAGGCTGGAGTACAGTGGCCTGATCATGGCTCACTGCAGCCTTGACCTCCTGAACTCAAGTGATCCCACCTCAGCCTCCCAAGTATCTGGGACTACAGGCACATGTTACTACACCCAGCTAATTGTTTGTATTTTTTATAGAGTTGGGGATCTCACCATATTGCCCAGACTGGTCTCAAATGCCTGGGCTCAAGCCATCGTCCTACCTCCCCTTGGTCTCCCAAAGTGCTGGGATTACAGGTGTGAGCCACCAATTTAAATGTAAATCTCATCCAAAAACATCCTCACAGAAATATCCAGAATATGTTTGTTTTTTGGGGTTTTTTTTTTTTTGAGATGGAGTTTTCTCCATTGCTCAGGCTGGAGTGCAGTGGCGTGATCTCAGCTCACTGCAACCTCCGCCTCCAGGGTTCAAGCGATTCTCCCACCTCAGCCTCCTGAGTAGCTAGGATTACAGGCGCCTGCCACCATGTCTGGCTAATTTTTGTATTTTTAGTAGAGACAGGCTTTTACCATGTTGGCCAGGCTGGTGTCCAACTCCTGACCTCAAGTGATTTGCCTGCCTCAGCCTCCTAAAGTGCTGGGATTACAGGTATGAGCCTCTGTGCCCAGCCCCAGAATATGTTTGACCAAATATCTGGGCACCATAGCCCACATATATTCATACGTAATATTAAACATCACACATGCATGCCTTGTCAACTTGGCACCCATACGCATCTCCTTAACCCATACTTAATCTCCAAGTAAACACAATAACAAGGTCATAATTCCACCTAAGATGATACAACTGTCCTGTGTACACTGGAAAACACACTAGCTCCTTCCCCAGGAGAGGATGTAAAAACTCTTGGATGATGTTTATTCTCCTTGACATTCTATTTTTATGTCAATATTTAGATATAAAATTAACAATACTTAGGTACTATAATATAAAATGAGTGTATCTTATGTTACATGAGGAGATAAGAGGGAAGAAAACAAAGATATTTGCAGCCAGGCACAGTGGCTCACGTCTGTAATCCCAGCACCTTGGGAGGCTAAGGCAGATGGATCGCTTGAGTCCAGGAGTTCAAAACCAGCTTGGGTGACATAGTGAGACCCTGTCTCTACCAAATAAATACATAAATAAAGACATTTGCCATATATGTATGTACATACGTATAGCAAAACAGATGTATATACACACATATATATATACAAACATACACATATATACACACATTTACACATATATACACACATATACATATATATACATACATATATACATTATAAACACACAAATATATTCATAACAAAATAAGGAAGAAATACTCATGGCAATTACAGTCCTTGTTTCTATAACTAGTTATGTGGTCATATCTGGTATTTATAACTACTGTACCTTCTTCCACTATCTGTTCTGTATTCCATTTGCTCTAAGCAAGCACCACAGCTGGTCATGAGACCTGATTTGGTGACCCAGACTGACTTTTATTCTGAAGGGTCTGGACCATTTGTCTTGCCTGGAATGGGTTGTTGTAGTTTTCCATTGACTTTAATCATGGGGCATGGTAACAGTAAGAATGCCCTAAGGAATTTCCTGTATTCCAGACATACTCTTCCTTACCTCTCTTGTGGAAAAGCAGTTCAGTTTCCAGTTGGTGATCAGGATCAATCACCCCAGCCAGCACAGTCATTCTTTTCCTGTTGACTCAGAGGCATGCAAATCCCAGAGTGACCAGGTGGCAATCTTAACTTCCAGTTCGATGGAATCACTGTTGTGTCTCCTGGTGGAGACATTCCTGCCTTTGGAGCTAAGACCTCTATCTAGGTCAGAAGAGTGTAAAGTCACAGGAACTGGAAGTAAAAATTTTGCTAGTGGCTCACTAGAGGTAATAGTGAGTGGCACCATTCACATCTCTGCCCCTTGATTCCTGGACCTGGGAATCTTGGCTATGGGAGAAATGGTATCATATATTGGATACTGATTCAGAGCATATGGCCATCTTTGGGAAATGCAATCTGCCACAAGTGGATATATTGAATCTCCTGATTTGGAAGCTACTTCTGCCCTGGGAAGAAATGGAAACATACTGAGGCCTGAGAGTGAACAAGGCACTATGTTCTTTCCATGAATCATCTCTAAGAGCTTCACAAAGATCCTTCATTTGCTATTCACCTAACAAAACTGATGAAGTGCCTCCTATGTGCCAAAGCCTATGATAGTGCTGGGGATATGAGTAAGACAAATATGAATAAGACACACTTCTTTGCTTTCAAGATAATCTAAGTTTTTCAACCGAGATAAATGTAAACACATAATTTACACAAGGCAGAAATGCAATGGTAGAGATATAGTCAGAGTATCATGGGAACTCAGAGTAGACAGCTAAGCCAGTCTGGAAGGGTCAGAGAAGGGATTTTGGAGAAGATAATATCTCAGATGAATATTAAAAGGTGGATTGAATTTAATTAGATGAAGAGGGGCTTATGGGGGAAGAAAGGAGGGGAAGCTTTTCAGGTAGAGGGGACAGCATGGAGACTTACACAGTGGCAAGAAACAGGATGGTGTACCCTGATGTATTAATCATCCAATGCTGCATTACAACCACACCAGAACTTAGTGGCTTAAAACAAAAATATTGATTATCTTACATTGTTTCTGTGGGTCAGAAATCCAGGAATGACTTATTACGATGGTTTTGGCTTAGAATCTCTCATGAGGCTGCAGTCAAGATGTCAACCAGGGCTGAAGGATCCACTTGTGAGCAGGCTCCCTCATGCACCTGGTGAGTTAGTGCTGGCTGACAGAAGACCTCAGTTTTTCAGCACCTGGACCTCTCCATGGGGTTCTTGAGTGTCGTCACTCATGGCAGGTGTCTACCCCCAGCAACTGATTCAAGAGAGAGGTTGCTGTAACCTCTGAAGTCTCACACCATCATTTCCACACTATCCTGCTGGTTACACAGGCCAGCCCTGTTCAATGTGGAAGGCACTGCATAAGTGCATGGACACTAGGAGGCTGGGGAATGGGGCAGGGGTGTCATTTTGAAGATTGGTTACCATACATAGAAATAAAAAATATTCCTCCATTCCTCACATGTCAAGTTCAAAATTGAAAAGTAGACAGAAATAATGCTAAAGAGTTTGGACCTGAGCTGTATCGGGGGAAATGTTTGCTGATCAAGGTTTACTCTGGGAGGTCAGCGGGCCTCAGCCTTCAGTGTGCACCAGAATCACCTGGAGCTTGTTAAAACAGGATGTAGGAACCTCCTCCTTAGACTTTCTGATTCAGAGATCTGGGGCTAGACCCATCATTTGCAGTTCTCACAGGTTCCCAGGCAACTTGTGAGTACCATGCTAATACTCCTGGTCCAGGGACCATGATTTGAGAACCACTGTGGTGGGTGGGACAGATATTAAGCAAGACAGTGAGATGATCGTATTTCCATTTTATAAAACTCTTCCTGGTGATTGTGTGAAGAACATATCTGTGTAGGCACAATTACAAGGCTGTTATTGCAGCAGTATATATAAGATGTAATTGAAACTTGAATGAGGACAAAGAAATTGTGTCAGGCAGGAGAGGACAGGTAAGAGAAATACCATTAACATGCCAGGATTTGATGACTTGTTGAATTTAATGGGGGTAGAGGGGGAGAGTGAAGGGAGAGTAATGAGAGGAAGAAAGGCGTTAGTGCAATGCGCAGGTTTCAGTATGGATAACTGGGTGAGTGATATTAGCATCAGCTGGGAAAAATAGATTACAGGAGGGGCAGCTGGTTGGTAGGCACGGGTCTGTTGAGTTCTGTGTGAATATCATGGCCAGCAAGTAGTCTGCTATGTGAGACTGAAACCTGGAGGAAGTACTTTGGGTTGAGATAGAGATTTGAGAAACCTCAACAAATAGGTAGTGACCCTGGGAATTGATGAGCTCACCCAGAAAAGAGAAGAGCAGGGAGTGAGGACTGAGTCGTGGAGCTGCTTCTCACCCTTTGCTGTGCATGAACATCACCTGGGGATTCTGTTAAAATGCAGATATGGACTCAGCAGGTCTGGGACGGGCCTGAGATACATCCCTAACAAGCTCCTCGTGATGCCAAAGCCACTGGTCTGAGCAGCACTGTTGTAGTAACAAGGTGTAGAGAACCCAAGCACTAGGGGGCAGTGTGGTGCAGAGAACAGGGAGAAGGCCCTAGAGGATGCAAGTAAAGTCAGAACTATAAGGACAATTCGAAGAGTCTGTTATTACAGAAACCAAGAGTATAGACATTCTGGAAATTTATGGGATGATTAGCATTATATGTTGGACACGTTAGTGGAGTAATTAGAACCCAGGTTATAGTAGGTTAAGGGCTAAATGAGAAGAGACTACTAGTGAGCATAGACTCCTGTTGTAAGAAGTTTGGATGAGGTGAAAATAAACTAGATGGAAATGCAGGATGGATGTGGGGGTCAAGGGATGGCTTCATTTTTTTATTTTTTATTTTTGAGACAGTCTTGCTCCGTTGCCCAGGCTGGAGTACAGTGGCACAATCTTAGATGACTGCAGTCTTTACCTCCTGGGTACAAGTGAGCCTCCTACCTCAGCCTCACATGTAGCTGGAATCACAGGTACGTGCCACCACACCCAGCTAATGTTTTTGTATTTTTCTGTAGAGACGGGGCTTTGCCATGTTGCCTAGGCTGGCCTTGAACTCCTGGGCTCAACAATCCACCTGCCTTGGACTTCAAAAGTGCTGGGATTACAGGCATGAGGCATCATGCCTGGCCAGTTTTTTTAGTCATGAGAGAAACTTGAGTGTGTTCACAGGCTGAGGGGACATCGCTAGTAAAGAGGGAATCTGCACAAGGATGCCCAAGATTAAGCCCAGCTTCAGAGAAGAAAGAAGGAATTACGATGGGTGAAGGGAATGGTTTCAATCAGGAGAAAGAGAGAAACTTTCTCCCTTAGCTGTGGGTACTAGCACAAAAGAACTGGAAGACTACAGTGACAGCGGTGTCCACAGGGACATCTCAGTTTGTGTCTCCCAGTCCAAAATTCAGCCCTAGAGAGACAGGGACTTCCCTTTCAGTCAGTGTGCAAGGGCAGTCAGGCCCTTGGAACTGGCTTAAATTAATTATGTCCACTTAAAGTCTTAAGCTCTATACATTTGGAATGGAAAACTTTATTTCTTATGATTGCTTGCAACCTTCAGGCTGGGAAGTGGAGCCTCTGGCTGAGATCAAAGCCTGCACTTTAGGCTGGGTACGGTGGCTCATGCCTGTACTCTCAGCACTTTGGGAGGCCAAGGCACGTGGATTGCTTGAGCCCACGAATTTGCTCAGCATGGGCAACATGGTGAGACCCTGTCTCCACCAAAAAAACAAAACAAAACAAAACAAAAACAAAAATTAGCTGGGTGTGGTGGTGTGTGCCTGTAGTTCCAGCTACTCAGGAGAACCACTTGAGCTCAGGAGGTCGAGGCTGCATTGAGCCATGATGGTGCCACTGCGCTCCAGCCTGGGTGACACAGTGAGACCCTGTCTCAAAAAAAAAAAAAAAAAAGCTGGAACTTTGAGGGAGGAAGGGTAGACAGGAGTTTTATGCTAAATGGGTTGGCTGAACATACATATTTGACAGGTTATAGGAGTTAGGAATATTAATGAAAGGGGGATCACACATGAGTGTGATAAGCAAACATATATGTTACATACATCCCATGTTGACTTTGCAGTGGAGATGTATCATTAAAATGCAGTAATATTAGACTCCATATGTCAAAAGGAAATGTAGGACATGAAGCTGCTTTGTGCACAGTCTGTGTAAACTGGCCAGAACCCTTCCATGGTGGACGGTCATTCCTTCAATGGAAGGGGTGCTTTGGTCAGCTGTCATGTCAAAATCTTGAAAAGGGAGGAGAGTCTGGCTGAGACACCAAGCAACTGGTTGAAGTTGATGTCAGTGGAGAAGTTTTCTGTTCTTTGCTTTCCAGGGCTGGTTTCTGTTTAACTCTTAAGTAGTGGTTAGTGAGGAAGGGGACACACTGAGGCATGACCAACCTCCCATCTTGTCTCGGCCAGGAAACAGTTTTGTTTTGTTTTGTTTTTGAGATGGAGTCTCGCTCTGTCACCCAGGCTGGAGTGCAGTGTCGTGCTCTCAGCTCACCACAACCTCCACCTCCTGGGTTCAAGCAGTTCTCCCTGCCTCAGCCTCCCTAGTAGCTGGGATTACAGGCACCTGCCACCACGCCCAGCTAATTTTTGTATATTTAGTAGAGATGGGGTTTCGCCATGTTGGCCAGGCTGGTCTCGAACTCCTGACCTCAGGTGATCCACCTGCCTCGGCCTCCCAAAGTGCTGGGGTTACAGGTATGAGCCACTGTGCCTGGCCAGGAAAGTTTTTAAAGATTTTCTGGGGTCTCCTTGGCCGAGGGAGATCTGTTCACTCCACTGGGGAAGAGGGGGCTTGGGAATTTATTTTTATTCCATGATTCTTATCTACAGTAAAGTTTGAGGAACACTAGTTTAATAAATTATAAATGTGCTGCTGAAAAGTTTCCACCAAAAAAGTGATCTGGGCAAAGCACATTTGCTATACGTTCAAGCATGTTAATGGTGAGGCATGAACAATGGTACTAACATCCAAAGGGAAACACATTTTTAGGAGGAGGATGACATGTTTTCAGGGCAGCTTCCTGGACTGCCCTCTGTGAGGGCTTTAAGGAGGCTGGGGCTGCTGCTGGGGGGATGTGGGGAGTACCCCGTGCTACCTCCTCCTCCAAGGCCCCACACAGGGGCCTGGCCTTCCTTCCTTCACAGTAGCTCAGGAATCCAAAACGGAGGAAACTGAAGCTGCCAGGCCTTCTTAAAGCCTGGGCTAAAAAGTAAAAGCTTTCACTCACGGGCCCAGTCCAGATTCAAGGGGAGGAGACATAAGCTCCACGTGTTTACCCACCAAAAGTGACTATCTCCCAGTGATGGTTGATACTGAGTGTCAACTTGATTGGATTGAAGGATGCAAAATATTAATCCTGGGTGTGTCTGTGAGGGTGTTGCCAAAGGAGATTAATATTTGAGTCAGTGGGCCGGGGAAGGCAGATCCACCCTTAATCTGGTGGGCACCATCTAATCTGCTGCCAGCGAATATGAAGCAGGCAGAAAAATGTGAAAAGAAGAGATTGGCTCAGGCTCCCAGCCTATATCTTTCTCCCATGCTGGATGCTTCCTGTTCTCGAACATCGGACTCCAAGTTCTTCAGTTTTGAGACTGGGATTGGCTCTCCTTGCTCCTCAAGCTTGCAGATGGCCTATTGTGGGACCTTGTGATTGTGTCAGTTAATAAACTCCTTTATATATCTATACTATTCTGTCCCTCTAGAGAACCCTGACTAATACATCCCCCCCCCATAGAAAGATTGGAATACTTGTCCTCAGCCTAAACTCCCTTTCTTTTTACTGACTGCAAACTGATGAAATTCTATACCTGCTCCCTCTACACCCTACTCCACCCCCAATTTTTATATGTGACATCTGATATCAAACCAGCTTCATTTTGCTCATGGACAGCAAACCAATCATTGGGACTGTGGGTTTTGCAAAAAAGAAAAGATTTTATTTTGTGAGATTGCTTACCAGGCTGCTGAGCAAGGAGAAGGAGAACAAATCGCAAATCCACCTCCCTGAAAACAGGGCTTAGGGGTAATTAGCGGGATAGAAAGCAGGATGGTGTGAAGTATGGGTAAAGGTGATTGGCAGGTGGGAAAGGTGAGGTAATCAGGGTTTCTGCACAAGCATAATTGAGCTACATGGCTCTTCATAGGATGCATGTTCAGAAAATGGTTGAATTAGCATGAAAGGAGGGTGCAGGTTTTGGCCCTTTGACATCAAAAGGTCACACTTTACGCACCCATGCAGGCTCAGTTGAAGGGTTGATGGTCTCAACTGGCTTGAACTCAACAAGAACTGCCTGCTAGCTCCTGCAAAACAACATTAAGCACTTATTATTATGGTGACCCACTGTCAGAGCTGTTATCTATAAGGAGGCTAGTGGAAGTTTAGTTATGCATTGTTTGGCTACTATGACTTGCTAGTGGGAATTTTAAGATTAACTGGATGTAAGCAATTAAAAGCAAGCAAGGCAGGTTAAATTAGGCAGGCTTAATCAGGTTAGCCCTCGGTTTCCCATCTTGCTTAATACATGCTAAAGTAAACAGAATATGAGCTATGTCTTAACCATTTGTTTGGAAGAAATTTTCAGCAGCATATTTATATTTAATTGTTTACACCAGTGCTCTTCAAATGCAAGTAGCTTAGAATTACTCCAGGGAGGCCGGGCGTGGTGGCTCACAGCTATAATCCCAGTGCTTTGGGAGGCTGACACAGGTGGATCACTTGAGGCCAGGAGTTTGAGACCAGCCTGGCCAACATGGCAAAACCCCGTCTCTGCTAAAAAATATGACAAAAATTAGCTGGGTGTGGTGGCACATGCCGGTAGTTCCAGCTACTCAGGAGGCTGAGGCAGGAGGATTGCTTTGACCTGGGAGGTGGAGGGTGCAGCAAGCCAAGATTGCGCCACTGCACTCCAGCCCCGGCAACAAGCGAGACTCTCTCTTAAAAAAAAAAAAAAAAAAAAAATTACTCCAGGGAGTTCTTTCCCCAATGCATATTTCAAGGTCTAGCACTCAGGAATTTTGGTCTCCCCTGTCCGAGGTGGAGCCCAGGAGTGGACATTTAAACAAATTCCCTAGGTGGGTGATTCTAATGCAGGTGGGTTTCCTTGGATGACACATGTGGAAAGCTTATTTTAGAATATTATTGTTTTAAGGTTCACCAACATGGTCATTTGGATTTCATGGCTTTATTCTTAGATGTCATTTTATTTCCTACTTCTTGATCTGTTAAAGAGATGAATGTTAAAGTGGTAAGGACAGATTTTAATCAGTAATATACTATTGCAATAGGGAAGAATGTCCAGCATGAACTAAACTCAACTTGGGAGGTGGTGGGGGGACTGCTAGAGCTTGAGCAGAGTCAGAGAAGTGAAAAATTAGGAAGATTGGTCAGTGTAAATGCCCATTAAGTCAGCTGCAATTAATCAATTAATTAAAGTTAGGGTTGTATTCTCCCAGAGACTAGAGACAGGTACTGTCATTCCTTATGATTACATTTCAAAGGAATGGCTTTCACTGCTGAGTTGTTGGAGAAAGGTGTACATCTCAAAGGGACAGAGGAAGGATTCACAATTGTAAATAGTGCATTGAGTAAAATTTAGTAAATGCTCTAAGAAAGGGTGGTCAGGGGCCTATGGTCAGGTGTTGGCTGGAACAAACAGTAAATTCTTTTAGAAGCCTTGTGCTTTCTCAGGCCCTTTAAGGATAGCTAGGGTCACTTACGGTGGTTGTGGCTCTGAGCTGTTGGTAACTGTTAGTGTTTGCTTAAGTCTTTAAATGGGGAGAGGAAGAGAGTGGACGAAATTGTTTACACTAAGAGTTTGTTGTTTTCATAGGCCAAGGTTGAGGCCTGGCAGATAAGAGGGCTCAGAGGAGCCTGGCTAGATTTTTGTTGAGAACCACGCTTTAGTTTATGTCCCCCAAACCATTCCTAATGGTTTCCCATTAGGAAACCAAGATATGAATAGATTAAATAATTCCTGCAAGGCTATAGAACTAGTCAGTAACAGAACTATTATTCAAAACAAGGTCTCTCTAACATTAGAGTCTATCCCAGAGGTAGGAGAAGGAGCTGGAAGATTGTAGAAGTCAAGATCTGTGAGAAGTGGAAGAAATGACATTCTATAAATGTGCCCTGACTGCAAAACTATTGTTTCATCTGTTAGGTTCAACGTAAATTCTAGAGCAATTTTTAGCATAGGGATACATTCGACTTTAACATGCTATTTTCTTACTTGGTGACTTCAGTTTGGTAAAGATTTTTGCCTACAATCTTTCTTTTAAATGCTTTCAATCTTTCTTTTAGTTCATCCTTTCAGGACTTAATTAGGTTCCAAAGTTTCTTTTAAAAATCATTTATCTCATATCTGTATCAGAATATAACAATTTAAACTTAAAAACTTTAAAAGTTTAACATTAGGTATACATTTTTTAACTAAAGAGAAGCCTAAAATGATAAGGACTTCAATAGGAAACAGTTTGCATGAAATTCCATGGAAGAGCTAAAACTATTAACATTGAGAGACATTTAATAATTCTTCCTCAAACGGTTTTTAATCCTTGGTGTTTAATTCAGTTTTTCCACATAGCTGAAGGTGTCTGACAGTGATGCTTTAATAACTTCTACATTTTGAGTTGGTACTTTGCCCTATCAAAATACATATTAATTACTTGTCAGTTTCATTGAATTTTTGCACTTTTGCTTAATATTTCCATTGTAGTTTTCAATTAGAGGAAACTCAAAGATAAACTGAAGAACTTAACCAAAATCCACTACAATGGTAGAAAAAAAATTATGGCTCATGAATGGTCCATTCATTGAGAGAAATTTTTTTCGAGCTTACATTATTTTGCTGGAAAAAATAGGTGATTTTTAAAAGTTACAATCTCCCTTTTAAGCAAAAAAGGTTAATCTATAATAGCATCAACATAACCATGTATAATTCATGTAGTCAATAAATATTTTCTCAGGGCCTGCTTTCAGGCTGGGTTTACAGAGATTAAAAAGTCATTGGCCCTGTCCACAAAGAATTACAGTGTTTTGGTTTTGTAGTTGCCTTTTGAATTTTTGTATTATTGGTGTTATTTGAGACTCCCTAGCCTTGCCGCCTGTGGACATGAATGGTAATGATCGTAATAGCAAATATCATAATTTCACTAGTCTTGTTCCTAGTTGATGACAGAAGACACTCAGTCATTTGTAAAATCCTCTACCAAATATTTCTGGGGAGTCCCATAGATATCTGATACATGTTGGCACAAAGGTCCATTACTCTGCCGATCATTTCCCTTTGGAGCCATTGCTGATCTGCTGCCCGGGGTCTGTGCTGTCTATGAGCTGCATGGCTGTTTGTAACAAAGCAGGGGGGAATGCCTTCCCCCTTTTTGTTTCGCTCTGCTAGGTTCAGAGGGTTTCATTTAGTCAATTTGTCAGAGAAGACATCCTAAAAGACTCCCACAAACAACAAGAGTGCTAGCTAATATAGAAACAAAAACAACTTTTAAAATGAATGAATGAGTTTGTAAGAAAGTAAAAGATATCTGAGTCCTAGCAACAGGTGTGGGAATCCATGGAAGACGGGGGAACTGACGCTTTAGGGATATTTATGGATCCGGATGTCCAGAGCTTTGATTGCAGGGCTGAAAATAGTGGAAGTGGGAAGGGGAGGCTTGGATTGGTGTAATGGGAGTGGATCTCTAGTCACTCTAAATAAAGTTAGCACCCATGAAGAGCTACAGTTTTTTTTTAATCCCATAAAAAAGAGGCAGAGAGTAAATAAATTTGTCTGTTCAGCCTGGAATCTGAGTGCATATAAAAGTCTCCTTTAAGAATTTGTTGCCACAGCCTGACACTCTCGTAAGTTTGGAGCCTGAATTTACACTATTTGTATCATGTGAAACAAACTTTAATTTAAAGTGGACCCAAGTCTACTGAGTGCTTTGCAGACATGAAGGCAAGTCTTTTCAGGGGGAAGGCACCCTCCATCTGAGGCCTCAAAGAATCCTCAGAACTAGAATTCCAGAGCATCTGAGCAAACAATAAGACACACACACACACACACACACACACACACACACCCCATAAAGAAAGAAGCCACCATGGCAAGAGTCAGCAGAAAAAAAATAGATACTCGAGGGCTTCAGGTATTAGAAATACCAGGTAGAGAATATAAATTATGTTTGATGTGTTTCTAAAAGTAGGACTTTAACAGAAAAAGAAAGTAACGAAATGATCAGCAGCCTTGAGTTTTAAAGAAATATCTTCTAGAAATAAAAATATAATAATATTTAAAAACTTGATGGAAAGATTAAGCAGAGAAAGCTTAAAAGTGAACGTGGGCATTGGAATCGAGATTAGAAGAAATTACACTGGATACAAAACAGAAAGACAATGAGGTATAAAGTGTGAGGGGGGCTGAGACGTACAGAGGATACAATGCCCCATCATCTGTCTAAAGTGAATGGTGTACAGGTGACATGTGAATAGGTAAGAACTGAGAATTTTCTTTTTTCTTTTCTTTTTTTTAGAGCTGTGGCCTTTCTCTGTCAGCCAGGCTGGAGTGTAGTGACACCGTCATAGCTCACAGCAGTCTCAACCTCCTGGGCCCAAGCGATCCTCTCATCTCAGCCTCCCGAGTAGCTGGGACTACAGGCGTGAGCCACGACGTCTGGCAAATTTCTGGCTAGTTAAAACAATTTTTTAAGAGACAGAGTCTGGCTATGTTGCCCAGGTTAGGGCAGAACTTTCCATAAGTGATTAAAACAAATAAAGGGAGTGGGGGAAATTCATATTCTAAACTTCTGAAATTACTCTTTATAAGAAAAGGGGAGGGTGGGGCCAGGTGCGGTGGCTCACGCCTGTAATCCGAGCACTTTGGGAGGCCAAGGCAGGCGGATCACGAGGTCAGGAGATCGAGACCATCCTGGCGAACACAGTGAAACCCTGTCTCTACTAAAAATACAAAAAAATTAGCCGGGTGTGGTGGCGGGTGCCTCTAGTCCCAGCTACTCGGGAGGCTGAGGCAGGAGAATGGCGTTAACCTGGGGGGCGGAGCTTGCAGTGAGCAGAGATCCTGCCACTGCATCCCAGCCTGGGCAACAGAGCGAGACTCTGTCTCAAAAAAAAAAAAAAGGGGGAGGTTGGAAGAGAGAAGTGTGTGTATGGGAGGTGTACGCATGGATGCATACGTGTGTGTTGTATTAGCTTAATGATTATTGCATCACCTTATTCCATTGGGAGAAATTTCTCTTTATCCTGGTTTATACTTGTTATTTATTCTGTCTTTCCCTGCCTCAAATTGACAGTTTTCTTAATGTCCTTTATTCTATTTTATGTTTTGGAAGATATATGTTGTAATTCTTTCTATCCCTTGTTTGTGCTTTTTAAAATTGTAAATTTACCTTTTTCCCCCAATATGTTATTATGAAAGTTTTCACATATAGTATAGTTGAAAGAATTTTACCATGAACACCCATGTACCCACCAATGAGATATCATTAGTATTTTACTATACTTGCTTTATCACATCTTTCCATGTATTTATTTATCTTCCACCTATCCATTAACCCATCTTATTTTCTGATGCACTTCTGAGGCACTTCAAATTATATTACAGATAGTTTACCTTTGCTTTTAAACCAAATAAAACTAAAAAGCTATTTTCACTTTTAAGTCAATAATTGATCAATTTACCAATGTATTTTTTTCTTTTTATGAGATGGAGTTTCGCTCTTGTTGCCCAGGCTGGAGTGCAGTGGTTCAATCTCGGCTCACTGCAACCTCCACCTCCCGGGTTCAAGCCATTCTCCTGCCTCAGCCTCCCAAGTAGCTGGGATTACATGCACCCGCCACCACATCTGGCTAATTTTTTGTATTTTTAGTAGAGATGGGGTTTCGCCATGTTGGGCAGGCTGGTCTCGAACTCCTGACCTCAGGTGATCTGCCTGCCTTGGCCTCCCAAAGTGTTGGGATTACAGGCATGAGGCACCATGCCCAGCCTACCAGTGTATTTTTACCAATGTATTAGTCCCCTTCTTGCACTTACTTGCTGCTGATTTATGCATTTGTTACTGTATGTGCCTCTGGTAGGGCCTATTTCCCAGTTTGATGTTCTGTATAATTTGTGAGTGAGAAAATTGGGGGGAGGAAATGGTCTGTTTGAATTGCATTGCTAATTAGTGTAAATGAGATTTCAGTAAGGGGTTGGACATTGTTTCTTTGCTAAAACCATGCATGAGCTTTATATCTATTTTGGCTGCCAAGATATATTATAAAAGTCTTAGAATATTTATGGAAGGATTGATTGGGATTCTGCAGGCTTTCTAGAGGAAATAAAATTTCTTGAATTGCTCTCAGTGTTATTTTATATTATGATTAAAATTTATATTCTTCATAAAGAGCTAGTGCACCATCCAATCAAATACAAATGTATGACACCTATAACAGGTAGTGTTTAAATGCCCAAATTCAATTTTACTATGCAATTTCAACTTTAAAACAGAAGCAACTTCATATGATGATCTAATCTCTTTTGTCTCTAATATTGAAAAGCATAAAAGGGTTAAATGCTGAATCATTAATGGCTTTTAGCTTAATGGACTTTTTAACTGATAGGAGCTAAAAGGCTGAGCTCCTACTAATGAATCTATGAGCTAATGACAGCTATACATTGATGAGTTAAGAGAAGAAAAATGATTCCCTTTTTTTTTTCTTTGAGACAGAGTCTTGCTCTGTCGGCCAGGCTGGAGTGCAGCGGCACAATCTCGGCTCATTGCAACCTCTGTCTCCCGGGCTCAAGCAATTCTCCTGCCTCAGCCTCCCGAATAGCTGGGATTACAGGGGTGTGCCACCGTGACTGCCTAATTTTTGTATTTTTATTTTTTTTTAGTAGAGATGGGGTTTCACCATGTTGGCCAGGCTGGTCTCGAACTCCTGACCTCAGGTAATCTGCCCGCCTCGGCCTCCCAAAGCGCTGGGATTACAGGAGTGAGCCACCACGCCTGGCCAAAAAATGATTCCTTTATGTGAGATGATGTTAAGTTTTTGTCTAATTCTAAGAAAGAATGTCTGTGGTCATCAGCAAAGTGAATGAGGATTATATTCAGTTCAGTTGAAGTACACTTAATATGCTATAAGGCTAGGAAGAAATAGGAAAATTTTTCTAAATTTATTTCCTTTTCATCAAAGGCTTATATCATCATCAGATCACTACTCTTTGAAGTGGGTAAATCGTAGTACCTTCTCTGTTAGACAAAAACTATTTCATTTGTGGCTTTACCATTACCAGCATGTGACCTTGGTTGGGTCACAGTGATTTAGAGCCTCAGTTTACTAAAGTACATCTATATCTACTTGTAGATACCTGGTATAGTGCTTGAAGCAGGGTAGGTACACAAAACATAGTGATGATGATAATGATGATGATGCCTACTTTGAAACTGTCTCAGATTTTATTTATCTTATTTCCTTAAGCAGTTTACAGTTACCATTTGTGTTGGTTATTTGGAAAACATAATTTTTCTCTTCAGAATGATTTATTCATAAAAAAGAAACTAAGAGAGAGAGAAAAGAGGCTGGGTGCAGTGGCTCACACCTGCAATGTCAGCACTTTGGGAGGCTGAGAGGTGCGAGGCTCACTTGAGGCCAGGAGTTCAAGAACAGTCTGGGCAACATAGCAAGACTCTGTCTCTCCAAACATTTAAAAGAAAAAAAAAAGACTTATTCATGATTTCAAATATTTTTGAACCAGA
This sequence comes from Homo sapiens, assembly GCF_000001405.40. Classification (NCBI taxonomy): domain Eukaryota; kingdom Metazoa; phylum Chordata; class Mammalia; order Primates; family Hominidae; genus Homo; species Homo sapiens. The sequence continues at coordinate 15,566,040 of NC_000002.12, read as the reverse complement.
GATGGACTTTCAGCTAAATTAAGGAGTTGATTAGATGATCACAATAGTATTTGTCAACCAAACTCTTACATATAATGTATTTAATTTTCCTTTGACAGGTTGATAATACCCCAGTTCCACGTGTTGGTACTCCTGGTCATCCTTAACTGTTTATTTTCACTTTGAACCATCTGAGTGCTCCATCTATGTTTTTAAATAATCTTTTCCATGACGTTCTCGGTAACATGTGGTAGTTTAAAGAAAAAGCACGGGATCAAGACCTGAGGACCTTGTCTGAATTTTAGCTCTGTTGTAATCTTGGATTTCTCTAAGCTTTAATATTCTTATCTGTGAAATAGAGATAGACTCTGTCTTCTGAGTCTGTCAATTTTAGCAGTGGCTGTGAGGATGGAAAAGCTCAGTAAGCTATGAACACTCTCAATTATTAACTAATAACACCAATCTGTCAATTCAGAAGCAACATTGCAGAGATCCATACACAACATACAGATTCTAAATTTGGTAAATCTTTAGCTGGGTGTGGTGACACGTGCATGTAGTCCCAGCTATTTGGGAGGCTGAGACAAGAGGATCGCTTGCATCCAGGAGGTTGAGGCTACAGTGAGCTGTGTTTGCGCCACTGCACTCCAGCCTGGGTGACACAGCAAGAGCCTGTCTTAAATAAATACGTACATAAATAAATAAGGTAAAATCCTTATTCCAACCCGTGTCTGATATTCTATATTTTAAGGTAAAATAAATAATGCAAACTCCACTGGTAGAAACACCAAGAGAGGGGTGGTTTCAATGCCTAGAAACTCAAACTAGTTGAAGCATAAAAGAGAATGAACTAGATCACTTACCTGGGAAGATGGAATCATACAGGTGTCTCTTGTTTCAAGCATGCTTGTATCAGATGAAGTCTCTACCTCTTTCTCTTCTCAGTTTTTTTCAATGTATTGGTTTCATTCTTTCACTATATAGACAGGCTTTCTCTCTGGAATGAATAAGATGGATGCTAATAACCCCAATATTCTTCAAACTCTGTGACCCAAAAAGGCAAGGAGCCTTTTCCTCCATTTCCACTTAAAAAAAAAAAAAAATCCCAGGGAAGGATTCTCAACCTGATGCTCAAAGTAGCAGGAATGGAGTTCTTTGGGTCAAGGGGGCAGAGTTTGGGGATTGGCGGCCCCACTAGGAATTATCTGACTGAGTGAATGAAGAGCAGCTAGAACAGTCTCCGAAGGAAGCAAAGGGCCTGGGCAGACAAAAATGACCAGTGTCACTACAAGCACGAGGGAAGAAAGAAGAGAATAATGACGAACAGAAGAGTCTTGCTATCCTTGTGAAACGCTCACCACCTCTTCATTAAATTACCCACTCTGCTGTTTAGGATTAGTGTGACAATCATCTCAGTTTGCCCATGACAGCCCTGTTTCATGCTTGTTGTCCTAGCATAACTATTAAAATCATGGCTTTTTCTTTTCAAAAATATCCCAGTTTGGATACTTTGCTATATAGTCACTGTAAATAAGACCAAGTAGCAATTTGGCTTCAGCCACTCAATCTGTTTTAAGTCATCCTATTCCTTTGATTCAGTTGAACTTGATCAGATCTTTGTCTTTTCTTTTCCAACCCGTGTCTGATATTCAACATTTGGAGTTCTTCTTGTGGCATACATATTCTTACCATCTTCTTCCCTTTTATTGGTCACCTCACATTTCTCCCCTTCCAGGAACTCTTCTGGATTTTAACTAGTGGTGCTGAAGGTTTAAGAACCCACTTACCTGCTCAGAGCATCTCTGCTAGTAGAATTTTTCTTCCAGGGATTGCTTCAAGTTAAATGTATACTCCCTCTCCAAATAGCATAGATTCATCCTGTGACACTTCGGTTGTTGTTTCTTCAGAGTAGAAGCTCTCTGCCAGGCATGAGTTTATGTTTTCTGTCCTTTTGTACATGCTATGGTAAGTGGGGTATGGATGAGGATGGATAAAACAATTAACATGGTGTGAGGCTGGGCATGGTGGTGCGTGCCTGTAATCCCTGCACTGTGGGAGGCCGAGGCAGATCACTTGAGCCCAGAAGTCCAAGACCCCCCATCTCTACAAAAAATAATAAAGTTAGCCCAGCATGGTGGCATGCACCTGTGGTCCCAGCAACTCAGGAGGCTGAGGTGGGAGGATTGCTTGAGCCCAGGAAGTAGAGATTTCAGTTAGCTCTCTTTGTGCCACTGCACTCTGGCCTCAGTGAAAGAGTGAGACCCTGTTTCAAAAACAAAAACAAACAAACAAAAATAGTGTGATGATGGTAAAATAAATAAATTCTTCATGGTGTATTTGCAGTGGTCCCCTTTGCACACCAGCTAAGAAGGAAGCATCCTTTGCCAGTTTGACCAGCTATCTCCTGGCCGTGGTTGTACAGATTGAGTGAAAGTGGTGAAGAGAGTGATGAAACAGAAAGCAACCCCAATATCTATCTGAGAAAGGATGAGACAGAGGAATAAAGAGCCAAGGAAACTTGGTGTGGAGAAATAGGTGGGGTTGTACTGAGGTACTGGAGGACTCCAGTAACCAGCCCTCACACCGCATTCCATGTGCATGGTGTTCCTGCCTCTTCATGTTCTACCGCATGCAATGTGGGCGGGGCTCCCCGGAGGTATACAGTTTGTCAGCCTTGTGCGGTAGGGAGAAGACACGTCTGGTGTTCACAATGAGGGGTTTGATTGAAGGGCACAGCTGCTATGCAGAGAAATACTATGGGGAGACAATGTGTAAAAGATTTTCTGGGAAGTCTGTCATTTATTCAACAAATAATATATATTTTGTCCTCTGCTCTATGCCAGGCACTGTTATAAATTCTGGGGATATAGCAGGGATGGATATAGCATTTGCATGCATATAGATAGAGCACCTGGCATGGCTTACCTTTTAGTGAATGGAGACAGATAATAAGCAAATATACTGTATAGCCATTTAAGTGATGACAAGTGTAATGGAAAAAATAATAGAGCAGCTCTGGAAAGCTGGAGTTGGAGAATGGTCATTGCAAATTTAAAAATGAGCAGTCAAGGTAGGCTTCAGAGAGAGACGACATTTGAGCAAAAACTTGAAGGAGATAAGGGAGGAACCAGGTAAACATCTGGTAGAAAGCCTTCCAAGTGGAGGGGACAGGCTTTGCAGAACTCCTGAAGTTGATGTGTGTCTGGTGTGTTCAGAAATAGAGCCAGTGTGGCTGAAGGTAGTAGGGGGAGCAGGAAATGAGGTGTGAGATTTAGGGGAGCAGGCAGATGACGTAGGGCTTTGAGGTCATTAAACTTTGAGAGAAATGGGAGCTGGTTAGAGGCTTCCCAGCAGAGGCTTTTAATTGCATCACCGCCTAATGCATCTTGATGGATATCATGAATATAATTATCTCAAGGGATATTCAGTATTTGTGTTTCTTTTGATGTGAAACAGTGTAATACTTTGTACAGTATATATTCATTCATGTTACAGTAGGCTCTGCTTATAACTGTCCACAAAGAGGTATTTGTTGAATGAATGAATGAATGAACAAATGGGGTTGACCTTTTCGCTCCCTCCATGCGGGTTCTCAACCTATTATTTCAACTTTATTGCCCCTACACCCTTTCTCAACTTGGGTTCTATTCACCCGTCTTGTTGAGTACTAATTAGGAAAAAAAAAAAGGCAGGCTAGTGGGAGCAGGGAAAAACAAAGAGATAAGGCAAATTAGCTATACGTCTGTCTTTCTTCATGGTCCAAAACATATAAACAAAAGGAAGAAACAAATAAGCCATAGGTCTACTTTTCTTTATGGCCCAGGACATATGGCCCTTCTACCCAGATAACGTACTTAACTCACAAACTTCCTGCTTACCTTCAAATGCCTCAATTTCTGAAACACTTCAGCTGACAAAAAAAAAAAAAAAAAAAGAAAGAAAGAAAAAAAAAAAGCAAGTTAACTCCCTGCTACCTGGTGTTATCAATCACTCCAAGTTCCAGTCTATAAAATTCTCAACAAGCCTTTGTTTCCTAGCAATGAGCTCCTCCTCTGCTGAGTCGGCCCGCTGCTCCCTGGCAACGAACTTTCATACTTTCTTTAATCTGTCTTTCTTTATCTACCACTGTCTTGGTAAATTCTTTTACTCCCACACTGAGAAAGTCGTCACTCACTGGCGACACGTTGAAAGAGTTCTTTCAACTCTGTATTTCTGCCTCTGTCTCTGCTCATTCCATTTCCCGCTACTTGAAATGCTTCTCCAGTAGATTAAAATTCTGCCTATTGTTAAAGACGCAGGGACAAGCTCCACGTCCTCCAGGAAATCCCTGCAGACTCTGGCCTTCGTTGCCTTTTCTGAGCTCCTGTAGCATCCTTCCTCTGCTACCTTTCATTGGATAACTTTAGTTGTTTATTTTAAAACCACTGTTTGAACTCTCTCTACGTGTTAGGCAAAGAATATACAAATGAACATTAGCATTTCAGTGGGGTACCTTTACCATTTCTGTTTTATGGAAACTGAGTTATAAGAGAGGCTCAATGACTTGGCCGATCTCATGTAGATTAATGAACAAGGAGTGTATCAGGACCGGGACACAAGTCGTTCCCAAGACAAGCAATAGTCCCTGTCCTTCCTACTCATAAAAGGGTTAACCTAGCATTTCCTTGCCGTGAAACAAAAGCGGCCGCGGATAGAGAAGCTTGTCCTGTGAGGGATTCCGTAGAGACACTCCTCCGCTGCCTGAGTCCTCGGCGAACATGGCGGCCCCCGAGTCAGGGCCGGCTTTGAGTCCAGGCACTGCAGAGGGTGAGGAGGAGACGATTCTCTATGACTTGTTGGTCAACACCGAGTGGCCACCGGAGACTGAAGTACAGGTGAACCAGGCCCATCTACAGCAGCAGCCAGCTTGGCGCGGGCGCTTCGTGGGTAGAGCCACGTAGCAGGAGCCACGTAGGGGAGTGGAGACGGGTGGGTGGGGGACTAGGGCCGGTTGGCTTGTGCGGTCGCCTTGGCAACGGCACCTTGGGCTAGCGGGGGTCTAGGGCGGGGTGGGGTGGTGGTCCCTGAGATTCTTCCTGGGCTCAGAATTCGGTTGTTGGGGGCTGGAACTTCGTGCTCTGGGGAGCGTACGATCCCACTTTGGTTCTCAGTTTCGCTCTCTGTATTGGGAGGAGAGGGGATTGTTAGTGTCGCTCTCTGTATTAGGAGGGGAAGGCACAGCGCTGGACTCGAGGGTCCTTTCTCCTATCTGGACCCTCAGTGGTCCCTTCTCGCGGTCTGGCTAGGGCTAGTCTGGGCCGACGCTCAACTGCGATGGGAGAATTTTCCAGGACCTTACAGTCTGCAGCATCTGCCAGGCTGGTGCAGAGCGCAGAATCTGAGCCTTTACCCATACTGGGGGCTGGATCGCGCCAGGTCTTGTGTGTTTCAATAAAAGAGCATTTAATAAGGGTGTGCGTGTCCGTTCGTCTGTCTCGGTGTCACAGGTGCTGTGCTAGGTGCTAAGGATACAGAGATGAATATGTTTTCGTGGAGCTTCTCGTCTAGAGGGGAGACAGTCCCGTAAACGTTTTTCATAACCTAGCGTTTTATGCGCTATAGTTAGCGATGTGAGCAAAATGCCACGGAAGTGCAGAGTAAAGAGCTGCTGACTGGGATTGGGATCTCCGCTACAGAAGGGTTATAGAGGTTGATAATTTATGGACTGGATCTTGGGATTATCAGTTGTTTGGTAGTGAAGGCCTCCCGGGTCTGTGATGAAGAGTAGGAACCATGGATCCATGTTTATTTTATTTTATTTTTTATTATTATTATTTTTTGGATCCATGTTTATTTAACAGATATTTATTGAGTGCTTAACACGTGCCAGTTACTGTTTTAGACCCAGAGGAAGCAGCCAGATCGAAAAGAACCTTTATTAAAGATTATGTAGTCCAGCCCATGTGAGTTATCTTACATTTTTTCTGAGTGTTTCTTTGCTGGAGAAACGACTCATTTTTCAGCCCAAAGTTTGTATTTTTTTCCTCTGTAGCCTCCTTCCCACTGCAGTTTGTGCTTATCATGAATAATTTATTTTGTAGACGGGTAGAGATCTGCATATATTACTGTTTAATTTCAAGTACTTAGTTTGTCTTAATGTGAATATTTTTTGGGTTATGCAGCTAGGAAGCTGTTGCTGAGGCAGCTGGTTAGATAAGTTTCCACTCCTTAACACTCATTGGTTAATTGCAGTAATGTTTCAGAATGCTTACCATAAATTGATTCCAAAAAAGTAACCACAGAATTAACTTACTTTGAAACCCTTAGCACTTTGTTTTGTGTTTGTGTGTTGGGGGTGGGGGAGTTCAATTGATTTCTGCATTCTATCGATTTCTGCATTCTGTTGATTTCAGCTGTTGAATTATAAGCTCTTGGAGGGCAGACATCTGATTCATCTTTATATCTCTTCCCAGGGCCAAATTGTGTCTTGCATGAATCCAACAATCAATTCATGTTTATTGAGTGAAATAACTTTTCTGTGTTTTTTAAAAAAATCTGTCTACACTTACTGTATGTCCATTGTGCTTTTCTTGACAGCACTTTAGTGCATCTTATGCAGTGCCTAGCGTCATGAACCTACCCACGGTGTGTTCAGTCTATACTTATGGAATGGAATTATTTAATATAGCAATTACGTATCTGTGTATGTTTTGTTAGTAGCATTGTCTGTATAGATACACAACAGATAGTCAATGAATTGGCCTTGGAGATATGACCACTTTTCCTGTGAGCAAAACTTACAGCCTCAATAGAGTATGCTGAACTGGCAACCAGTATGGTCTTTGGCCTTGACTTCTCTTGTCTTTGGATTGGTTTTTGATTTGGAAACAGTTTCCAGCTTCAATCCTTGTTCTTTCCTGCAAGGTTAGTCCTGACATGTGCCTGTAGCTCTGCTATGCTCACTTTTCTCCTATTGTCCCGCGTCCTGTGTCTACTTTTTTTTTTTTTTTTTTTTTTTTTGAGGCAGGGTCTCACTCTGTCACCCAGGCTGGAGTGCAGTGGCATGATCAGGGCTCACTGTAGCTTCGTAGCTTCAACCTCCTGGGTCACCTCAGCTTCCCAAGTAGCTGGGACTATAGGCATGCACCGCCATGCCTGGCCAATTTTTGTATTTTTTGTAGAGATGAGGTTTTGCCACGTTGCTCAGGCAGGTCTGGAGCTCCTGGGCTCAAGCAGTCAGCCCACCTTGGCATCCCAAAGTGCTGAGATTACAGGCGTGAGCCACTGCACCTGAACATCCAGTCTTTAAGTAGTTTTAAGACACTGCTTCCCTGTGCCCAAAACTCTGAGTATTAGTAAATAAAAATAAGTTTACATATTGTATAAGTAATACTGGTCTAATACTACTAGAAGATTCAAATGTAAGTGTTTTTTGTTTTAAATTCCAGCCTAGAGGCAACCAAAAACATGGTGCATCCTTTATCATCACGAAAGCAATTCGAGGTAAATATAGCTTATTTCTCTACAGTAATGATATGGTTAACAGTTAAAATGTGTTCTTTAGACTTCTGATGTGGAGCCTAATAAAAGTAATGTGTGTTATCTGAGTTTAATTATATATATATTTATATATACACACATATGTATGTATATGTATACATTTGTATATTTACGCATGCACGTTTTTAGCTCTAATGCAGCTTAGAGCTAAAGTATATAGCTTTGGTTTAACCATTATGGATGTATTCTAGAACAGGTGTCCTCAATTCCTGGGCCATGGACTGGTACCAGTCTGTGGTCTGTTAGGAAACAGGCTGCATAGCAGGAGGTGAGCGATGGGTGAGTGAGCATTACCACCTGAGCTCCACTTCCTGTCAGATAAGCGGCAGCATTAGATTATCAGGGAAGTGCAAACCCTATTGTGAACTGCACGTGTGAGGGATCTAGGTTGCATGGAAAAATTGTCTTCCACAAAACCAGTCCCTGGTGCCAAAAAGGTTGGGGGACGCTGTTCTAGAAGGAATGAAGGTCAAAGCCAGTATGAGTCTCAGAAAGTCAGTGGATGTTGAAGGTGAAAATACACTGAGAGACTATTTTAAGAGGTCTATGTGGTGTTTCAGATAGATCTGGTCAGAGATACTCAAATTACAGATTTGATAAGCCAGGGTATTCATTTAACTCCTGACAAATTTTACGTATGAACTAACAAGAGTCTGAGAAAGGATTGAGCACTAGGTTTACTGAGCTGGTGCCATGACGGGTTTACCATATTCATTAATAGAGTCCTTTTATCAGACCAGAAAGGTGCCGTTACTCCTTTATGATTTTAGATAAGAAAACTTGCTCAAGGTCATTCATTTGGAATTTGACTGCATGTCTTTCTGGCTTCAAAGTCCATCCTTATACCAGTGAATTTAAGTTCCTTATAAAGAGAAAATTCATTTTCACAGAAGTTAAGTACTTGAAATTAACTGTAATCTTCTGATTATCCTTTTATCTTCTGATAAAATTACAGTTAATTATAGTTAATTTTATCTTCTGATACAAGAAGCACTAGCATATTCAGTTTTCATAATGACAAATGCTTTTAAATTTTGAGAATTTAGAAAATGTGTACAAATAATAAAAATTCATTGTAGAAAATACAGACACTATAGATAACTACAAATTAGAAAAAAATTTGTCCTCATACCACCTAGAGAGAATCTGTTATTCTTTAGATATTTTTCCATTGATATATACCTAACTGCATACACAGGTACACACATACATGTACATTTAGGATGATAGAAAGCATTGTTTTTTATAGCGTGTTAGAGGTTTTGTTTTCCGTGGGCTTTCCCATTTTAGGTATTACTGTTTTAAAAATCTTTGCTATAAAGTGTAAAATATATCTTGCTTTAATTTTTTATACAAATATTTTGGTTTCTAAGGGGTGATTATTATAACTTCTAGTCCATGGTTTCATGAAAGCTTCTTAGATTAAATTTAACATCTCAAACTGCTTTTATTTCTTGAACAGTTAGGAAATACTTGAAACTTTTGAATAACACACAAACATGGAATTTAATAAGTATATGACCCTGTAAATGTTACAGTGTATATTAGGTTATATTTAGTCTCTCATTTTAAGACTTGAGTTCTTTATTTTTTTTAATGACTCGCTCTGTAGTATATTTTAGATTTCTCATCTATAAATCTAATTTGAAAATGATTCTTAACAGCTGATTTATATTTGGCTTTGCCATTTCTTTTGATTACAGATCGTTTATTATTTTTACGCCAATACATCTGGTACAGGTGAGTCTTCGGTTCTTCAGAGAAACAGTATGAACATCAAATATAAACAATATTGTTCTATATATGATTTGTTTTCATAATTGAATTCTAGATCATGATAAAGTTGCTGACATTCAGGCAAACTCAGTATGAGACATTTCAAACATTTAGGTAGAATCTGACAAGATATCTCAGTAGACTTAGGGTAGTTTTTGTTCCCTTAGTTACTATTAAGAATGTCTCATGACAATTTCTGCTTCCTCTGATGACTATTCTCAGGCTTATCTTGAATGTCCATATGAAGCATCTGTAGCCTGCATATCTTTTAAAATACATTTTTGTTCTTGTCATGTCATCTCACTTGTGGTTAATATTCAACTGCTGTATATCAGAGAAGGTTCTTTAGGTTTCAGTTCTTGTATATTTTTTAATTCCTTGAGTGTTAAGTATATTTGCAGGGATGATGCTAATTTCCAGCTTTAGAAAGAACAAAGAAATTATTATTATGACAAAAAAGTTATAATTCTGCTTTTAGATACATGTGTAGGAATTGTTTTATAGAATTATTTACATAGATTGCTTCTTCGTTGAGGATATCTTGTCGTAAAGTTCCAGAGATAATATAGTTCCATAAAAGAGACCTTTGGCGTTCTCTAGGACTTGCTCCAACGTCTTTCTGCTTTTACTCTATGTATGTGTGTGTGTATGTGCATACATGTATATATGTATGCATATTTACAATTTCTATACTTAATTGTGTCACTTTTTTTGTGGGTGTGGGATATGATAGGATAGAGCAATGAGTAGGAAGAGAGAGTGGAAGGAGAGGATAGGAGTGTGGGAGGTGGGCTGTGTTTTCTGACTTCTCTAGGCGACAGCTTGTTAGTCCTGAACACCCTTGGATGAGGTGTCAAGCTTGTCTTGTTCAGGTTGCTGCTTGATAATTCTTTTTTTTATTTATTGAGAAGGAAGACTCAAAAAGTTAACTCTGCTACAAGCCCTGTCCTCTGTGTGAGAACCTTATGATCAGGCATCAGAAGTAGGTATCTTTTTGTCTCCCTTCCTCCTGAGAAGCCTTTTTCCTTGAATCATTGTACAGGTTGCAAATGCACCATTAAGTGATTCATCTGTCTCATGATATGCTGCTTTCAAAAAGATTATAGTTCAATTTGTGCTCTTGAGTTTATGGTAATTAAACCCAAAGGTTTTGGGGTCAGTATTTGTTTCAAGTGACTTTTTCTTCTTTTTTTAAAAAAGTTCTTTTAATTATGAAATATAAACATACTGAGAATTATTGACAATATAATAAACCTGTATCAGCTAGCTCTTTTTGTTTTTATGCAAAATGTTACATCTCAAGTCCTTTCCCTTTTTCTTTTCCCTTCCCTTCTAGAGGAAATTATCATCCTCATATAGGTAGTATTCACATACATGTTTTGTATCTTCATTATATTTTTGTAACTGTCTTTTGATATTATTTTGTGTTTTAAAAAATGAGCGTAAATGTACTACATGTATATTACTAATTTTTTTTTTTTTTTTAAGAGAGGGTCTTATTGTGTTGGTCAGGCTGGAGTATAGTGGCTATTCACAGGCAAGATCATGGTACACTGTAGCTTTAAACTCCTGTGCTCAAGCAATCCTCCTGCCTTAGCCTCCCGTGTAGCTGCGACTATAGGCACATACCATTGTGCCTGGCCACTAACATTTTGGAATCCTATTTTGTGTTTTCTGATTTCCATAATTTATTTTTTTTCTATTTCATGAAATTATGTTCTTTATTCTTCTTTTCCATCTGTTTTCTTGATTTCTTCGGGTATTAATCCTCTAATTTGCTGTGTCTGCTTACTCACTTATGATGAGTAGTTTCGTGTCTTTTGTGAATGGTTTTATTTTGAACTTATGCTTGCAGATTCTTGCATCACATGAGTAAAGTGAAATTGTAATCTGATCTTACATATAGTACAGACTTGGACTTTTACTTTTTCATAGGAGATTTTATTCTTATCCTCCACAGAACCATAGTTCCAGGGAGAGAAGAGAGTCTTTAGTCTCCCTGGGCCTATGGTGAGGTGTTTCTAGTTCTTTCAATGACCTGGTGCAGTCATTTGAGCATCCTGGCCTTTGCAGGAGTCTCACTTCCAACTCCTGTCCTCTCTTTGGTTCAGTAGCTCATTTCCTATCTCGTGTGCTAAGTCCTGTTTTGAGTTCTTATCTCTCTCTTTACCCTGTGCCCAATTCTAGCTTTCAGTGACTTTTTCATTTCTAGTACTTGGAAATTTATCTTTCTTTCTTGTGAGTTTAACTCTATGCTAGAATTTGTTTTTGTTACAGTTGAGCCAGAGTTCCTAGGTAGTTAGAGCAGAAAGGGTTGGTATAAGTGTACTCTGCTCTGTGATTGGTATGCTAGATGTCTGTTACCTGGGAAGTACATAACATTTATACCTTTGAACACATCACTGTGTTTTTTGGAAATAGAGAAATATATATGGTCAAATTTCAGCTACCAAATAGTAACTTTGGGTTTTGGGTTTGCTAATATTCAAATTTTATATTCTAATGGAAAAAAATCTGTGTCTCTCTCTATAAGTATATGTGCTATTTGTCTGCATATATGTGGTTTTCATGATTAGATTTTAAGCTAACTAATGTGTTGTGATTTCAGCCCGGCACCTTTTTTGCTCCCTGATGGACTGGTTCGCTTGGTTAATAAACAGATAAACTGGCATTTGGTACTTGCAAGGTAAGGAAGTGTGAAATTCAATGTTTTTCTGTCTGGATTAGCTTTTACATTTCATTATGGACGTTAATTTTGGAATGCTTGTGGCTTTCAGTCTTGATTTTTATTGTGTGTAAATTTCTTTGTTGCAAATATTTAGTATTGTTTAAACTTTTTAGAGAGAGAGGGAAAGAGAGAGAGGGAGAGAGAGAGGGAGAGAGGGAGGGAGGGAGAGAGGAAGAGGGAGAGAGGGAGAGAGAGAGGGAGAGAGGGAGGGAGGGAGAGAGGGAGGGAGGGAGAGAGAGAAAGAGGGAGGGAGGTAAAGAGAAGGAGAGGGAGAGAGAGTGGGAGGGAGCGAGGGGGAGAGAGGGAGAGAGATGGGGAGAGTGGGGGAGAGAGAGCTTAAACATGTTAATTCATGCTGTATTAAATCATTTTGTGTGCTTTTGTACCTGTATCCTCATCTAATTGTAAGGTCAAAAGATGGATAATTAAAGCATGTGAACAAATTTAAAAATGATTTTTAACTTATTAAATAATTCCATCTGTGCTGAAAACTGCTATAGATATTCATAATAGATTTTCTTCCCCCTCTTTCTTCTCCATAAAAGCAATGGAAAGCTTTTGGCTGCTGTTCAAGATCAGTGTGTGGAAATCAGGTAATTGTTAATATTATTCATATTCAAGATTTCCTTTGAGAAATATTTGTTACTCTATAAATGGAAACTAAGATTTTTATAGGGGATATATTTAAAAGGATTTTATTATTAACTCACTTAATTTTGTGAGTGTCAAACACCAACTTACGCCAGTTAAAAAATTAAGGATGCTTTCTCAGAGTTATATGCTTATCTTTCTCCTTCCCCAGATCATTCCGTTGCCTCTTAAGAAGTTTTACTTTCTCAGTAAATGAGGCCTATCCTCCAGAACTCTGGAAATCACTGTTGTGTGACTATTTACTGCTATATTAGCTAAACAGAAACTCAGGAAGGTGTAAAAGAGTAGGGATGGTTCAGCACTTTGGGAGGCCGAGGCGGGCAGATCACAAGGTCAAGAGATTGAGACCATCCTGGCCAACGTGGTGAAACCCCGTCTCTACTGAAAATACAAAAATTAGCTGGGCATGGTGGCGCACACCTGTAATCCCAGCTATTCGGGAGGCTGAGGCAGGAGAACTGCTTGAACCTGGGAGGCAGTGAGCTGAGAACTAGTTGCAGTGAGCCGAGATTGTGCCACTGCACTCCAGCCTGGCGACAGAGCGAGACTCTGTCTCAAAAAAAAAAAAAAAAAATAGGTATGCTTTTTCTCTGTTGGTACAAAACTGTAGATGGAATATGAGTGTGCAAATGACCTAGGTTACGTATTACTTGAGACCAATTATGCTGTCTGTCCTCTTGAGACATTCAGTGGTATTATATACACATCTAAAAGACATCTCTAAGCTGGACTTTTCAGGTGTTTTATTTTTAAACAGTATATCAGTTATGAAAGAAATAGCAACAATAGCAACTGAGAAAAATGAGTTCATTCTTTGGGAAATGTTATTAGGAAAATCATATGGAAGAGGAATATATTTACTGTTCATTAAGTGGAAGTGGACCATTACAAAGGTCTTCATTATCGTCATCTTCACATGGAGTGGGCTGAGGAGGAGGAGGAGGAAGAGAAGGTGGTCTTGCCATCTCAGAGTGGTAGAGGTAGAAGAAAATCCACATAGACATGGACCTGCATAGTTGAAACCTGTGTTGTTCAAGGGTCGACTATAGTAATTCCATAATATTTCATTGGGTGCACATAGCAAAGTTTAATCTCTTTATACTGGGTATTATTTTTCTCCTTTATAAATGAGACCATACCAGTTTTTTTGATATCTGTATGTATCTGTAATTATTTCCTGGGGATAACTTTATAGAAATAGAATTGTTAGGTCAAATGCTACAGACATGAAGGTTTTGGATAATTGTTATTAAATTATTTTCTAGAAGGTTTACCAGTTTTCATTTTTAAACATATTTTATAATAATTATTCTACTTGGTATATATTTCAGGATCACAGATTTAAAATAGGTTGTTGATTTAAATATGGTGACCTATTAAGGCTGTTTGATTTCTCAAAATAAGACTTTTTCCCCTAAGTGATCAAACTTTGTAATATGATACAGACCAGTGGTTCTTAATTAGGAATGATGTATCCAGCAAAAAAATATTTTTGCTTGGGCCCCATCCCACATTTCTTGATTCAGAACCTTTGGGGATGGGGACCAGACATCTCTATTGTATGAAAAGACCACGGTAAATTCACTTAGGCTGTGTCACTATATTCCATATATATGTCTCCATAACGATGTAGCTCCGTATCTGATGCAATAAGGTTGGAAGAAAATATTGTCACTGACAAAAGGGTCATAATTGAGCCACAAAACCATGTCTGAGAGGAGATATGATTGAGCATTGTATATAGAGGCTGTCTAGTCCACAGTATCTGGTATTTTATGGTTCTATACAGTGTTACGATAAAACTTTTGCCTTGATTTTGCATGTTTTACAGGTCTGCAAAAGATGATTTTACATCCATTATTGGGAAATGTCAAGGTAAGAGTTTCCAAAATATTTAAAGAATGAAAATTTCAAATGCGCAATGGTTTCCAATGTTTCTTAAAAGTTAGAATAGATATTAAATATTTATTAACAAGGATTATCATGACTATTAAAATAATTTTTAAAAACTGCTTTTTTTTTTTTTTACTGTCTTAAATATTTTGCTTTAAAATGGTTCATTTTAGTGAGATTTGGAAACTGGGTTCTAAAAAAGTCTAAGCCAGTTATGGGATGAAGTATTTTTAACTGTAGCCTTTTATTTTGGATTAAATGCAGAAATAAATAGGTATAAGTCAAGAGTTAGATACAGACTAGTAAGAAGTCTAGGATTTGGCCATTTTTTAAATATATTCAGCAAAAATTTACTGACTGTAATTTACGTGTATGTGCTGTTTTGCTGGTTGCTTGAGGAATGATTGTGAGCAAAAAGACCTGCTCCTTTATCTCATGAAGCATATAGATGCTCAAATATATAATTACAAACTTTGACAAATCTAATTAAGGAAAAATTAAATCCCATGAGATTTCTTAATCGGGGGTGTCAGATGAGATGGCTGAGAAAGAAAAATGACTTTTGGAAAGCAGCTTTAAGAAAGAGTAGTCTGGACGCAGTGGCTCTCACCTGTAATCCCAGCACTTTGGGAGGCCGAGGTGGGCGGATCACTTGAGGTCAGGAGTTTGAGACGAGCCTGGCCAACATGGTGAAACCCCGTCTCTACTAAAAATACAAAAATTACCCAGGCATGATGACACATGCCTGTAATTCCAGCTACTTGGGAGGCCGAGGCAGGAGAATCACTTGAACCTGGGAGATGGAGTTTACAGTGAGCCGAGATTGAGCCACTGGACTCCAGCATGGACAACAGAGTGAGACTCCGTCTCAAAAAAAAAAAAAGAAAAGACAGAAAGAAGGAACCTTACAGGAGAAAAAAAGGGTGGTATTAGGTAAATGCATCTATTACCTATGTTTTATTTACAGGACCTACAGTTCCATCTGTCTGATCTTGTGTTAGTTTAACAGTGTAATTGTTGTAGGAAGTATAATAATGGTAAACATGGTCATTGTGTTGATGACAAACATTTATAGTGTTCTTACTGTGTGCCTGGCACTGTATTTAGGGCTTTACATGATTTTCTTGTGTAATGGAAATAAAGCAGTATAAATATTTTATCTTAAAACAGTATTAGGATAAAATATGTATTTGACATCAATAGAGAGCAAGGAGGTGGGAGGCACTGGTAGTTTTCAGAGCTACAATGTGGTAATACAGAAGATTCCCCCACTCCCTCATGGAAATGCTGTTCTTTTTTTATTTTTATTTTTTGAGATAGGGCCTCACTCTGTTGCCAGGCCGGAGTGCAGTGGTGTGATCATGGTTTACTGCAGCCTGACCTCATGGGCTCAAGTGATCTTCCTGCCTCAGCCTCCTGAGTAGCTGGGACCACAGGCATGCACCAGCATGCCTGGCTAACTTTTTATTATTTTAAAATTTTTTGTAGAGACGAGGGTCTTGCCTTGTTGCCCAGGCTAGCCTCAAACTCCTGGGCTCAAGCAGTTCTCCTGCCTCAGCCTCCCAAAGTGCTGGGATTATAGGTGTGAGCCACTGTGCCCAGCCTTTGAGAGAGAGATAACAGATAATGACTGTACTTGTACTTAAGTGCCATGATGGAGAAGAATCACCTTTAACTTAATTTTACCAAGCCCTGGGAGCCTGTTTATTTATTTATATAGTAATTTTATTTATTTATTTATTTTTTTGAGACAGGGTCTCAGTCTTTCGCTCAGGCTGGAGTTCAGTGGCATGATCATGGCTCACTGCAGACTCAACCTCCTGGGCTCAGGTGATCCTCCCATCTACGTTTCCCAGGTGGCTGGGGCTACAGGTGCGTGTCACCATGCCCAGCTAATTTTTTTGTGTTTTTTACAGATACAGGGGTTTGCCACGTTGCCCAGCCTGGTGCACTCATGGGCTCAAGTGATCCTCCCGCCTTGGCCTCCCAAAGTGCTGACATTACAGGCATGAGCCACTGTGCTCAGCCTGTTTAAATAGCTCTTTTATTCCACTTGTGTACTTCCACCATCACAGCCTTAGTTCAGGCTCTTAACATTTTTTACTTGGTTTCTTACAACAGTCTGCTGACAAAGTTTTCTTCTGTATGCCCTCTAGTAATCCACACTTTATACTCCTTGGCAAATTGATCATTAAAAAAACACTATTCTAGCAGGTAACCCTTCACATCTGACTTAACTGCTTTCTAGATTTCTGGTAACCTCGGGCAAGTTACCTCTCTGAGCCCCAGTTTCATTATCTGTAAAATGGGCATAATTTTATAAATTGAGTTGTGGAAAGATTATATGAATTAATGTATGTAAAACTCTCGGCATAGTGTCTGACACATCATGAATACTTAGGAGATGTTAAGCTATTGTTATAATTACTGTTACTATAATTCTACCTGAAATCTGTCAGTTGTTTGCTATTGACTGGAATACAGTTCATTTTTTCTAATTTACGATAAAAGACTTTTCGCAATCAGCCTGTCTATCCCGTGAGAGTCTCCTGCTATATGTCTTATGTTCTAGTACAAAACAGTGTGCAATTTTCTAACCCCATTGTGTTCTTCATGCCTTCACGTACAGATGGTTCCTTTTCTCGGAAGCTCCTACCTTTGTATTGAATTAATTAGTCTTGTATATTTTAGATCAAGCATCGGCTCTCCTCCCTGTGTTCGCTCCCACCATTTGTACATCTTCATGTTTCCCATCTAGTTGCTTCTGCCTATATCACAGCACTTACTTAGCCTGCTTTCCTTTTTTATTGATTTAATTTATATATATTTTTTGAGATGAAGTCTTGCTCTGTTGCGCAGGCTGGAGTGCAGTGGTGCGATCTCAGCTCACTGCACCCTCTGCCTCCCAGGTTCATGTGATTCTCCTGCCTCAGCCTCCTGAAGTAGCTGGGATTACAGGTGCGTGCCATCACACCCGGCATTTTTTTGTATTTTTGATAGAGATGCGGTTTCACTATGTTGGCCAGGCTGGTCTTGAACTCCTGACCTCAGGTGATCCACCTGCCTCAGCCTCCCAAAGTGCTGGGATTACAGGCATGAGCCACTGTGCCTTGCCTGATTTCTTTTTTAATTGTTGATTTGCTTGTCGGATTCCCAATTAGATTGTAAATTATTTGATGGCAGGGGCCATATCTCACCCAATATAACTTTTTTTTTTCGTGCTTAGCACGGTGCCTGACACATCGTAGGCACACAATTTTTGACCGTATCAAGTGGGTAATGGCACTTGGGAACTATTCAAATGATTTTTATGGATGAATGAATATACCAACAAAGTATGTTTGCCTGTTTCTTGTTTAACTTTAGAAATTCACAAAAGTGTACATGTATTTATTATATATAATACTGTCTATATTATACATATTATAGAGATCCATGTATAAATTTGTGGAAAACTGTCATGGCATTAATATTTTTTATTCCTTATGTATACATGTATACACATAGCATGAATAGAGCAATAAGGGTGGATAAGAAGACCTGTTTGCCTAATCCTTTTGGGGAGGTAGTGTTTAAGTATGAATATCTAAAGCTTGGGGCTCTAGCCCTTTTTGAATATACCTTCTGTAGTTTCCTCACCAGTGCTTTAGAGTAGACCAGGCCTTGCTTAAATAATATGTAAAGGTCAAGAAGTTGCCAGAAGAATAATTTGGTGGGTATTCAATTGCCTTTTTCCCAGTGCAGCCCTTTCACTGGGTGAGAGCTTGGGGGGCCTAAGATAGGTTTCTGAGGAGCGTGCTTAGAGTGTTGGAGTGATTCAGATATACAGGGTTCTTTTGAGCTTCGGCATTAGATACCTGCTCCTAGCCAGTAGGTAAATCGAGAAATCTACAAATTAACATGAACATGGGAAGCTTTACCCTTCTGTATTTTATACAAATTATAATATTTGTCAGAGTTTTTAGTGTGTATGGTTAATGTGGCAGCAAGGATAAGAAAATAATGCTTTGAGAGCTAATGTTTTATTTTGTTGGCTTCTGTGTGTGTGAATTTATGACCTTAATACTGCATTAATGGCTTCTTTCCATTTCACATAATGTGAGGTAATGATCATTTGCTTGTTATCTGACTCATCTTTATGGGAATAACTCCCATATGCCAAATGATATTTCATGTGTGTGCCTGCAGAAAAGGAGCCAGATTGTTGTTAATGCATTTTTGAAACTACATATTGCAGAGTCTACAAACTGAAATAGGAGCTATTTGGTTCTACTCTGATATTTTTCAATTATTGTTTTATAAAATACATGCCATTCGAGAATGTTTTAAATGTGGATTGTAACTTGTTTTGGCTCTGTTAGGCCATAAATAGGAATTCAGTTTTCTCTTTCTACCTGAATAATGAACTAAAAATAGCACACGAAATTAGAGTTTTTAAAAAGAGTTGTACTATGGTAGTCAACAGATTTTTTCATAGTTTTGATTTTGGGATACCATAAATGCGAGTTTCCTAACTGTACGCAACAGCTTGCCTACTATAGGTATGGTAAGGTCCCATCAGCCCTCCAGTGGCTGGGTGGGCACTCTGACAGCTTGAACTTCTCCTGGTTGCCTCTGGCTTCCAGCAGCCTCATCAGTTTACTGTTAGATGCCATACAAATATGATTTTCTCTGTGTGTTGACATGAAAAAGGTTGGGAAGGATAGACTATTTGAAACACCCAGACTTGTTTTTTTTGTTTTGTTTTCAGACGGAGTCTGGCTCTGTCACTGAGGCTGGAGTGCAGTGGCGCCATCTAGGCTCACTGCAACCTCCACCTCCCGAGTTCAAGTGATTCTCCTGCCTCAGACTCCAAGTAGCTGGGATTATAGGCACCTGCCACCATGCCCAGCTAATTTTTGTGTTTTTAGTAGAGTCGGGGTTTCACCATGTTGGTCAGGCTGGTCTCGAAATCCTGACATCAAATGATCCACCTGCCTTGGTCTCCCAAAGTGCTGGGCTTACAGGCGTGAGCCACCATGCCCGACTGAAACACCCAGACTTTGAAATGAAGCATTTTGTTCCAGAATTGTGATTCAGGATCCTCAGATTATATGATAACCATTTGCCCTTTTTTGGGAAGTTTAGATGAAGTAATTTTTTCCTATTGAAAACATAATACACATTCTTCGTAGAAACTTTAGAAACTAAAAGTGAGAAAAAAGAAAAGAAAAATAAGCTCACCACCAAGAGATAAATACTATCAACATTTTATTTATTGTTTCAGACATTTTCCTGTACCTGTTACTGTAGATATGTTCTATGAAAATAAGTGTTTTGTGATCTGATTTCTTCACTTAAAGATAGGTTGTTAAAAAAGAGTAATTTTTAGGTTGAAGTTTAAGAAGCACTTTCCAGAGTTATCTTTTTTGATCATTTCTACTGAATAGCGTCTTAGGTGTTAGGACATAGGTCTCCCAGCTATCCAGACAATCCAGGAAATGCTTATAAACTTGATCTCTGAGCAGCAAGCCACTAGATATTGTATTTGATTCCACCAGCAAGGGAAAATCATCATCAGGCATTTATGCAGATAATTGTGTAAAACATAGCAGATTATTGCATCTGCGTTCATGAAGGATATTGGTATTTAGATTGCTCTTTTGTAACATCTTCCTGGTTTGGTATTGGAGTAGTGCTGGTTTGAAAAGGGTTGGCAAGTGTTCCCTCCTTTTTTATTTTCTGAAACAATTTGTGTAGAATTGAATTATTTCTTCCTTAAATGTTTGATGGAATTCACCAGTGAAACTTGGAGTTTTCTTGTAAGCAGTCTTTTAATTAACCAATTTTAAATCTTGAGTTTAGTTAAAATACTAGTAATTAATAAGGCTTTTTAAAATTTTGGTTTCCTTTTATTTCAGTTTTTGTGGAATTTTTCCCTAAATTGTAGAAATTATTGGCTTAATGTTTATAATATTCCCTATTACCCTTCTGTCTGTAGGATCTGTACTGACGTCCCCTGTATCGGTTTTGAGATTTGTACTTGGTATTTTTCCCTTTTCTCTTAAATCAGTCAGGCCAGAGTTTTGTCCATTTGTTAATATTCTTCAAGAAAAAATTTTGGGTTTTATGGATTTCTTTTTTTGCTTACCTTGATTTTTGCCCTTATTAATAGTTCCTTTCTTCTGCATACAGGATTTAATTTGCTCTCATTGTTATAGATGGAAGGTGGAAATTTAGATTACTGAATTTAAACTTTTTTCATATATAAATTAAGCCTATTCTAATATAAGCATCTTTTTGTTAATTACGTCTAATTTAATTCTTTTGTTGCCAGAGAACATAAACAACATGATTTTAACCTTTTTCATTTATTGAGGCTTGATTTATGGCCTAGCATATATTCTGTCTTCATGAATGTTTCACATTTAAAAGAATTTGGTTCTTGGGTATAGCGCGGGTATTGGATATATTTTTTTTTTTGCCAGCCAGAGTCTTGCTCTATCACCTAGGCTGGAGTGCAGTGACACGATCTTGGCTCACTGCGACCTCCACCTCCTGGGTTCAAGCAGTTCTCATGCTTCAGCCTCCTAAGCAGCTGGGATCACAGGCGTGCACCACAATACCCAGCTAAGTTTTGTATTTTTTAGTAGAGATAGGATTTCACCATTTTGGACAGGATGGTCTCGAACTCCTGACCTCGTTATCCACCCGCCTTGGCCTCTCAAAGTGCTGGGATTACAGGCATGAGCCCTGAGCCTGGCTCTTTCAGCTCTTTAAAGATGTCATTGTTTTGTTTTTGACAAGAAATTGGGAGTCATTGCTATTGTTTTCTTGGATAGAAGGTGTGTTTCTTTCTTCTGTCTACTTTAAAATTTTCTCTTTATTATTGTTTGTCAGACATTGATTATCATGTGCCTTGATAGCTTTTGAGTTTATCCTGCTTTAAGTTCATTAAGCTTCTAGATAAGCAGTTTTGTAGATTTCTTCAAATTTGCAAAGTTTATGCCTATTGTTTTTATCCAATTGATTTTAAATTTGTTGTGGCATCTTTTCCCATAGAGAATTCCCTCCCTCCCTTCTTCCCTTCCTCCCTTCCCTGCTTCCCTCTTTCCCGCCTTCCTTCCTCCCTCCCTTCACCATTTGTCACTTTTTTTCTTTATAAAGTCAGAGTTTCTTATATTTAGGCCTTTCTTATTGTAGAATTGTTAAGGTTTTTCTCTTGTGTTCTTCTGGCGACACTATTAACATTTACATATTTGGCTTCTCTGATGTCTTTCCACTCCCACTAGTTTGCCCTTGCTCACTGGTTCTTGACTTGACTTGGAAGTAAAGAATGTATATATATGAGAGATTGTTCATTGAATTCACTATGAAAATGAGGAAACTGAGACCATACCCAGGGTCATACCCAGGTGTCTTGTGGTAGCACTGAGACAAGAACCCAGTGTTTATTATTTTTAAATCCTTGCTCATTTCCATTGCTAGTTTGGGTAAATGGGCACTGGATTGAAGTCTGCTCCTTGAGAATTTGGGTGTTTGTTATGTCCCACCAGAGTACTAGGCACTGGTCATAAACATTATGAACAAAATAGACACAGCTCCTGACATTTTGGAATTTATAGATTAACAAATAAGGCAGACAATAAAATGTCTGACAAATGATACGATTTGGCTCTGTGTCCCCACCCAAATCTCATCTTGATTTGTACTCCCATAACTCCCACGTGTTGCGGGAGGGACCCAGTAGGAGATGATTGAATCATGGGTGGCAGTTTCACCCATATTGTTCTTGTGATAGTGAATAAGTCTCACGAGATCTGATGGTTTTATCGGGGGTTTCTGCTTTTGCATCTTCCTCATTCTCTTTGCCTGAGGCCATCCATGCACGATGGGTCTTGCTCCTCCTTGCCTTCCACCATGATTGTGAGGCTTCCCTAACCACATGGAACTGTAAATTCAATTAAACCTCTTTCTTTTGTAAATTGCCCAGTCTCAGATATGTCTTATCAACAGCATGAAAACGGACTGATATAACAAACAAATGTATGATTATTTGGCGTAAGAGCTGTGAAGGACATGAAATCATTGGACTGGTGGAAAATAATGGGGCTCAGAGGCTACTTAGGGTGGTCACAGAATGCCTTCTAAGGAAGTGCTATTTAAAGTGAAGCTTGAAAGATGAAAAAAAGCCAGTGGAGTGTTAGGGAAAGAATGTTCCAGGCAGAGAAAATAGCATCCACAAAAGCTGTGAGATGGGAAAGAGCTTGGCAACCGGGCAGATTTGAGGAGCTACAGCTGATGAAAATATGAGTCGGGGGGTATAGACTTGATTTCACCATGCATGTGTCAGTTGTCAATTTGCTGGTTAACTTTTACCATCAGTGTTTCTTGCATACTTTTCAGACAACTTCATTGACTCTTGCTTTGTAAAAATCTGTACTGTTCATTCCTTTCCCAAGCCACACGAGCAACTGGAAAAATCCAGTGATAAAGTCTTTATTTTCACATTGTTATATGAAATCTTACCTTGTAATGAAAAAATATTTTTATCTAGGTCAAAACACCTGCTGAGTTTTCTGGAGTTACTGGTTGTAACTAGCATATAAAAGCAAATCCCTTGCAGATGCAATGCAGTGCATAGAATCTGTTTATCTTATCAAAATGAAATAAGAGGAAAAATCTGTTATCACATGGTAGTGTTTCCTTAGCACATAAATATTTTCAGGGGAAAATTGTCATCTTGCTGGTTTTTATGTAGCATCTGTGCATATGTCAATTTTTTATTCTTTTGTTATTTTGCACCTGTGCCTGCTTTGAAGTTTGATTTTTTTTTTATTTTTTTTATCTTATTTATTTATTTATTTTTTTATTGATCATTCTTGGGTGTTTCTCGCAGAGGGGGATTTGGCAGGGTCACAGGACAATAGTGGAGGGAAGGTCAGCAGATAAACAAGTGAACAAAGGTCTCTGGTTTTCCTAGGCCGAGGACCCTGCGGCCTTCCGCAGTGTTTGTGTCCCTGGGTACTTGAGATTAGGGAGTGGTGATGACTCTTAACGAGCATGCTGCCTTCAAGCATCTGTTTAACAAAGCACATCTTGCACCGCCCTTAATCCATTTAACCCTGAGTGGACACAGCACATGTTTCAGAGAGCACAGGGTTGGGGGTAAGGTCACAGATCAACAGGATCCCAAGGCAGAAGAATTTTTCTTAGTACAGAACAAAATGAAAAGTCTCCCATGTCTACTTCTTTCTACACAGACACGGCAACCATCCGATTTCTCAATCTTTTCCCCACTTTTCCCCCCTTTCTATTCCACAAAACTGCCATTGTCATCATGGCCCGTTCTCAATGAGCTGTTGGGTACACCTCCCAGACGGGGTGGTGGCCAGGCAGAGGGGCTCCTCACTTCCCAGTAGGGGCGGCCGGGCAGAGGCGCCCCTCACCTCCTGGACGGGGCGGCTGGCCGGGCGGGGGGCTGAACCCCCCCACCTCCCTCCCGGACGGGGTGGCTGGCCGGTCGGGGGGCTGACCCCCCCACCTCCCTCCCGGACGGGGCGGCTGGCCGGGCGGGGGGCTGAACCCCCCCACCTCCCTCCCGGACGGGGCGGCTGGCCGGGCGGGGGGCTGAACCCCCCCACCTCCCTCCCGGACGGGGCGGCTGGCCGGGCGGGGGGCTGAACCCCCCCACCTCCCTCCCGGACGGGGCGACTGGCTGGGCGGGGGGCTGACCCCCCCACCTCCCTCCCGTGAAGTTTGATTTTTTATTTTAGCAGTCTAAAGACAGGGAATTGATTTTTTAGAAAAAATTATTCCCACTTACAAAAATGGCTGTTCCAGAATGTATGCAGTATCTTGTTAGGCTTTAATAAAATTAATTAGACTTATCCATGCTGAATGACCTCTCCGGGATTTTTTTGTATACTTTTAACCTATTGATAAATAATCAAAATGAAGAAAATCGTTGATGCCTGGTGTACTTTCCCCATATATTCCCTAGAATATGTATTACAAAGTTAAGGGAAGTCTGAACTCTACACATTATTTCTTTTAGGTAGATAGATGACTTCCGTTATAGAATTCACATTTCATTGGTAGTCCTGGAGGGATGGTGAACTCTTACCATTACCTTGCCCTGTTAATAGAGATTTTTTTTTCTGAGAGACATAGGTGTCACTCGTTAGTGAAACATTAATCACTTTGAATTCCAGGTCCTGGGAATAGAATGTTGAATAAGACATTGTTTCTGATTTCAGTGAGCTCAGAGACTTGTGGGGCAAATAGGTAAACAACAATATGATGTGATAAATGCTATGAAAGAGGTATGTACAGAATATTTGGTGGCACAGAGCAGCCAGTTTTCAAGGGTGTCAAGGAAGGAGGAGGTAACAAACTAGACCTGGAAGGATGAGTAAGATTGGAGATGAACAGTCTAGGTAGAGCAGCAATATGTATAAAAGGCACGTATGGGCGGGGTGCGGTGGCTCACGCCTGTAATTCCAGCACTTTGGGAGGCTGAGGCGGGCGGATTACTTGAGGTCAGGAGTTCAAGACCAGCCTGGCCAACATGGTGAAATCCCGTCTCTACTAAAAATACAAAAAAATTAGCCAGGCTTAGTGGCACACGCCTGTATCCAAGCTACTCAGGAGGCTGAGGCAGGAGAATTGCTTGAGCCCAGGAGATGGAGGTTGCAGTGAGCCCAGATCGCGCCACTGTACTCCAGTCTGGGTGACAGAGTGAGACTCTATCTCAAAAAAAAAAACAAAAAACAAAACAAAACAAAAGGCATATATTTGCTCATTTGCCAGGTTGTCGTGGTATGAGTGGGTTATTAGGTATATGACAGAGGAAGTGGTAGAAGGCAAAACTGGAAAGCTACAATGGGGCCTTTTGGGAAGGGCCTTTCATATATATTGAGGCATTTGGACTTGATTCTGTTGGAAATGGAGAACCTTCAGGACTTTTAAAGTGGCAGAAGAATGTGATCTGTTTATCTTGTTATTTTAGAAAGATATCGTCTGATAGTATGGAGGAAGGAATAGAAGGGAAGAGACAGATGGCAGAAGACCTGTTAGTAGGCCAAGCAGGAGATGGTGAGACCTGAGCTGGGATAGTGGCAGAGGCATCAAAAGAAGGCCATACGTTTCTGGAGCATTTTTGAGGCAATTGTAAGGCTCTGGTGGAGAGGCAGTGTGTTGTAATGACACCTGCACTGCATGGAAAGACAGGATGCTGATGTTCTGGGTTTTGTTCTACTCTTGACTCAAGGTGACACCTTGAGTCTCCTACTCATTTTGAATTCTTGTTGGGAAAGGAAGAACACTTGTCTATCTACCTAACTCTTCAGTTCTGAGATTCCAATAAGATGAAACCGAAGCAAACGAAACAATAAAAAATCTCAAACAAATCTAACATAGAGTTTCACATCCTCTTTTTCTTCTTTTGCAGCTGATAGCCTTTCTCTCTATTTTACTGAAAATTCAGAACAGAAAAAAATTCAGTTGCTGAGTTATTAGAATTATTAAGTTGTTGATTATCAAAATCTTGAAATTGTGTGATTGACTCATGAGTTCTTGATTTACCTGCCTCTTTCTATGTGTGTATGTATATGTGTGTGAGTGTGTGTGTGTGTGTATATATATATATATTTCCCCCCTTTCTAATACAATGTTAGCATAGTCCCAATTTGTATCTTGGCTTCTATATTTGATGTATTTAAAAGATCAAGTTGCAATTTTTATTTTTTGCTTTTAGAGGAGTGGAACTCATTGGATTAGAATTATTGTCTACCCATTCTGTATGCTTTAGATCTCTCTGAGTATTACAGATATTTTGAGGTGTATTATTCCTGGGCCTTTACCAGACCAGGGGATGCTCAGCATTCATCAGACCATGCATCAGTAGACTTTGCTTCTAAAATAAATAGGGCATAGTTGCAGTGGTTTGTATTTCCCACTCTTACTTGAAGTGTGTTTCTGGAAACTGCTCTTTTTTATTGAGGGAAGCTTTATTAGAGATCCTTAGGAGATGACGTAATTATTGTACTTGAATACTTACTTTAGTTGCAGTTACTAAAAGCATTAACTATCTTTGTAATATATTGTTAGAAGCACCTCTTGTTTTCTTTTGTTCTAGTTCCGAAAGACCCGAAACCCCAGTGGAGACGGGTAGCATGGAGTTACGATTGTACCCTACTGGCCTATGCCGAAAGCACAGGAACTGTGAGGGTGTTTGATCTCATGGGAAGTGAACTCTTTGTCATTTCCCCGGTATGTACATAGCTTAAATTGAAAACATAGTTTTTTCAATGTCATGTATGTATAGGTACTTGAATAAAAGAGTGTGAAGGGGGGGATAATACAAATATAAATCAGAATAATAAGCTGTGGACTTAAGACGCCCAGAATCTAGTTAGAAATCTGTATGCATGCAATAGTTATTCCTTGTATTTTGTAATACACTATCCAGATGTAAACCACGTGGTAGTAAGTAAACACTAAATATAGGTACAGAAAGTTGTGATAAAGCTCTAGTGACAGAAAGAAGTCAGTGGTCTGTCACAACAGGAACAACTTCAAGAGGAGTTGGAATTCGTTACCCTACAGGAAATAGAAATTGAAAAGGCGAGTAGAGAAAAACAAATGGTAGTAGTAATTTGTATTTGTATACTATTTTATTCTTTATTAATGCCTTTGATATATATTATGATTTTATATTCATAACAGCCCTTTGAGTAGGTTGGGCAGATGTTCTCATTTTGTCTAGAAAACTAAGATTGAGTGGGAACAAAATGACTTTTGTATGACAATTCCGTGAATAATGTCTCTTCTAGGAATATAGTGCTTTTTAGTTTCTATCCTCCTTCATCAACTGAACGAGATACAGGGTCAGATAGAACAGTGGTTCTCACTCTGGCTGTATCTTAGAATCACCTGGGGAGCTTTATAAGGAAAAGAAAAAAACAAATTACCAGATTGCCCAGGCGCTACTCACAGAGATTCTGATTCATTTGATCTTTGTGGGGCCTGGGTATTAATATTGTTTATAAGCTTTTAGCTGATTCTAGTGAGAAGCTAGGGTTGAAAACCAATGATATAGATAATGATTTTTTTTTCAGAAATAATGAGTGGAGAAACTAAAAACGTGTGTTGTGCTCATATTCTGGGAATCTTAGCCAAAATAAGGAGTCTGGATTCTTATTTTCTAGACTATTTCTGGCTAAAAGAAATACAATATGAGCTGTATGTGTGCTCAAATGTAATTTTATATTTGGTCACATATACAATAACTACAGGTGAAGTTTATTTAATAGTAACTACAATGAGAAGCTAAAATAAGAAACAGGTGAAATTTATTTAATACTGTATTTTATATCATCCAATATATCCAAAATATTATTTCAACATGTAATCAATATAAAACATTATTAATGTGATAGTTTATGCTCTTTCTTTGATTTTAAATTTTTGAAATTTGATGGTATTTTTATATTTATGACATATCTCAATTTGGACTAGCCGTGTATCAAGTGTTGACTGTGTGGTTCTAGACAATGAGGAACCATTCAGGGGTGATTGGGAGGAAAAACTTTTTCTCTGCCTGCTTAAATTTAGCAGCTAGGGGCCTGCAAATTAAACTGACAAAAGACAGATTAGCAGGAGAAAAGTTGTACAGTTTTTATTGATGTTAATATTTTTACATGTACAGGGAGCTTCTCAGAAAAGACGTGAAAGCTCAAAGAAGTGGTTAGACTCAGGCTTATATACCATTTTTTCTTTTTTTAAAGATAGAGTCTTGCTGTTGCCCAGGCTGGAGCACAGTGGTGTAATGATAATGATCATAGTGCAGCCACACCTGGCTAATCTTTTAAACTTTTGTAAAGACAGAATCTTGCTTTGCTGTCCAGGCTGGGTCTTGGACTCCTGACTTCAAGTGGTCCTTCCACTTTGGCCTCTCAATGTGTTGGGATTACAGATGTGAGCCACCCCATCCAGCCTTATATACCATTTTAATAGAGGGATATAAATTGTTGAGATGTGACTAGACAAAGGAAAGGGAATTTTGGCTTTTTGAGGTGGTAAATTGTGGGAAAGTGACTAAGAAATGCATGGGACAAATTAATGGAAGAAAGGGATTTTAATAAGGTCTGTTTACACAGACTCATCTTGGTATGACTTCTGGTTTCCAGGGATGAGTCCATCTCCTCCTCCTGGTACTGAGGAGCACTGTCACAAAGATAAATTTTTGCCTTGTTTTTAGGCAGTTAAGGGGAGGGCAAAGAATTTTTCCTGCGTCTGTTGATTCTCAGTTGCCTTCAGCTCAAAATAATCCTTATGCCAAAGTGGCATATTTTGGGTCGGCATATTCGAATCCCCTTCATGGGTGATAAACTTTATTTTGTGTGCTTCCCAAGATGTACAGGCCTTCAAATCTTTAGCAGTTTAGCCTGGTATTTGGTTAATGGAGAAAGGTTAACACTGAGTGAGTATTTCATGTGTAGTTTCCTTTAGGTTGCTGATTAGGCAAATGGAAACTGGAGACTTTTTTACCGCAGGCTACTGCTGGCAGTGGAAATTAACATTTGGAAGCTTCTATCTTTAAACAAGCTCTTAGAGTTTTTTGAGGCTGAATGGTGGCATTATCTTTGTTTTTTTTCTGCAATTGACATACAATTTGAATAGAAATTTCCTATGTAGGTGAACATCTTCTTCAAAGGGGCTGCTGTGGTTTCAGCCTGGGTCTGAGAGGGCTGGTCTAGATTTGGGTGTCTAGCTCTAGGCATTCTGACTTGCATGATTCTTGAGTATACAGAGCAATTCTGAAGTTATCTTACATAAAGTGTACCTGAAGCCAGTGTATCAGATATTCTCTAATTATGCATGTGTTAACTTTTATCTAGTTTTTTTTTTTTTAGTAACTTAATTTCCCCCTCTTCTGTAGGCATCTAGTTTTATAGGTGACTTAAGCTATGCCATTGCTGGGTTGATATTTTTAGAATATAAAGCAAGTGCACAGTGGTCTGCAGAACTCCTGGTCATCAATTACCGAGGAGAACTTAGAAGTTACCTTGTAAGGTAAAAATGTGCTTTGGAAGCCATATTTGAAATAATGTTTATTTCTCTGGTTTAATGTCAGATTTTGATATTTCTTTTTTTTTTTGCTTTCTGTCTATTATGAAAAATTGCAAATATAATAGGGAATTTGAAAGAGTGGTGTGGTGAACACCCATTACTTCCACTTGGGTTCTACAATTAGGATTTTACTGTGCTTGCTATATCATATTTCTATTCATATATCCACCCCTCTATCCGGCTATTAATCATTTCGTAGTAAGTTGGACATATCAGTACTCAAATGCTTTAGCATGCATATTATTAGAGTTTAATATTTGCTTATAGTTTTCTTCCTTTTGAGGTAAAATTTGCATGCAGTGAAATGCATACATCTTGATTATACCAGCTGGTGAGTTATGACAAATGCGTACATCTGTGCAGTTCAAACCTCTGTCAAGATACGGAACATTACCATCATGCTAGAAAGTTCCCTCATGCCCCTTCCGAGTAAATCTCTTTCCATACCCACTCCCAGAACAACTAGTGTTTAAAATTTTTTTAAAATCACAGATTAGTTTTGCCTATTCTAATAGTTTACGTTAATGGAATAATATACAGTCATCCCTCTGTATCTGTGGGTTCTGCATTTGTAGATTTGATACTGTGGATTGAAAACATTCAAAAATTGTGTCTGTATTGAACATGTACAGACTTTTTCTTGTCATTCTCTGAACAATATAGTATAACTACTATTTACATAGCATTTATATTGTATTGGATATTATAAGGAATCTAGAGATGATTCAAAGTATACAGGAGGATATGTGTGGGTTATATGAAAATACTATGCCATTTTATTTTATTTTTTTATTTTTATTTATTTATTTATTTATTTATTTATTTATTTATTTATTTCTGAGACGGAGTCTTGCTCTGTCGCCCAGGCTGGAGTGCAGTTGAGTGATCTTGGCTCACTGCAAGCTCTGCCTCCCGGGTTCATGCCATTCTCCTGCCTCAGTGTCTCAAGTAGCTGAGACTGCAGGTGCCCGCCACCAAACCTGGCTAATTTTTTTGTATTTTAAGTAGACACAGGGTTTCATCATGTTAGTCAGGATGGTCTCGATCTCCTGACGTTGTGATCTGCCCGCCTCGGCCTCCCAAAGTGCTGGGATAACAGGCGTGAGCCACTGCGCCTGGCCTACTATGCCATTTTATATCAAGGGCTTAAACACTTACAGATTTTGTTATCCTCTGAGCATCCTGGATCCAGTTCCCCAGGGATGCCTAGGAATGACTGTAGTATGTACTCTTTTATCTAAGTCTTCTTTCATTCATCATATTTTGAGATTCATTCACATTTTTACATACATCACTAGTTTATTTCTTTTTACTTACAATTAGTATTTTATTGTATGAATAGCTCATGATTTTAGAAATCCATTCTTCTATTGATAGAACCCTGTTTCCAGTTCTTGGCCCCTGCAAATAATGCTGTTACAACCATTCTTGTACAAGTCTTTATGGATATACATTTTCATTTCTCTTGGGTCAGTATCTTCAAGTGGGATTGCTGGGTCATAGGGGAGACATAGTTTATTTTTATAAAAAACTACACTTTTTACCAAGTGGTTTTATCAATTACCTTCTCATTGTGACGTATTCGAGTTCTGGTTGTTTTATATCCTCAGCAATATTTGGTATTGTCTGTCTTTTAAATTCTAAACATTTTATTGGGTATTTAGTGATATTCATTGTGGTTTAATGGTATTTACTTCTTTCATACCCTCTTAAATTTAGTGTTGGAACAAATCAGAGCTACCAAGAAAGTCACTGTTTCAGCTTCAGTAGTCATTATCCTCATGGAATCAACACAGCTATTTACCACCCTGGTCACAGGTAAGTAACCATTTGTTCTCATATTTAGTGGGACATAGAAATGTTGGCATAGATTCAGATAGAAGAAACTATTCTGATTCTTATGTTGACTTCTTAATTTCCTCCTCTTGTGCGTAGTTATCTTTAATATCTATAATACTGTTGTCATCTGATTATTCATGCTTATCTATCTGGCTCACTGAGCTCTTCTGAGCCAGATGGGGCACTGGGAATATTCAATGAGGAATTTATTCTCCTCTTTTAACCCCCGGACCTTATTTTTCTCATCTGTAAAATGGGTATGATACATAACTCAAGAGAATTAGTGAGAGAACTAGTGCTATATATAAAGTGCCCTCACACAGAACGGCCTCAGTAGATGCTACTTCCCTTCTTTCTTTCCTTGCTAGTTACCGCTGCACTGATGTTGCACAGTTCCTTCCAGCAACTGTGTCCCATCATTCACATATGCCACTTTTCTGTGTATTTGCATCTACATTGAGGCTTACTAGAAACCTTATGGCATTTTCTACTTCCAGTGATTTCTCCCCTTTAATTTTGTTATTTGAGAACAGAAGCCATATACGTTTTATAGGATAGCCAAGCTAAATGTTTGGTTTCATAAATGGGAAGAGTATCATATTTTGAATAAGACAAACATAACTTGAGTTTTTGAATTTTGAGATTTACTCTGTGTTTATTGACAAGTCCTTAACTTGGAATCTCAGTATACTTAAGTCTTTTTCCTTGGAAATGTATGCAGGTTTGTATTCTATTCAGTCATATGTCTGTGTTTAGTTCAGGACTTTATTATTATGAAATTTTTATACTAGAACACACACACACACACACACACACACACACACACACACACACACACACACGCACACCCCCCGAAGTCCTCCTTGTGCTCTTCCCCAATCCCATCGTCTCCGTTCTAGAGATGATTACTGTCCTGAGTTTTGTGTATATGATTTTCTTGCTTTCTTTATAGTTTTATCACTCATTCATATTTAGTTTTGCTGTTTTGACTTCACGTAAATGGAATCACACAGAAGACATACAAGTCTCACTTCGTGACTTCCTTTTTGGTGCACGTTTTGCTTTAGTTTATTCATTTTTAACTACTATTTAGGACATTTCATTTTACAAATAATTTGCAACATATTTATTCATTCTCCTATAGATGAAAATTTGGTTTGTTTCTAAATTTTTTGTTATAAAGATAGTACTGTGGTAGAAATAATTATGCATTCTTCTGATATATATGTTCAAAAGTTTCTATAGGATATGTAACTAGGAGTGCCAATGCTGGATTGTCAGGTTAGTACATCTTCAACTTTACTAGATAATGTCAAATGTTTTCCAGAGTATTTGTGCCAGTTTACAGTCCCAACAGCAGCTTATGAAAGTGTCTCTCGTTTCACATTCTCGTTAGTGCTCTCGATGGTGTGAGACTTTTAAATGTTTGCTCGTTTGGTAGGTGTAAAAGAACATGTCACTCTGGTTTTAATTTGTACTTCCCTGGTTACTGATGAAACTGAGTAGCTTTTCATATGTTATCGGCCATTCATGTTTTCTCATCTATGAAATGCTGGTTTTGTTTCTTTTCTTTTGATAGGGGGTTTGTTGTTGACATTTTTATATAATCTAGATATTAATTCTTAGTCTATTATATGCATAATGAGTATTTTTTTTTACCAAGATGTGACTTTTCTTAAAAATTTTTTCTTATATTTACATTTAATTTTTATGAGTTGTATTTGCACATAATTTCAAGTGTTTAGTTTTAAAAACTGACTCCTCCACCCAACTTCTTGCTTTCCAAAGGTAACCACTTTTAGCTATTTTAATTGATTCTTTTGATTGTTTTCATACATTTAAATAAAAAGCTTACATTGTACTTCTTGATTCCAATTTTACACAATGTTTATTTACTTCCCTTTGTGGAAGATGGATATTTAGTTTTCTTACTCTACCACGAGTATGCACAAAGAATTTTCACTTTGTTCTCCTGTTATATGTTAAATCCTGTTATATCATAATTTTATAGTTTTTTTTTTTTTTTTTTTTTTGAGATGGAGTCTCACTCTGCCGCCCAGGCTGGAGTGCAGTGGCGCAATCTCGGCTCACTGCAAGCTCTGCCTCTTGGGTTCATGCCATTGTCCTGCCTCAGCCTCCCGAGTAGCTGGGACTATAGGCGCCTGCCACCAAGCCCGGCTAATTTTTTGTATTTTTAGTAGAGACGGGGTTTCACCATGTTAGCCAGGATGGTTTCGATCTCCTGACCTCGTGATCCGCCCACCTCGGCCTCCCAAAGTGCTGGGATTACAGGCGTGAGCCACCATGCCTGTCCTATAGTATGATTATTATTATGGTTATGTAGCTGATACTTACAGGTAAGAAAAGAAGCTTGTATAGTATTTCATGATTTCAATGATTTTCCATATTTCATGATTTCAGTGATTTTCCATTTTTATTTATTCATTTATTCATTCAACAAGCATTTATTGATTTCCTACTCTGTGCCACATACTGTTCCAGGTGCTTAGGGTATATCTTCCTCGTGGAACTTTTCGAGGGAGTGACAGACAACAAACAATGAATATAAAGTACATGAGGAGCTAAGTATTATGGGAAAAAAATAATCAGAGATGGAGAATGGAAGGGTGGGAGAGTAGGGGGCAAGTTCTAGTTTGAAATATGGTGGCCACATTACCCTCATTGAGGAAGGTGACTTGCAAAGACTTGGAATAGGTGAGGGTATTACTAGTTTTTAGGTATCTGGGGGAAGAGTATTCTATCAGCAGGAATAGCCAAAGCAAAAGCCCTGAGTTAGAAGTGTGCTTGGCATTTTCTAGGAACAGCAGTGAAGACAGTTAGGCTGAAGCAGATAGTGACACAGAGTAATAAGGTGAGGTCAAAGAGAGCGTGGTGAGTGCTGAATCATGCAGGG